>NC_000016.10:56683712-56986742 GCF_000001405.40 Homo sapiens | reverse complement strand
CCATGGGCTCCTCCTCTGGGCTAACCCAGCCCTTGCCAGAATCCTACATGGAAAGTATTATCATCCCATTGAATAGAAGAGGAAATGGAGGCACAGAGGGGCCCCAGGATGGCAGAATTAGTAACTGGGGTTGGGGGGAGCTGGGATTAGACCCAGGTCTGAAAGCCAGGCCTTCCCTCTACCCTTCCTATTTGCCAAACACCCGGGCCCCATCCTGCCCAAGGTCAGCAGCCCAGGTGGCAGGATGTGCTTCTGCCTGGTGCTGGCCTTGGGGAGCACTTGTTTTTCCCCAGAGGAAGCAGCAGGTGTGGCCTTCTTTATGGAAATGATCCTAACTGGGTTGGAGCCAGGATTCCCCCCAACACACACCCAGGCCAGGAGGACTTCAATAGGACTAGGTCAGAGCTTCTAGGCTTGGATGGAGGGGCTGGAATTTGGGAGAGGGGCTCGGAGGTCAGTCCCATTTTGGTAAGCCTCTCACCCTCTGGACTCCATATCTCCTGCTAATCGCACTCCTTGGATGAGACAGTGACATGGAAGTGCCTCCCAGCTCAGCCCTGGGGAGACCTCTCCAAGGTCACTGAAGGAAGCTGGGGGCATGCCCCTACCCTTCTTTCTGGAGCAGAGCCCTGGGACCTTCTGGAGTCCCAGTCAGGCTGGGGTCTACAAGGGTTAAGACTCCAAGTGACTTCTCTGTCTGCCCCTCATGCAGATAAAAGTTTCCATTCAAGGAAGAGCTGCCTTAGGGCTGCCAAGTTATCCTGATTCTGTCATTGTAGCATCAAGGTGGGGGCCTTGGGCCTTCCCAGCCTCTTCAAGGGGACATTCTTGGGTGGGATGTGGCTCCTAACTGGTGTCACCACCTCAAAGGCCAATATCCCAAGACCCAGAATTCCCACGTTGGACTCAGGGACTGGCGAGATCACACTGACTCCTTCTGCCAGGGCCCTTTAAGAGCCGCCCATCCCGCCCATGATGCTCCTGCTTAGTGAGTCAGACACTTGCATTAGGCCCCAGGGGAGGAAGAGAAACAGGCCTCAGAAAGCACTTGGAAGGGCAGGGAAGGGCTGGGAAGAAACCTGGCTCAGAAGATGGTGCCCTCCCCTCACATATTCCCAGACTGGAAGGGGCATCTTACTTCTGAGCTCCCCACAGCCCCAGCCTCCTGGCTGTCTCTCCTGGCTGCTGAAATAAAGGCCAAGCCCTTTTATCACCTTTGTTATGTGACCCTGCCTGCTGGTTGGGCCTCATCTCTCGCCCCTAGTTCTTTGCTTTCAGGGCCACACCAGCCCTCTTGACTGTTCTTGAATCCATCATGATTCTTTCTACCCCAGGGACCTTGCACTAGCCAGCATCTTGCTGCGCTTCCTCCCGTCTCAATTGGCTAATGTGGGAGAGGCATTTTCTTTACACACCCAGAGAAAATAGAGCCTGCTACCTTCCAAGACTGAGAGGGTTGGAAGAAACTTTTTGTATTGTAGCTTGAGGGTGGGAAGGAGAAGACACAATTTGAGCATAAGAAGGTGAGCTGGAAGCTGGGCACGGTGGCTTATGCCTGCAATCCCAGTGTTAGGAATGCTTGTTCTCCACTGCTGCAAAGAAATAGCACTCAAACATAAATTTAATTTTCTCAGCAAGCAATTTTTAGTTTCTGTAGAAAGGGTGCTCCTCATAGATGGAACAATGGTGAGAGCACAGTTGAACAAGGGAGGGGAAGGGGTTCTTATTCCTGACCCAGGTAATCCCTGCTGCTATGTTGTTCCCCTGTTGGCTAAGGTTGGACCGCACGGTCTAAGCTAATTCCGATTGGCTATTTTAAAGAGAGCAGAGGTATGAGCCAGAGTGGCGAGGTGAGTAGTTTGGCAGGAAGGACAGTTAGGAACGGGTAACTAAAGGTGACTTACATCAGAGCAGGTGACCAGGGGTGACTCAGGTCAAAGCAGGTGACTGGGATGAGTCAGGATGGAGCAAGTGACCAGGGGAACAGGTGTGAACTACTGAATAAAACTGATGGAAAAGGTTGTTTACTGAAATTAGAAGCAAGGGGGCGAAGAGAACCAGGAAGTTAAACTTTAAAATGGAGAATCAAAGAATAAGAGAGCTGAACATACAGACATACTGATTCTTTGAAGAAAAACTTGGGGTTCACCATATTTAACATGAGCACTTTGGGGGGTTGAGGCAGGTGGATCACTGCAGGTCAGGAGTTCGAGACCAGCCTGGCCAACATGGTGAAACCCCGTCTCTACTAAAAATACAAAAACTAGCTAGGTGTGGTGGCGGGTGCCTGTAATCCTAAATACTTGAGAGGCTGAGGCAGGAGAATTGCTTGAACCTGGGAAGTGGAGGTTGCAGTGAGCTGGGATTGTGCCACTGCATGCCAGCCTGGGTCACAGAGAGACTCCGTCTCAAAAAAAAAAAAAAAAAAAAAGGTGAGCTGGAAATAAGCTCAGGCTCGTGAGCAGTTTATCTTCTGGAATAAAGTCGTTTGCCTTTTTAAAGGCTCTGTCTTCCTCCATTTCTACCAGAAACCAGACCTCTGAGGGCCCCTTCCCCTCCCACCATCCTCAGGATCTGAAGCCCTGGTCCTCCCTCACTTTCTGTCCAGCACTGGAACCCCAAGGGACAGAGAGTGTGTGACAGCTCCTGCAGGAAGCTGGTCAGACAAGGAGAGTGCTGGGTTAAAGGGGATAAATTTGGAAGGTATCCAGGGACCTGATCAGGGAGGATCGTGAGTCCCAAGGAGAGAAGTTTGGATTTCTTCCTCCAGTCATCATGAAGCTTGGAGGGTTTGGGGGCAGCTGCCTTGGAAGGGCTGAAAAGAGGTGGACGGCACTGGTGAGACAATCCCTTCCCCCCCCCTCTACCCGCCAGCCACAGAAGAAGGACTCCGCAGCTCTTGGATACAGCACTTTAATGCCAGTGGGCCTTTAGGATAGGGAGGAGTTGGGAGCCAATCTCCATCTCCGTACTCCTAACCCAACTTCCACCACGCTGGAGGAGACACCAGGGTTCCAGCTGTGAGCCTGGTGCTTGCCTTCTGCTACAAGCCCCATCCCGACCTCCTTGGAGACTTCTAGCTCAAGCTCTGGAGGAAATCCACCAGCAGGTGCTCAGGGAAGCCAAAGTCCATCTGCAGCAGCAGGAAGCCCTGAAGGGAGGGGCAGTAGGAGAGAGGGGCGAGCTGGGCTGACTCCCAGGCCACCAGGAGGGAGCCAAGCTGGTAGAGGCCCCTCTGTCTGTCTCCCCAACAGCCCCCAGTCACCCCAGGAATCCTGTCTGGGCCTCTCTCCCCAGGAACAGGGGCTGGTGAGGGGGGCTTTGTACTCACATCTCGAGTGATAATCTCAGGGTTGATGATGTCGAAGAGGCTCACGCCTTTGCTGTTCATGAGGGCTGTAAACACTACCTCGAGCCCTGGGGCAGGGGACAGAGCCCCAGTCAGCCCTTCTTGGGGAGCAAGGCCGGCCCGAGGCTCTGCCACCCTGGGTAGTGGGAGATGCTGAGACCCTTTTGGACCAATATTCTGTAAACATGCGTTTCACTTTGATTTAGCAGAGTGAGCAAGTGCTTCTGAGGATGAGGAAGAGCAGAGTTTGCCTGGCGGCAGGGCTTGCCACTCTGCTGCCAAAAAAAATTCCCTTCTGCCCCAAACTTGAGCTCCCAACCCATCCACAATGGCCACATGACCTGCAGTTAGCTGAGTCTACCCTGCTAGGAAGGAAACTTTCCCACACAGCTTCTCAAAGTGTTCTTTGCAACCACACAGAGTGGTCTCCTTGCAAGTAGTTGTAGGAACCATTTAATCCACATCCCCTAGTTTTAGCTTCATGGTTCAGATGGGGAAAATGAGGCCAAGAGATGCCAAGACACCCCACTAGGATCATTCCAGTTTCCACGCCCTTCCTCTCCTACCTAAGCCATGTGGACAAGCAGATGTTCAAAAGGAAAGCACAGTCAGCTCAACATACTCTGTGGGGAAGGGAGCAGAAAGCTCTCAGCAGAGCCTGGTCCAAAATACCCCCAGCACACGTGTGCTATGGTGTCTGAGAGTCTACCATCCGAGTCACCTCAAAGGGATAAATATTCTACCATTTCAAGGTCAAAAGGAAAATTGGGAATCATCAAGTTCAACATTCTTGTTTCACAGAAAGGGAAACTGAGGTTCAGGGCTGGGCTAGAACTAGGTCTCAGACTCCCAGCCCAGGGGTCTTTCTGCTATATCAGGTTGCTATTAGGAGACCTGCATCCTGAAAGTGGGTTGAGCCATCCCGCGGGGTGGCAAAGATAATATTCTGCAGGTAAACCAAGAACAGGGGTCTGGGCATCTGGCCGAGTCATTGGCGTGCAATACCACCAGCAGGGAGAGGAAAGGGGGCCAGGACCGCTAAGTATCAATGACTGGGAAGAGGGGCACCTGAAGCTCTGCCTGGGAAGGGCCCACAAGGTGAAATGGGAAGCTCTGTCAGCCTCGGCACCCAGTTTCCCCTCCAGCCCACACTTACGAGACATGACCTCAGGGATGCCCACAGCGGTGATCATTGACTGCAGGAAGCTCTGGACGGACTCGGAGCTGCTCTGCCAATCAAATGCCCATGGTGAGTCCTCCCTGGAGCACAGAAGTGACCCACAAGGCAGATGCTGCACGGCCTGGACAAGCATTCATCCTCATGCCCATCCGTGAAAAAAATACATCCAACCCACTCCGTTTTCCTGCCCCAGACGGTGCCCTTCCTGAGTGGTCTTTCCTTCGCCCTGGGGAGGCCCAGGATTGCTAGCCCATTCCACAGAGGGAAAATTGAGGTCCAGGGAGGCGCTGCTTGGCCAGTACTGTTCTGCCTAAACCCCAATCCATACCACCACACTCTCATTTTTGCAACACAAGGGCTCTCCCAAAAGACATGGCAGGGAGAAGAAGGGTCACAAGAGACACAGCATGGACCACCTGGTCCACATTCTTTTGGTCTGGTTGCCTGATTTCCTTTAGGGCCCTCCGCCTGCTTTCTTTAAGGCAGGAGGTCCCACAGGACTTATTTCCCCCAGTCTATCCAAGACTACCTACCTCAGTCAAGTTGGAAACAGTCTTTGGTGTAATCCTGAAATAAAAAAGCGATGATAATTTGACCCTCCATTGGGCCCCCTCCTGTAACATCCCCTGGGAAAGAAACTCTAAGAATAGCAGCCAGTGCTTCTGTCTCATAGCTCAGGCCCTTTGGGGCACTCTCTTGAGATTTGCTATTCCCTTGAGATTTGCTATTCTGGCGGCCAGGCCTTTGCTCGGGCAGCGCTCTCCTCCTGCCAGGCCCTTCTTCCTGGCAGCCCTCCATTCTTCCTGGAGCCCCTTCTTCCCCACGAAGATTCTATCTAGGCAGGGTCTTATCTCCCTGCAGTCAGCCCATATGCCCCAGAAGAAAGGGGCCACATTTCCCCACCAACACCCCGCCCTGTGCCTGACTCCAAGGGGCCAGGGAGAGGTTTGCGGAGTTGACCGCCCCCTCTCTTCTCTGCAGCACATACTGGAAATCCAAGAGGCTTAAGAAGAGCTTTTTCTTAGAATAGGAGGCCTGGACGGTAGTCACGATATCCTGGGGAGAGAAACCAAATTTGCTGTGAGCCAGGGCTCTTCCCGAAGCAGAGAGCAACCCTCCTAGCTCAGGGCCCCTGATTCTTTCCACTGAGGGACTGGAGAGGCAAGGATGACACGGGAACCAGGCTTAGCTACTGCTCTTCTGAAAACCGAGGAAAGTTCCCCAGCACCTGTGGCTTTGGGGTTAGGACCTGAGAAGTCACTTTCTTTTTCTTTTCTTTTCTTTTTTTGTTTTTGAGACAGTCTCACTCTGTTGCCCAGGCTGGAGGGCAGTGGCACGATCTCAGCTCACTGCAACCTCCACGTCCCAGGTTCAAGCGATTGTCCTACCTCAGCCTCCCAAGTAGCTAGGACTACAGGCATGTGCCACCATGTCCGGCTAATTTTTGTATTTTTAGTAGAGATGGGGTTTCATCATATTGGCCAGGCTGGTCTTGAACTCCTGACCATGTGATCCACCCACCTCAGCCTCTCAAAGTGCTGGGATTACAGGCGTGAGCCACCGTGCCCGGCCGAATAATTCTTTTTTTTAACAAATGCTCAATGTTTCAGATTCTTAACAACAAAAAAATAAGTAAATAAAATAATATGTCTACATCCACATGAGAAAGCCAAAAGGAATAAAACAGAAAAATGAAAAGGAAAGTAATACAAAAATTAAAGAGATATTTAAAAGGCTAAATAAACTGGGCACAGTGGCTCATGCCTATAATCCCAACACTTTGGGAGGCCAAGGTGGGAGGATCACTTGAGCCCAGGGATTTGAGACCAGCTTGGGCAATGTGGCAAAACCCTGTCTCTACAAAAAAATACGTGGTAGTGCACATCTCTAGTCGAGAAGCTGAGGTGGGAGGATCACCGCTGCACTCCAGCCTGGGCAGAAACAAACAGACAAACAAACAAACAAACAACAACAAAAAAGAACGGCTAAATACAATGTGCTATCCTGGATCAGATCTTGGAAAAGAAAAAGGGTATCATCAGTGGAAAAACTGGGGAGATTCAAATAAAGTTTAGAGTTTGGTTAACAGTCATGCACCAATGTTAATCTCTCCGCTATGACACTGTAGCATGGTTATGTAAGATGTGGACAAAGCGGGAAGTGGGTGGGGGATATATGGGAACACTCTGTATTTTGCAACTTTTATTCAAATATAAAGTTACTCCAAGATAAAAAATTTATTTAAAAATAACAAAGCACCAGAAGGAAATGCACCCAGTCACCACATCGAAGGCCCCTGGAGAAGGGGGTTATGGTGACAGTGGTTTTCTTCTTTCTATTTTTCTATATTTTCCACAATGTGATTGTATCGCTCTTGTCTTTAGTTCTTAATGTATTAAGAAATATTGGCCGAGCACAGTGGCTCATGCCTGTAATCCCAGCACTTTTGGAGGCTGAGGCAGGTGGATCACTGGAGGTCAGGACTTTGAAACTGGCCTGGCCAACCTGGTGAAACCCCGCCTCTACTAAAAATTAGCTGGGCGTGGTGGCACGCGCCTGTAGTGCCAGCTAGCTACTGGGGAGGCTGAGGCACGCGAATCGCTTGAACCAGGAAGGTGGAGGTTGCAGTGAGCCGAGATTGCACCACTGCACTCCAGCCTGGGTGACAGAGTGAGACTCTGTCTCAAAAAAAAAAATTGAAGATATTCTAAGGAGCATTAAAGATAATACTGATTCTTAATTCCTTATTTGTAATTATAAAATCAAACAGGATCTGAAAACTACAAGTTTTTTCTTAAGTTTTGTTGGCAAAACCTGGCCATTGTCTAGGAAGCTATGTATGGTATTTATCTTGCTTCATATGAGGAGAAATGCCAATTGAGGCATTTGAGGAGAATTGATTGTGGGGTGCCACCCCACACCCTATTGGGGTGTTCTGCAATATATCCAGTGTCTATACACTATACTACTTTTACAAATTCACAGAAGTTCTGAATTTGGAAACCCTTGTGGCCCTAATGAATAAAGGGTTGTGGACTCGGGTAATAAACACCATTGTCCACTGCTCAGCTTAAGGAGGAGAATATTGGCTGGGCGTGGTGGCTCATGCCTGTAATCCCAGCACTTTGGGAGGCTGAGGCGGGCAGATCACTTGAAACCAGGAGTCTCAGACCAGCTGGGCCCACATAGCGAAACCCTGTCTCTACTAAAAATACAAAAAATTAGTCAGGCGTGGTAGCGCATGCCTGTAATCCCAGCTACCTGGGAGGCTGAGGCATGAGAATCGCTGGAACCTGGGAGGCAGAGGTTGTAGTGAGCCGAGATTGTGCCACCGCACTCCAGCCTGGGCAACACAGTGAGACTCTGTGTCAAAAAAATAAATAAGTAAATAAATAAATAATAAATAAAAATAAGAATGAAAGAACATATGCTTGGCATGGTGGCTCATGCCTATAACCCCAGCAACTTAGGAGGCCAAGGCAGGAGAATTGCTTGAGGCCAGGAGTTTGAGAACAGCCTGGACAACATAACAAGACCCCGCCTCTAAGGAAATTTTTTTTTTTAAATTAGCCAGGTGTGGTGGTGTTTGTCTGTGGTCCCAGCTACTCAGGAGGGCTGAGGTGGGAGGATCACTCGAGCCCAGGATTCGAGGCTGCAGTGAGCTATGAGTGTGAGGCTGCACTCCAGCCTGGATGACAGAGTGAGACCCTGTCTCTAAAAAAAATAAAAATAAGAAAAGAGAGAAAATATTACCTAAGCTGTGGAAACCACGTGTGTACCCCCTCGTTACTTGCATGATGTGATTTTGATTGTAAGGAGCCATGTGCAAGAGACAACCAGTGCCAGCAGAGGTGGTGAGAAGGATCTGGAGGCTTCAGAGACCCCCAGGCCCCTGCCCTCTGCGGCCCATATGTGAGTCAGGTTCCCCCACCACCACCTCTCCCTGCACCCGCCTCACCTCTTCAAATGTGTAAGCTACAGAATGTTGCTGGTCTGGGCGTGGAAAGAGGAATTTCACCATCACTGAAGAATTGACCACGACTCCCTTGTTTTGGCAGGAGATCTTGGGCATCTTGAGGCAGTGGACGGTGACTTGGGCCTGGCTGGGGAAGCCGCCGACAACCTGTGGAAGACAGGGGTCCCATGGCCAGGACAGGGGCCCATCAGGGCAGCAGCAGTCCATGCCCTCGGAGATGGGAAGGACAAAGCTGGCTCCGGGCCCCAGGGCTGGGGAAAAGGAAGTAGCTCGGGGTAGTGCCCAGGCCCCAGGCTGTGCAAATTAGGACTCTTGTCCTCTCTGGGCCTCAGTTTCTCATCTGTGTGCTAGTGAAGCTATTCCTACCCTGAACTCCTCTCTCAGGATGTGCTGAGGATGCCTTCACTTAGCCTTCTGGGCCTCACTTTCCTCATCTGTAAAATGGGGATAATCATAGATCCTACCTCATAGGGTTGTCCTGAGGATGGAATGAGATAATCTGTGGAAAGAGCTTAGAACAGGACCTACTGCATGGTAACCCTCCGAGGGAAGCTGCTGTAGCAGCTGGGCTAGGGGTGGGGATAGAGCAGAGAGCGCAGGAGCTGCGGGCCATATCTGCAGGAGCCCAGCATTTTCCAGGGCATCCCAGAACAGAACGTAAAACTGCAGCTGAGGAGTATTTAAAGGAGAGACACACCAGGCTGTGGCACGAGGGGACCTGACCTAGTCAGGGAGGTGGGAGAGGCCTTCCCTGAGGTGGCAGGAGGAGGAGCAGATGGCATGGGGGAGGGCAAACCATTCTGGCAGAGGGGACAGTGTGGACAAGAGCCCTGTGGAAGGAACATGGCCAAGATAAGGAATGCGCAGGCAGCCAGCGGGGCTGGGGAGTGTGGCCTGAGGACCTTCGATTACAGCCTGTGGGACTGGGCTCAAGGAGATCACATGCCCCAAGAAACCACTGAACCGCTGGATACACAAGAAAAGGTTTCATTAAATACATAGCTCAGCTCAAAAGAAAGAAAGGGCCGGCGGGGTGCGGGAGCTCACACCTGTAATCCCGGCACTTTGGGAGGCTGAGGCAGGAGGATCATTTGAGGTCAGGAGGTCAAGACCAGCCTGGCCAACATGGTGAAACCCCGTCTCTACTAAAAATACAAAAAAATGAGCTGGGCACAGTGGTGCACCCCTGTAACCCCAGCCAATCGGGAGGCTGAGGCACGAGAATTGCTTGAACACAGGAGGCGTAGGTTGCAGTGAGCTGAGATTGCGCCACTGCACTCCAGCCTGGGGAACAAGAGCGAGACTCTGTCTCAAAAATAAATAAATTAATTAATTAAATAAAATAAAATGAAAATCTCAGTGGGTAAGTAAACAAATAAGACACAGCTGTAAAAAGAATTAATGAACTAAAAAGATACTTGAAGAAACTATCCAGAATTTAGGATAGAGATAAAAGAGATGGAAAACACGACAGAGCAACTAAGAGACACGGAAAATGGAATGAGATGGCCCAACGTGTGTCTCATGGAAATTCCAGGAGGTAGGCATGGAGAAAATAGGGATGGGGCAATCATGGAAGAGAGAGTGATGAAGAAATTTCCAGAGCTGATGGGCTGGGTGCTGTGGCTCACACCTGTAATTTCAGCACTGAGGCAGGAGAATTGCTTGAACCCGGAAGGTGGAGGTTGCAGTGAGTTGAGATTGTGCTACTGCACTCCAGCCTGGGCCACAGAGCAAGACTCTGTCTTAAAAAAAAAAAAAAGAAAGAAAAGAAAAGAAATTTCTAGAGCTGACAAAAGACCTCGTCAACTTTCAACTAAACAGTTACAATTACGCTGGGTGGGAAACAACTAGATGAAGAAGTAGACAGGATGAGAAAATGCAGGGCCCTGGAGGCCATGGGAGAGCGTTTAGCCTGTATCCTACACCGGCTTTAAGCAGGCAGGTGAATGACCAGTTTTATTTCTTGAAAAGATTGTTCTGGCTGCTGTGGGGAACAGATTATTGGAGGGTATCAGGACACAGGGAGACCCACCGGGAGCTACAGATGGGTCCCCACTAGAGATAATGGTAGCCTGGGGAGGAGGTAGAGACAGAGAGAAATGGAAAGACTAGAAATAGGACATCAAAGGAACAGGACTCAGACAAGGGGCTAAGGGAGAAGAGCCGGTCAGGGGCCTGCCCAATATTGTGAGTTGTGTATGTGCAAGGAGAGAGGCATCACAGAGCCGGGGAAGGCTGGACGGCCTGAGTTCAGAAGGGAAGAGGGACCGTCCTCTGTTAGAACAGGAGAACGGCCGCAGGAAGGCGCAGGTGTGGGTGAGTGGGTTGCGACTGGGAGCAGCGACGTGGGGGGGAAGTTCTGTTGGTGGCTCTGCTCAGCTCTCTGGTAAGCAGGTTGTGTGTGGAGAGGGAAGTGGAAGGTAGACAGGAGGGGGCAGCTGGAGATTTGAGGATGGCAGGGAAGGCCTGAAGAAGTCATTGCAGTGGGTGGGGGGAGTGAGGTGACCAGAAAGCTGAGGGAGGCTTACTCAGAAAGCATGAGGTCCATTTGAGGTAGGAGATCATGGGTTCTTAGTGGAACCCTGCACTGAGGAGTGGGATTATGAACATCATTGCCACTGGGCATAGCAAGAAGGGGCTGCGACCTCCAAGGAGCTTGCCTGAAGTCAGCTTTGGGATCAGGAGTAATCAACAGTCACTTATTGCTGGGGCCCTCTGAGCCCAGAGTTGATCCTGGGGTTCCAGCCCCCTACAAGTCCCTATGCCTGGGAAATGGAGCAGGGAATGGAGCCTTATCTTTGGGGGCAATAGAGCTGGGCTCAAACCCAGCCTTGCCATTCACTAAGTTTCCCTGTGTGTAAAATGGGGACAGTTTGACCGCCCCACTCATAGGGTCGGTGTGAGCACTGAAGGAAGTCACACACACTAAGTGCTTCACTCCATGCCGAACAACCGAGTAGGAGCTGTGTTCGCTGTTATAATTGTTGCCATTGGTGGTGTTATTGGCTGTGTGGGGGCTCTTGAAGCCAGAGCAGGATTGGGGTACGTGAGATAAACCCCACACAGGGGCAGGGGGCAGTTACCTCTTGGAAGATTTCCTGGTTGGTGTTGAAGCCCCAGGTCTCCAGCACTGCCTGAAAAGAAATGAGGAAGTTGGAGGGTGGGTGGAGTAAAGTCCACTCCTCAGAAGAAAACTTCGCAGGGACCAAGGGCAGTTTCAAGGACTGGACCCCTCCTCAGACGCAACTCCCAACCTCCCAGACAACATGTGAGATGCTCTGGGCAGGGTGTGGAACAGGGAACCCCTGTCCCGGCTGGAGGCCTGGCTTCTGCTCCCCACTGTGCCCCACACATGCTGTGTGACCTCGCACAAGTCTCTTCCCCTCTGTGGGCCTCAGTTTCCTCATGAGTTCAATGACAAGCACAGCCTGGAAACTACCTAAGCATTTCTAGTACAGTATAGGTGAAGAGTACAGGCTTTGGGGCCACCTCTTACAGGCTGTGTGATCTTCAGTAAGTCACCTACCTTCTCTGAGCTTTGTGGTTTTTTTGTTTGCAAAACAGAGGTAACAGTACTTATTTCACAGGATGAGTGCAACAAAACAAAGTGTAGCAAATATAACTGCAATAAATGTAAGTCTAATATCAACTTATATTTAATGCACAGTTACTACGTGCCAAGTTATATCTATACCTAAATCTATTGATCACTCTGTCTATCTATCCATCTATCTATCTGGCAACACATAGTTGACTCCAATAAATGCTGGACTGTATTTTTTTCTTGAGATGGAGTCCTACTCTGTCACCCACACTGGAGTGCAGTGGTGCCATCATAGCTCACTGCAGCCTCAACCTCTTGGGCTCAAGTGATCCTCCCTCCTCAGCCACCTGAGTAGTTGGGACTATAGGTATGCACCGCCGTGCACAGCTGATTTTTAAACTTATTTTTATTTTTGTAGAGACAGGGGTCTCCCCATGTTGCCCAGGCTGGTCTTGAACTCCTGGCCTCCAGGGACCCTCCTGTCTCTGAGAGAAGAGAGACAGACCCTCTCATATTGTTTTATATTGTTTTATACTCAGAAAAAGAAAGAGAAGCGAAACTAAAGGCAGGTAGCCCAACGCCTAGAGACCAGACCCGAAACCAAGGAACCAGACCCGAAACCAGGCCTGGGCCTACCTGACCTAAGCCTGGTAGTTAAAGATGGACCCCTGACCTAACCAGTTATGTTATCTATAGATTCCAGACATTGCATGAAAGAGCATTGTAAAAATCCCTGTCCTGTTCTGTTTCGTTCTGATTACCGGTGCATGCAGCCCCCAGTCACGTACCTGCTACTTGCTCAATAGATCACGACCCTCTCATGCAGACCCCCTTAGAGTTGTGAGCCCTTAAAAGGGACAGGAATTGCTCACTCGGAGAGCTCCGCTCTTGAGACAGGAGTCTTACCCATGCTCCCGGCTGAATAAACTCTTTCCTTCTTTAACTCAGTGTCTGAGGAGTTTTGTCTGCGGTTCGTCCTGCTACATCTCAGCCTCCCAAAGGATTGGGATTACAGGTGTGAGCCACTGTGCCCAGTCTGGACTTCACTGCTATTGCTCCAGCTTAGTTCTTTTGCCCACCACCAAGTTTCCGAGTTTCCTCCCTCCTCCCCATGCGTGTGCACACACACACATACCACATGCCATCTGGATCCCCTAGCAGCCCAGCCCCACCCACTCACCTTGAACTCGTCTCCCATCAGGCTGAGCATGAGGCGGCCATCCTGGAAAGCTACCTTGGCCAGCGAGTGGAAGACTCGCTCAGAGAACCAGAAGTACAGCATGCGGGAGTCCCCCAGCAGTGTGGGCGAGAAGGTGGGGAGGGGGAGGTCCTCTGAGACATTCTTGTAGATGAAATGACCCTGGAGGAAGCCAGGACGCTGGCTGGACCCTGTGTGTCCCTACTGGGCTCAGGTCCAGCTTCAGGGAGATTGGGAGGAGCCCCAGCATTCAGCCCAGAGTGCAGATGGGGAAACTGAGGAAAGAGCTGTACCCAGTTTCCCCCAGCGGGGCTTTCACTCATTCAACAAATACTTCCGGAGTGCCCACTATGTCTCAACCACCGTGGGAAGTGAACCAGACAGACGTGGTTCCTGCCTTCACAGGGTTATATTCAAGTAACGACATTAGTCAGGGCAGCTGGTGACCACGGACCTCCAGCTCCCACCCCGCCCCAGCTGACCACCAGCCCTGCCCCTGCAGAGGGCAGTCCATTGACCATCGGCTCCTGGAGGCCAAAATCAGGAAAACAAGCTGCTGCCCAGTCCCCCGCCCCACTAGATCATCCAGCCCATGGGTTGTGAACAGGCTTCAGGAGTGGCCATGAACCTCTGAAATGATCCTTCTGTCCAGTTTTCCAGGGAGAGGCTCTGTTACAAAGATGGCTGGGTCCGCCCTAAAGTCTTCTCCAATCTCTCCCTCCATTCTGTACCACTTAACTTTTAGCTGGTCTCAATATTTAGCTGAAATAAATTCCTCAGTTTCCCTTGCAGCTAGGGTGGGGTCCTGCGATCAGGTTCAGGCCAACGGGCTGTGAGCAGAGTGGGTGTGGTGGTCAGGCCAGTCAGCCAGGACCCTGGGATGAGGTCATGCCTGGGGCTGGCTGAGAACACGTGGAAGGGGCCTGCGTGCCTGACACCCTGCAGCCTCCTGATCCCGCGGGGCTGCAGATGCTCAGAACGCAACAGAGGGAAATAACTGTTTATTGTGTTTAAGCAGCTATTATTTCGGATTTCTTTGTTACAGAAATCTATATCCTAAGTAATAGAGGGTCCAAAGCTTTTGTCAGTACCCCCTGGGGGGGGGCCACAATCCACTGCTGTAGAGGATGACAGAAGCCGAATAAGCCCTCTAGGAAGGAGCTGGTGCTTTGCTGGGATCCTTGTAGTGGGCAGCCCTGGTGCCTGCAGAGAGGGGTCAGGGGCACGTCGCTGTGGCCTGCCCTCCTCGCAGCATCAGGAATGCGGAGGAGCATCAGGAATGAGGAGGAGCGCCCCAGGACTCTTGGCTGCCATAAGGTTGAAGCTGGGGGACGGGGTTGTCAGAGCACAAAAAAGGACCAACTCCCCTGGGGAAGCTGGGCCCTGCCCCACCCTCCCACAACTCCTACCTTGTGATGGGACTCCAGGTAGGAGGCTGTGATGACGGGATCACCTGTCAGGGAAATGTCCACCCCAATGTCTCCATCTGAAAGGATGCTGGCTGCAGGAGGAAAAGATCAACGCAGGGCCTCAGGATGGGGGAATTGCCCTGAGTCACCGCTCCCCTGCATCCACACAGCTACCCAACCCTCCAGCCTCAGTGTTCCCCTCTGTAAAGTGGGACCTGGGTGTGCGGGGAGGGGTGTGGCACTTTTTCATTCTCTCTTTTCCCAAGTCTGTCTGTCTGGGTAGGTAGAGCCCTTCTAGAAGGTTGGTTCAGAGCAGAGTCCAAGACTTGGGCTGAAACCCAGCTCTGCTCTGTACTGCATAGGAGAGTACAGTACATGGATGAGTGCCCAGCCATGTGAGCAATCTAATTATCTTTTTTCCTAATCTACTTCCAGGAGAATCTTGGAGTCCTCTTGGACTTAATCACCCATTTGTCCTGAGTTCTATAGACTTGCCCAACGCCACACAGCTTGTGAGGCTGCAGCCCAAAGGGGCAGAGATTTGCCAAAGTATGCTCATAACTAATCATCAAGTGTCAGAGCCAGATAGAGCCCATGGGACCTAGACAGGAAGAGTGACAGTCCCAAGGCCACATAGTGCAGCAGGTGGCTTTCTGGCTCCCACTGCTGTCTTCTGAGGCATGCAGACAGAAACGCACTCACCAGCCCTTGTCTGGACAAAATCGGCCATGATGTTAGAGATGACGTTGATCTCTTTGCAGATCTGGGGCAGACAGAGCAGGTGCTTTCCAGGCAGGAAAGGAGGCCAGAGGCAGTGCCTCCTTCCAGCTGCGTGGTGGTGGCAGTGCTGGGGACCGGCACAGGGGACTGGCCACATGGAGAAGGTGGGAGTGGCACCTTCTCAGGGAAAGGCAGGGAGGAAAGGGATCCAGCCTCCTGGGCATGGCCCTGGACCACAGGGAGTCAGCCAGCCTCACTCACCTGTCCCTTCAGGACCAGCTTCAGGGTGAAGGAGATGAAATTTGTGAACAGCTGCTTGATCCACCCAGGCCTGAAGGCAGCAAGCACCACAATGAGCCCCTGACCAGTCCTGTGCATCCATGGAGCGCCTAGTGTGTACCAGGCACCGTTCATGGCTCTGTTGGCCCTGACTCTTGTAGCTCAGGAAGTAAGAATTATCACTCCCATTTTGCAGCTGAGAACACGGAGCCTCAGACCCAAGAATTAACTGTGGCACCATCCCAGAATTCCTCGGGAGGGCCCAGCTCCTGTGACGCTCACACCTGTCACACACACGAGAACGTGTCTAGAGTCCAAATTCATACATGTATCCGTCTGCTCCAGAGTCAGAAAATGGCCTGAATAGAGGGCTCCTCTCCAGACCCCACCCACCAGTTCCCTTCTGCCTTCCAGGTTTGGCATTGGTAACATGACTAGGGACTCTCCAAACCTTGTTATCTTCCTCTGTGCAATGGGGTTACCCACAGCTCCTTGACAGAGGGTGTTGGCCAAGACAAAAAGCCCCACCCTGGGAAGCAGGAGAGTAAAGTATCTAGGAACTCAGCTTCTGGGGTCAGAGAATGCTGGGTTCAAATCCTACTCCCATCCCTTAGTGGCGAGTTGTGTGTCCTCAGCAAGTTACTTAGCTTGGCTAGAGTTTTATCTCTGAGTTAGTGTGGTGCTTGGAATGCAGGATGCACTCCGTAGATATGAGCTTTTCCTTTCTAACCTCTCTGTGACTCAGTTTACCCATATGTAAAAAGGGGATGATAACAGAATCTATATCCTAGGGTTGGTTTTAAGGACAAAATCAATTAATTCATGAAAAGGGCTTGGAATAGTGCTTTGCACACAGCAAGTTCTTAATAGCTGTTAGTTACTAGCTGTTGGTTATTGTTGTTTCCAGCCTTTGAGGGTGTATT
Organism: Homo sapiens; assembly: GCF_000001405.40. Classification (NCBI taxonomy): domain Eukaryota; kingdom Metazoa; phylum Chordata; class Mammalia; order Primates; family Hominidae; genus Homo; species Homo sapiens. The sequence goes on along the minus strand of NC_000016.10, from coordinate 56,970,161 downwards.
GATGGGAGGGGGTAGGAAGTGACCCCACTGAAGGTATTGCTGCCCTCAGGTTTGGCCACCCACAAGCATGCCCTGTGTGGGGTTGAGCCTGGAAGGAGCCGTGGACACACTAACAGGATGGGCACGAGCAGGAATGGGGGCCACAGGGTGGTGTACTTACTCTCGCTCCCCTTGGAGATGCAGGAGCAGCTTATGGAAAGACAGGTAGCAGTCAGGGGCATCGGTCCGCACTCTACCAGAGTCACAGGCTGCAGGGAGACCCGACATGACCTCAGGGCAGCCTCCGCTATCAGATGGTATCCACATGCTGCCCAGGCCAGTCAAGAGCTTGGCCAGCTCTGGGGTCCCCACCCCTGCAAACTTCCCAGGCTGGGCCTCCTTTGGTGGCCCCAGAACCCTCTGCCTGCACAACCTCCCCCTCTGCTGAGGCCAAGCCCTGGAGTCCAGCTCCCACTTCCCCAGAGGACGCTTGACACATACTCAGCTGTGTGTTGATCTGGAGGTCAATGGCAGAGTCGATCTCGAAGTCAATGGACTGATCAATACCCAGCCTGGAAAGAGCCAAGGACCCAGGACCCTCATTCAGCCCTCCAGCCCAGAGAGGGCCAGGGCATGGGGCATCAGCTGACAGGAATGCTTACCACCAGGCAGTGGTGTAGCCATACTTCAGGGTCCCCTTGAAGACCACAGACACGTTCTGAATGGAGACATCAATGGACTTGGCTTCCACCAGCTCCACCTGGCTGCTGGCGATGGACAAGTGGCTGATCTGGATGCTGGGAAGGAATGGAAGTGAGGAAGGATGTTGGGGGTCATCCAGGGAGCCCAAGGAGTGAGCCTCCAATTTTGTCTAGGCGAGGGTGGAAGATAGAATCATGGCCCCCAAAATGTCCTCCTAATCCACAGAACCTGCAAATATGTTACCCAACATGTCAAACCCTGGGTACCACACTCAACTCGTGTTACCCATATGAAAGTATGGTTAAGTTAAGGACCTTGGGGTAGGTGGGGAGATGATCCTAGGTTATCTGGGTGGTCCCAATACAATCACAGGGTACCGAAAAGTGGAAGAGGAGGCAGAAGAGGAGAGGAAGGGGAGAGGTGACCAGGGAAGAACGCCCGGAGAGAGTCAACCCTGGTGTGCTGAAGATGGAGGGAACCGTGCTCACAGGGAGATTTATATCTAGAAATGCCTATCTTTAAAAAAGAGAAAGATCTCAACTCAATAATCAAACTTTCCACCTTATGGAACTTGAAAAATAAGGGCAAACTAAGCCCAAAGCTAGCAGAAGGAAGGAAGTAATCAGGATCTTAGTGCCTATGAATGAAATAATAGAACAAAAACAACAATCGGTGAAAACAATAGCTGGTTTTTCCAAAAGATCAACAAAATCAACAAACCTTTAGCTAGACTGGCAAAAAAAAAAAAAAAGAAGAAGACTCAAATTACTAAAAACAGAAATAAAAGCAAGGCCATTATTACCAGTCTTACAGAAATAAAAGGAATTATGAGAGAATACTACGAACAATTGTATGTCAACAAATGAGGTTAACTAGATGAAATGAAATGGACAAATTCTTAGAAATGTAAATGGTATATGAAGAAGGGTGAAAATTGATTCGGAAGAGTATCAATACACCACCAGAGGTAAAGTTAGATCAAAAATAGGTTGGTGGGCCAGCGTGGTGGCTCACACCTGTAATCCTAGCACTTTGGGAGGCCGAGGAGGGCAGATCACCTGAGGTCAGGAGTTCATGACCAGCCTGGCCAACATGGTGAAATCTCGTCTCCACAAAAATACAAAAAAATTAACCGGGCATGATGGTGGGCGTCTGTAGTCCCAGCTAGTTTGGAGGCTAAGGCAGGAGAATAGCCTGAACCCACGAGGCGGAAGTTGCAGTGAGCTGAGATCGCGCCATTACACTCCAGCCTGGGCAACAGAGCAAGACTGTCGCCAAAAAAAAAATAGATTGACAAAACGTTGCAGGTCTATATCAAAACATCTCATGTACCCCATAAATATATACTCCTACTATGTACTCTCATGTACCCCATAAATATATACTCCTACTATGTACTCACAAAAATTAAAAATAAAATTAAAAAAAAATAGATTGGCAAAGACTTCTGGTATAGGAAACAACTAGATTGCTCCAAATTCTTCTTCTTCTTTTTTTTTTTTTAGTTTGTTCTTTCTTGTTTGAGATAGGGTGGCTCTCTGTTGCCCAGGCCAGAGTGCAGTTGTGTAATCACAGTTCACTGCAGCCTCGAATTCCAACGATCTTCCTGCCTCAGCCTCTGGAATAGCTGGGACCACAGGCATGCACCAACACTGCCTGGCTAATTTTTGTCTTTTTTGTGCAGATTGGGGGGGTCTCACTATGTTGACCAGACTCCACATTATTCTAAATGCTCTAATTTAGAATTAGACCCTACTACAATCTCCAATCCTCTTTCAGTTCTACAGAAATTTAAAGCTCATACCATTGTTTTTTTTTTTTTTTTTGAGACTGAGTCTGGCTCTGTTGCTCAGGCTGGAGTGCAGTGGCACGATCTCGGCTCACTGCAACCTCTGCCTCCTGGGTTCAAGTGATTCTCCTGCCTCAGCCTCCCTAGTAGCTGAAATTACAGGCTCCCGCCACGACATCCAGCTAATTTTTGTACTTTTAGTAGAGAGGGGGTTTCACCATGTTGCCAGGCTGGTCTTGAACTCCTGACCTCAGGTGATTCCCCCACCTCAGCCTCCCAAAGTGTTGGGGTTACAGGCATGAGCCACCATGCCCAACCCGTTTTTTTTGTTTGTTTGTTTGTTTGTGTGACAGAATTTTGCTCTTGCTGCCCAGGCTGGAGTGCAGCGGGCAATCTCAGCTCACTGCAGTCTCCACCTCCTGGGTTCAGTGATTCTCCTGCCTTGGCCTCCCAAGTAGCTGAGATTATGGGCATGCACCATCATGCCCAGCTAATTTTGTACTTTTAATAGAGATAGGGTTTCACCATGTTGGCCAGGCTGGTCTTGAACTCCTGACCTCAGGTGATCTGCCCGCCTCGGCCTCCCAAAGTGCTGGGATTATAGGTTTGAGCCACTGCGCCCAGCCACGTACCAAATTTTTGAGTGGAGTCTCTTCTGGTAATAGCTGCGTAAGCTCCTAATACACTAACCTCCTTGGATGACTAAATTCTTGACCTCCGCACAGAATACAATAAACACTACCTGAGACATTAGAGAGTAAGTGAAAACAGTCAGACTGGGCCAGGCCGTGGCTCACGCCTATAATCCCAGCACTTTGGAAGGCCGAGGCAGGTGGATCATCTGAGGTCAGGAGTTCGAGACCAGCCTGGCCAGCATGGTGAAACCCCATCTCTACTAAAAATGCATAAAAAAAAAAAAAAAAGATTAGCCGGGAGTGGTGGCATATGCTTGTGGTTCCAGCTGCTCGGGAGGTTGAGGCAGGAGAATCGCTTGAACCCAGGAGGCAGAAGTTGCAGTGAGTCGAGATCGTGCCATTGCACTCCAGCCTGGGCGACAAGTGCAAAACTCTGTCTCAAAAACAAACAAAAAAACAAAAAAACCCACAAACAAACAAACAAAAAAACCCAGCCGGGCTGCAGGGGAGATGCCGGGTGGAGGAAGAGAACAGCACAGGGTGCATTTCTCCATTTTCACAGATTCTAGCACGAAGCTGGGCTCCGGCTCTCACTGTGAGAAGGGACAGTGGGAAAAGGCCCTTTCAAGTTCTTGAGCTCTGGTAGATCATAGTTTTTCTGGCCTAGAGAACCAGAGGACAGGACTTGGGACAATCACAGCTGCTGGAAAGCAGGGGAGAATACCATAAATGAGAAAGTCAGAGCAGGAAGCTTCCCTCGCCCTAAATAAAAGTAGATGGAGGGAAGCCAAGGAATGGGGGAAGCCTCTAGAAGCTGCAGAAAGCGAGGGAATTAATTCTCCCCTATAGCCCCCAGAAGGAATCTGGTTCTGCTGACAGCTTGATCTTAGCTCAGGGAGGGCCATGGTGGACTTCTAGCCTTTTAAACTGTAAAATGGTAAACTTGTGTCATGTTAAGCCACTAAACTTGGAGTGATTTTTTTTATGGCAGAAAACAGGAAACTGATACAGAGGGCTTCTGGGAGGAGGTGACACCAGATGGAGGGTGGGAGTTTGGAAGATAGTAGGTGGCTCAGCTTGGAGGAGGCCTCAGCTAGGCCCCGGGGGCAGAGGTGGAGCTGCACAATGGGAGAAGCGTTGGCCCTGGGGTCTTGGTGTAGGTACAGCAGAGGATCTGTGCTGCCTGTGCCGCCGGGGACTTGGTCAGAGGTGGGGCTCAGTGAAGACCCTTAGGAAGCAAGGATCAGAGAGGAGAGACTGCAGGCAGGGAGGCCAGTGGGCCACATTCACTCTCATATCCCTCTACCCTTGCTGAACTCTCCCCCAGGGCCCGGCTTGAGCACATGGAATATGACACAATAGAAGCGGCCATCACGTACCAAACACATGCTGTGTGGCAGGCACTGTGCTTAGAGTTTATACACATTTCCTGGTTTAATCCTCACAGCTACCCACGAGGTAGTCACTATTGCTGTACCCACTGAACTGAGACAGAAATGGCTCAGACAGCTTATGTGGCTTCAGAAAACCTCAGTAGAAGGGAATTTGATCCTGGGTCCATCCCACTCCAAATCCCATATTATAAGCCACTATGACACACTGTGCCCAGCAAGGAGAATCCACATATATCTGGCTTTCCCGGTCTGTTCTGTTCTATTTTATTCCATTCGCTTTAGAGAGAATAGTGTGAAGAATTCTCATCTTACCCATTATCCAACTTCATCTAACATTAATCATGACCAATCATAGTTATGGCCAATCATATTTTATTTCTACCCCACTCATATACGTTTGGGATAACAGTTATATATTAATGACTATGACATCTAGTCTATGGCAGTCTGGTCTTACTGAATTATTGCTGATTTATTAAGGATACTATTTCTTTAACTTCTCAACGCTTTTGCCATGTCTGACCTCTTGCAACACATAGGTCTAGGATAGCATTATCCTCTTTTATTTTTTAGCAACAGAGTCTTGCTCTGTCACCCAGGCTGGAATGCAGTGATGCAATCATAGCTCACCGCAGCCTTGACCTCCCCTGGCCTCCTGAGTAGCTGGGACTGCAGGCACGCACCACCATGCCCAGCTAATTTTTAAATTTTTTATAGAGACAGGTGGTCTTGAACCCTGGCTGAGGTAATCCTCCTACCTCGGCCTCCCAAAGTGCTGGGATCACAGGCATGAGCCACTGGACCTTGCCCATTATTCTCTTTTACAGAAGCCTAAACTGAAGCCCAAGGTCACACAGAGGGCGTGGCTGCGCGAGACCTGGGACGCCCCACAGCACCCGCTAGCGGCGGGAGTTTTCCTGCAAAAGGCGAAGTGGCATCCAGCACCGCTGGCGCCCCCTGGTGGCTCAGAAACATTTACCAAGACTCAAGGCCCAATGTGCGCGGGTAGCAGAGACCACCCCTGGGGAGCGTGTTTAGCAGGGCCGGGGAGGAGGAGGAGATTGGCTTTAAGACAAAGACAAGGTCCCTGAACAATGTCTGCCCCACCCTTGGGGCCTCAGACCGACACACAGACCGGGACCCAGGCTCCAGGGCAGCCTGAGGTGCCATGAAGGTGGCTGAGTTTCCGATACTGAGCTGAGTTTGCACATGAGCTCCGCCAGGCTGCTAAACCTCTATCGGCTCCTGTTTCCGTGTTTGTTAAGCAGGGTCATCCGGGCGATGGCATTATCCTCTTTTACAGAAGAGGCTAAAATATATGATAAAGATTAAGATAGGCCGGACGCTGTGGCTCACGCCTGCAATCCCAGGACTTTGGGAGGCCGAGGCGGGTGGATCACTTGAGGTCAGGAGTTTAAGACCAACCAGGTCAACATGGTGAAACCCCGTCTCTACTAAGAATACAAAAATTAGCCGGGCGTGGTGGTGGGCACCTGTAATCCCAGCTACTAGGGAGGCTGAGGCAGGAGAACGTCTTGAACCCGGGAGGTGGAGGTTGCAGTGAGCTGAGATCGTGCCACTGCACTCCAGCCTGGGTGACAGTGAGAGACTCCATCTCAATAAATAAATAAATAAATAAATAAATAAATAAATAAATAAATAAATAAATAAAATAAAGATTAAGATAGATAAAGGGCCAGGCGTGGTGGCTCACGCCTGTAACCCCAGCACTTCGGGAGACTGAGGTGGGCGGATCACTTGAGGTCAGGAGTTGGAGACCAGTCTGGCCAACATGATGAAACCCCATCTCTACTAAAAATACAAAAATTACGCGGATGTGGTGACGTGTGCCTGTAATTCCAGCTACTCTGGAGGCTGAGGCACGAAAATTCCTTGAACCCAGAGACGGAGGTTGCAACGAGCTGAGATTGTGCCACTGCACTCCAGCCTAAGTGACAGAGGGAGACTCTGTCTCAAAAAATGAAAAACAAGAAAGAAAAAAATATATGATAAAGGTGAGGATGTTGTTTGTAAAAGCACCTGGCCCACAACCGACCCTTGACTGTTACCATCATCCCAAATAAAGTCAAGATACTAATTTTAGGCTTGGGGTGGGGGACTGGCTAAGCCAAGAGTTCAAGACCAACCTGGCCAACATAGCAAGACCTGTCTGTACTATAAGAAAACAACATTTATACATTTTTTTAAAAAATACTTATTTTGTTGAGATTTTTCTACCCTACCCCCCATTCACCCCGAAATAAGACCTCCATCTTCCCAGGGCAGTGGGAAAGGACCCTTTGAAGCCTGACTCTTAGAGGGGCTGTTGGAGAGGTTGATACACTCCAATAAATCCCCCCAGGGCACCAGGGGATGGAGGGTGGGGGTAGGGAAGGTGTCAGGCTCTGGTTCCAAATCAAGGGGAGAGACCTGAGTCCCCCAGCTGCTGCCTTTCCTCCCTGTGGGCTGGGGGCAAGCCCCAGGCTGTTCCTCCCGCCTCCCTACCCCCAGCCTGGTCACACCCGAGGCCCGACTCACTTGTGCAACCCATACTTGACTTGGCCAAGGAGCATCATGGCCTTCTCGCCCGTGATATCTGGGTAGCTGGCTCGCTGGAAGGCGGTCTGGATCACCTTGGCAGTCTCGTGGTTCACTAGAGGGGAGGGCAGTGGATGAGGGGCTGCAGGCCCACACCAAGCCCCCTGCTCCCACCCCCAACTGGCCTTGGCCATGACTCAGCCTCTCTGAGATGAGGCTCCCAGCAGGTCTTAAAGCTGAGGGGTTGGACTGGGCCTCCCTCTGGGTTTAAGGTTGATGGCAATTCTAGGGGACACAGAGAGCTCTGACCCTGACCCCAGCTAGAGATCCTGATCATACCCTAGCCTCTGGATCCTGACACATGGGAACCCCACGATCCTAGCAAATGGGGCAGCCCTGAGCCCAGCCGCACACTAACCCTAGCCTCACCCAGACGATGCTGTGACACTGTCTGTAGTCCTGGGGGTCTATAATTCTGGCTTTTGAACTTGGCGATACTCTATTTTAGAAATTGTATCATTTAGCCTCCCTATACCCTTATTATATTGAGCAAGAGACTGAGGCCCAGAGAGGGCAGGGGAGCTGGCCAAAGTCACACAACAGTCAGTGATGGAGCCTCCGTCACCTGAGCTCATGGCAACCCCTGACTTTGGCCATAGAGTGACCCCCAACACCAAATATACACCAACCTCCTAATCTTTACCCCCTGACTCAACCCCCTAACCTGGCTCAGATCTGAACCCTAACTCGAACCCCAGTGATTCTGGGTCTCAGACAAACACAAATCCCTATACCTGGCTGTTTGCAATGCAGCTAGGACCTTCTCACCAAAGAACTTGACCTTGAAGGCGAGGTCAGGAGGGGGTGATGACAGCTCCACTCAGCCCATCTCCCTCCCAGGGCACTCCTCTCTCTGGGCTAGTGTGGCAGCCGGCTTCAGGGCTGGCTTCAGGCCAGGGAGGCTCCTGGCATAGTGGGTGTCCATGAAAAGACCCCTGGCAGGGCAGACAGATGCACTGATACTTACACACCAGGAGGGCAGGCTTGGTGATGCGGCACACGATGCCTGCCTCGTGCGAGGTGCCTTTGGAGCAGGCATGGGCATTGCCCAGCAGGGCCAGGGTCAGGACTGTGGCAGCCAGCATGGTTATCAGGCAGTGGTGTGTAAGTGGCCCGAGCCGTTCAGCCTGGAGCCCGTATATGTATGTCCGCCCAGCCCCCACGGAACATGAGGCTCTTCCGGGCAGCAGGGTCTTCCTGGCCCCAGAGATTCACCTCCTTCCTGCCCAGCCCCTGCGGCCTCCTCTAGAGTTCAGAGCCAGACATTCAACAAGAGCACCCCAACTTCTACTTGTCTCCCCTCCACCATCTGCACCATTTTTGCCATCCCTTATGTTATCTGGATAATTGCTTAATATGTTTCCATGAATTCATTTATTTTTTACTTAAATACATATATCTAGGAATAAGCTTTCTCTCTCAGTTGCCATAAATAGAAAGAGGCCAAAATACAATGACTATGAGAAAAAGACATTGAATTCTTGCCAGATACTGTTGCCCGACAATGACCCCAAGCTTGAAGCCTGCTGTTGCCTGTAAAGTAAAACTCAGTAGAAAAAGGGAGAGGGCTTCATGGGTGCTAGAGAAACTCTAGCATCGACCTTTCCCTTGCTCTGATTTGAAAGCTTGAAAGGATAATGTCCTCACTGTAGTATTCCATGGCATTTGACGCTGCATCTGGGTACCCCAGAAACAGTCCTCTATGTAGACTTTCCTTGATATGCATAAAATAACTCTGGGGGGGTATACAGCCTCTGAGATCATTGGCTGCCTCCGGGAGAAACTGGGTATCCGGGGGAAAGGGGCGGAGCAGGGGGAATGTCTGTGGCATTTCAATTCTGAGTTGTGTGAACGTGTTATCTTTCAAAAAATTACAACATACAGTACTTTACCTACAGCTGGGGCCAAGAACTGCCCTGCAGCAACTGTGACCAGATGACCAAGTGCTGCCTCCTCAGAGCCCCTAGGAAGGAGCCAGGGCTGCAGGGATGTGGGCAGGATGCTGTGCCCCGGGCAGGGCCAAGGAAACATGAGTCGGGATGGCCTTGCTCAGTCGCCTCTCAGGGGGTCCTGCCCTAGTCCCGAGTTTGCACCTGCTCCAATACCAAAGCTGCCCAGAAGCACGTGGGGAGCCGGGCTGACCCTCACTGTTTCCCAAGGCTCAGAGACATAAGCTGATTGCCCCTGGGCACCAGCCCTTGGGTTCGTACCCACAGACCTCTGGAGCCCCCTCACTGAGTGAGCATGTACCATCGGCCCTGCCAGGGTGGGGGCTGGAGGTGAGCCCTTTAGCCCAGGCCTCCCCAGCACCCCGTCCTCCGATCAGGCTGGAGGAACTTCATTCATTAATGGGCTCTATTTCTCCAGAAATGTGAGGACTTCCCGGCGGCTATTGTCTTCTTGGCTGTTGTTTCTGTTCCCTTCCTTGGGCCACGGAGGGCAATGACCGAGGGTGCCCCTGGCCAGGGTACTGGTGGTCAGTGGCTGGGCCTGGAGAGAAAAGGGAGGTGGGCCCCATCCTCTAGTGCAGACTGGGTGCTGGGGGCCTCCCAAGGGTGGGGATAATGGATTAAAAAAAAAAACCAAATAACTAAACCAAAAAACCAAAAGAGCCTATCCCTTTAAACTTAGAATCCTGCACCTTAGACTCTTAAAACTTAGTAAGAATTATACTAATATCAGCTGTATTTTCGAGATAATGCTTTTTTGCGTTATCTCATTTAATCTTTTTTAAATTATTTTTTAGTCTTTTTAAAATTGTAGTAGAATTTAATTTACTGCTTAGTGAAAACTTGCCACTTTAACCATTTTAAAGTGTACAATTCAGGGGCATTTAGTATGTTCACAGTGTTATGCAGCCATGAATTTAATTCCAGAACATTCTCATCACCCCAAAATAGAGCCCCACATCCAATAAACAGTCATTCCCCATCCTGCCCTTTCCCAGCTCCTGGCAACCATAAATGTGCTTTCTGTCTCTATGGATTTGCCTACTCTGAACATTTCATGTAAATAGAGTCATACAGTGTGTGTGATCTTTCGTTCCTGGGTTCACTCTTTTCTTTCTTTCTTTCTTTCTTTCTTTCTTTCTTTCTTTCTTTCTTTCTTTCTTTCTTTCTTTCTTTCCTTCTTTTTCTTTCTTCCTTTCTTTCTCTTTCTTCTTTCTCTCTCCCTTCCCTCCCCTCCCCTCCCCTCCCCTCCCTTCCCTTCCCTTCCCTTTCTTTCTTCCTTCCTTCCTCCCTTTCTTTCTTTCGACAGAGTCTCGCTCTGTCGCCCAGGCTGAAGTGCAGTGGCACAATCTCGGCTCACTGCAACCTCCACCTCCCGGGTTCCAGCAACTCTCTTGCCTCAGTCTCCCGAGTATCCAGGATTACAGGTACCTACCACCACACCCAGCTAATGTTTGTATTTTTAGTAGAGGCGGGATTTTGCCATGTTGGCCAGGCTGGTCTCAACTCCTGACCTCAAGTGATCTGCCCGCCTCGGCCTCCCAGAATGCTAGGATTACAGGTGTGAGCCACCATGCCTGGCCTATGTCCCTTAGAGGAATGTCTTCAAGGTTTGTCTGTGTTGTAGGCTGTGTCCATACTCCATTCCCTTATACGCCTATACCGCACTGTGTTGGTCCCTTCACCTGTCGGTAGGCATCTGGGTTGTCTGCTATCTCATTCACTCTTCATAGCCACCCCCGGGATGCCTTGATTGCCCTGCTTTATAGGTCAAACAGTGAGGCAGAGAGAAGTTAAACTACAAGCTCCAGGTCACATAGGGACAGAAAGCCAGTATTTGAGCGCTTCGGGAATTTGGGCTCAGTGCTGGTCCCAGCTTCTAAGAATACCGGAGTCAGAGGGCAAGAGGCTTGGGGTCATGGAAGCTCACCCTCTCTCACAGGGGAGACACAGCTCCTGGGGAAGGGAATCCCTGGGACAGGGAGGGGCGGGATAACCTGCACCCTCTCCAGCCTCTGTAATCATAACCTGCAAAACCTTGTCATGGAGGAGAATGCAAACCCCATGTGAATTTTTAAGCAGACTTTGATTTTCAGAAGAATTTTAGATTTTCAGAGAAACTGAGCAAGTTTCCCATATACAACCCATACTGAGTTTCCATTATTATTATTATTGTTATTATTATCATTGAGACAGGGTGTCGCTCTGTTGCTCAGACTGCAGTGTAGTGGCGTGATCCTGGCTTACTGCAGCCTCAACCTCCCGGCTCAAGCAATCCTCCTGTCTCAGTCTTCTGAGTAGCTGGGGCTACAGGCATGTGCCACCACCACACCTGGCTAATTTCAAAAAATTTTTTGTAGAGATGGGGATCTCACTGTGTTACCCAGGCTGGTCTCGAACTCCTGAGCTCAAGAGATCCTTCCGCCTCAGCCTCCCAAAGTGCTGGAATTACAGGCATGAGCCACCGCCCCGGCCTCATTATGAACATCTTGCATTCATACGGTATATTTGTTACAATTAATGAATCAGTGTGGATACATTACTGAAATCCATGGTTATTCAGATGTCCTTAGTTTTTACCTAATATCTTTTTCCTCTTCCAGGATCCCATCAAGAATACATCACATTTGGCAAGGCATGGTGGCTCATGCCTGTAATCCCAGCACTTTGGGAGGCCAAGTTAGGTGGATTGCTTGAATCCAGGAGTTCGAGACCAGCCTGGGCAACATGGCGAAATACCGTCTCTAAAAAAATACAAAAATTAGCTGGGTGTGGTGGTGCACGCATATAGCCCCAGCTACTTGGGAGGCTGAGATGGATGGGAGGATCACTTGAGCCCCAGAGTTCGAGGCTGCAGTGAGCTGTGATTGTGCCACTGTACTGCAGCCTGGGTGACAAAGCGAGACCACATCTCAAAAAAAAAAATCACAATTAATTGTCACATCTCCTTGTAGCTGTGACAGTTTCTCTTGTTTCTGATAGTCTTGACAGGTTTGAGGAGCAGTGGTCACGTATACTGTAGGATGCCCTTCTGTTGGGATCTGTCTGATGTTTTTCTTTTCTCTTTTTCTTTTCTTTTCTTTTTTTTTTTTTTTTTTTGAGATGGAGTCTCACTCTGTCAACCTGGCTGGAGTGCAGTGGCGCGATCTCAGCTCACTGCAACCTCCGCCTCCCGGGTTCAAGCGGTTCTTCTGCCTCAGCCTCCCAAGTAGCTGGGATTACAGGCACCCGCCACCGTGCCTGGCTAGTTTGTGTATTTTTAGTAGAGACAGGATTTCACCATGTTGTCCAGGCTGGTCTCAAACTCCTGACCTGTGATCCACCCACCTTGGCCTCCCAAAGTGCTCGGATTACAAGCGTGAGCCACCACTCCTGGTCTGATGTTTTCCTTATACTGGCATTACGGGCTGTTGTGAAAAGGGTCGTGGAGGTAAAGTGCCATTTCATCCCATCATATCCAGGATGCCCACTATCAACATAATTCATGACAGCTGATGTGACCTCGATCACTTGGCGGAGGTCGTATTTGTCAGATTTCTCCACTGTGAAGTTAATTCTCCCCGCTCCCCCTTCCCGTACTGTACTCTTTGGAAGAAGGTCACTAAGGCAGCCTGGAGTTGTGTGTGCCCTCCTGTAGGGTGGAGAATCTACAGAATTCATTTGGGATTCTCCTGCACAGAAGATTTGTCTCTTCTTTCCCGTTTATTTTTATTTTTATTTATATATTTATCTTATTTATATATTTATTTATTTTGAGACAGGGCCTCACTCTGTTGCCCAGGCTGGAGTGCAGTGGTGAGATCACAGCTCACTGCAACCTCCGTCTCCCAGGCTCAAGCAATCCTCCCTCCCCAGCCTCCCAAGTAACTGGAACTATAGGCATGCCCCACCATGCCCAGCTAATTTTTGTGTTTTTGGTAGAGACAGGGTTTCATCACAGTGCCTAATCTGGTCTCAGACTCCTGGGCTCAAGTGATCTGCCCACCTTGGCCTCTCAAAGTGCTCTCCCATTTATTAATATGAATGTATTAAATCATCTATGTGAGTATAGACTCATAGACACTTATTTTATACTTTGGGCTATAATTTGATGCTTACTTTATTTATTTTGTTGCTCAAGTTGCTCCATCTTTGGCCACTGGGGGCTCTTTCGGTTGGCTCCTGCGTCCCTGTGTCATATCCCTATCAAAGTGGGTTTTCCCCCTTTTTGGGGCCCCATGTAAACGTATAAAGATAAAACACGAGCTTTTCAGTACACTTCCACCTTGCTGTGACAACCCAAACTGGGGCCAGGACTAGGGTAAGGCAAGTGCCTGACAAAATTTAAGGGGTGCCAGAAAAACTTAGTAGCCACCATTTAAAAATCAAAATTATGGACTCGGCATGGTGGCTCACTGTAATCCCAGCACTTTGGGAGACCGAGGTGGGTGGATCATTTGAGGCCAGGAATTTGAGACCAGTCTCCAACATGGTGAAACCCTGTCTCTACTAAAAATACAAAAATTGGCCAGGTGTGATGGCGGATACCTGTAATCCCAGCTACTCGGGAGGCTAAGGCAGGAGAATGACTTCAACCCGGGAAGTGGAGGTTGCAATGAGCCAAGATTGCGCCACTGAACTGTAGCCTGGACAGCAGTGTGAGACTCTGTCTCAAAAAGAAAAAACAATCAAAATTATGGACTCAAATGAATATTTGCACACCCGTATTCATAGCAGCATTTTCCATAGCAGCCAAAAGTGGAAGCAACACAGGCATCCATCAATGATGAGTGGATAAACAACATGTGATATATCCACACAAGGGAATATTATTCATCCTTTAAAAGGAAGGGCATTCTGACACACACTACGATGAGGATGAACCTTCAGGACATTATGCCAAGTAAAATGAACCAGTTACAAAGACAAATACTGTATGATTCCACTTATATGAGGTATCTAGAGTAGTCATATTTAAGAGCCAGGAAGTAGAATGGGCAGGGTGCGGTGGCTCAGACCTGTAATCTCAATGTTTTGGGAGGTTGAGGTGGGAGGATCGCTTGAGCCCAGGAATGTAAGTCTGGCTTGGACCATGCAGCAAGACCCCATCTTTCCAAAAAATAAGTGAATTAGCAGAGTGTGGTGGCGTATGCCTATAATCTCAGCTACTCAGGAGGCTGAAGTGGGAAGATCCCTTGAGCCCAGGAGTTTGAGGCTACAGTGAGCTGTGATTGCATCACTGCACTCCAGCATGGACAACAGAGGGACACTCTCTCTAATAATAATAATAATAATAATAATAATAGAATGGAGGTCACCAGAGGCTGGAGGAAGAGAGAACGGGGAGTGAGTTCATATTTAATGGAAATAGAGTTTCAGTTTTTCAAGGTGAAAAGAGTTCTGGAGATGGGTTGTATAATAATGTGAATGTATTAAACGCCACAAAACTGTACACTTCGAATGGCTAAAATGATCAATTTTATGTTATATATATATTTTATATAATAAAAAATCAAAATTAATGCAAAAGGTCTATAATGGACAAAGTATCAGAACCTTAAGTAAACACTGAATCAGTATTACTAATTTTCTCATTTGCTTCCATGTCCAACAAGGCCTGTTGTGGCCCTGTTGTTGAGTCGGTTCCACGGCAGAGCAGGGTGACAGCCCGCTGACCCCAAGTTCTTCCTCCATCCACTCAGTCATGCCAAAATCTCGCCTTCAGAGGATAAGCCCAGAGAGAGGAATCTGTGGCAGAGCTGAGCCCAGAACCCAGGTGGAAAATTCCCACCCTAGGTGGGCGTGGTGGCTCACACCTGTGATCCCAGCACTTTGGGAGGCTGAGGTGGGCAGATCACTTGAGGCCAGGAGTTCCAGACCAGCCTGGCGAACATGGCAAAACCCTGTCACTACTAAAAATACAAAAATTAGCTGGGCTTGGTGGTGTGTGCCTGTAATCCCAGCTACTAGGAAGGCTGAGGCAGGAGAATGGCTTGAACCTGGGAGGCAGAGGTTGTGGTGAGCCAAGATCACACCATTGCACTCCAGCATGGGTGACAGAGTGAGACTTGGTCTCAAAAAAAAAAAAAAGAAAAGAAAAATTCCCACCTTACCAATACAGGGATTCCATCCATCCAAGCTTGGCCATATGCATCACGTATTTAATTAATAGCAAGAACTAGCTAATCAGTTAAGAATTTCGAGATGTGGAGATTATTCTGTATGAATATGAACGGAAGAGGTAAGAAAGAATTAATTATTTATTTATTTTGAGATGGAGTCTCCCTCTGTTGCCCAGGCTGGAGTGCAATGGTGTGATCTTGGCTCACTGCAACCTCTGCCTCCCGGGTTCAAGTGATTCTCCTGCCTCAGCCACCTGAGTAGCTGGGATTACAGGTGCGCGTCACCATGTCCAGCTAATCTTTGTATTTTTAGTAGAGACGGGGTTTCGCCGTGTTGGCCAGGCTGGTCTCTATCTCCTGACCTCAAGTGATCTGCCCACCTCGTCCTCCCAAAGTGCTGGGATTACAGGTGTGAGCCACCACGCCTGGCAAAGAAAGAATTTTAGAAGTCCAGGCAAAGAAATCAGGGGAAACTTCCTGGAAGAGGTGGCCTTAGAGGGCAAAAGGGAGAATTGGTGAGTGGAAGCAGCCATAGGCCAGTTGGTGGAGCAAAGCTTTGAGAGCCAGTTGAGCTAGCAGGGCAGAACCTGGACGAAGCCTGCTTTCCAGACTCCAACTCAGTGGTGTGCTGGTAAAAGTTTAACAACCAGCTCTTGGGGGGCCAGACAGGAACCCCAATCTGTAGTCTTTGCCAATTTATACCACACATATTTACCTCCCACCATGGCCAACTTCAAGCTATGAATGTGATGCCACTGAATGCAGAATTGGTAAGAAATACACAGTAGCACACAATTCTACAGTATAGCCATTTCCACTATACGGATCCAATCAATATCAATAACCACAAAGCATCAATAATAGTATGCTGGACAGTCTCTGGGCCTACTTAGGCTCAAGAGGCTGCCCAGTAAAAATAAATAAATAATAATAATAGTGCACTGTAGCAAAGTAATTCACAAGTGATGAGTTTTGAGTGTTAACTTTGTTCACCTCAGCCTCCTAAGTAACTGGGACCACAGGGATGTGCCACCATGCCTGGCTAATTTTGTTTTTATTTTTTGTACAGACCAGGGTCTCCCTGTGTTCCCCAGGCTGATCTCCAACTTCTGGGCTCAAGCGATCTTCCAGCCTTGGTCTCCCAAAGTGCTGAGATTACAAGCGTGAGTCACGGCACCCAGCCTATTATTTTATTTTATTTTATTTTATTATTTTGAAAGACACAATCTCCCTCTGTTGCCCAGGCTGGAGTGCAATGGCGTGGTCTCAGCCCATTGCAACCTCTGCCTCCTGGGCTCAAGCAATTCTCATGCCTCAGCCTCACAAGTAGCTGGAGTTACAGATGTGAGCCACCACACCCGACTAATGTTTTTGTATTTTTAGTAGAGACAGGATTTTGCTATGTTGGCTAGGCTGGTCTTGAACTCCTGACCTCAAGTGATCCACCGCCTTGGCCTCCCAAAGTGCTGGGATTACAGACATGAGCCATCACGCCCAGCCTATAATTTTGTTTTTAATAATAGCTGTGTTCAATAATTGGCTCACAAAATTCCTGAAAATTTAACAATTGACTCCCATGAGCAGACCAGGCTTCTCCAGCCCTCCTTGAACTGCATGAGACTGCCTCTTGGAACTTAAGAAGCTCCAAACCTTACATCCCACCAAGGTTTGCGCTGGGACAATGATCTGAGCTCTGTCCTCAAGCATGTGTTTCTCCAGGTCATTGACCTACAGCAGGAATGCCCGGCCCCTTCCTCAGCCCTTGGTTGCAAACAGGAGGCCACAGGCTCCTCACGTCCTTCCAGTCAAGGCGAAAGGTCTCTCCTTGCAGCCTAGAGTGAAGCCTTCCTGCCCCAGCTGGCTGACCCCTCATTCTGCCTCTCTCTTGAACCTAGAGGCGTCTTGATCCCCGGGCCCCACCTCTGCAGGACAGAGCCAGGATTTCTGGGAGGGGTCATTACAACCATCCCCCATCTCTTAGCCTGGGACTTTCTGCAAAAGAGTTAGGGGAGTAGGCCACAGAGCAATGGCCTGCCTTAGGTCACAGCTGCTTTTAATCCCAGCTCCCATCAGGCCTGGGTAGAAGCCCTGCCACCTCAAATCACCAGGCACAAAGTCCCCGCACTGGGGCAAATCATACTGTTGGGCCTCTCTTTTGCCCCAGCCTCTCCACCCTAAGTTTATTTTCATCTTGACAGCACCCCATTCCTCCCACCTAATCCCCACATTCATCTTCCCTTCTTCACGATCAACACTCACTGTCTTAATTTTTTGTATTTTCAGTAGAGATGGGGTTTCACCATCTTGGCCAGGCTGGTCTCGAACTTCAGACTTCGTGATCCCCCCGCCTCGGCCTCCCAAAGTGTTGGGATTACAGGCGTGAGCCACCGCACCTGGCCGCAGAGAGCCTTATGAGGACGTGTGCATGGATATGTGGGCACAGATATGCACGTGTGCACAGATACACACACACCACATACACACAAGCACCCAGCTACACCTGCTTGTGAGACACACACAGGTACACCCGTATGCCCACAGCACCTACCCCAAATACACACACTCAAACATCTTGGTATGCACCTCATTTTTTAAAAGACATTTTCATGGACTATACATTCACAAAGCTTTTAGCATTCAGTGTTTCCTGCAACCTTAATCCTTCAGGAACCACGGTCATGATGCTGTCTTTTGTGCATCTGCCCTAGACTGTTATTTACTTAACCTTTTAAACAGACTGACTTTTTTACTTATGTGGATTTTAAAGGGGAGCTTTATATCCCCACTTTAAATGGAAAATACATTTATCTAATACATTGAAAAATAGCATGCTATTATAATCAAGTGTTTTTGGCTTTGCACGGTGGCTCATGCTTGTAATCCCAGCTACTTTGGTAGGCCAAGGCAGATGGATCCCTTGACGTCAGGAGTTCAAGACCAGTCTGGTCAACATGGTAAAACCCTGTCTCTACTAAAAATACAAAAATTAGCTAGATGTTGTGGTGGGTGCCTGTAGTCCCAGCTACTCAGAAGGCTGAGGCAGGAGAATTACTTGAACCTGGGAGCCAGGGACTACAGTGGGCCAAGATTGCACCACTGCACTCCAGCCTGGGCAACAGACGGAGACTCCATCTCAAAAAAAAAAAAAAAAAAAAGGAAAAGAAAGAAAAAGAAAAAGAAAAAAAAAGTGTTCTTCCACCTAGAACGGTTTTGCACACCCGTCCCTGGGTCCCGTGTGCCACTCTGGGGAAGTGCTCCATTATTTCACTCCAGCCTTGTGATCCCTGTGCGGTGGGCAGAGCAGGTTTTATATGTCACAGGGTCTGTTATGATGAGGAAGTGAGAATTCAGTGGGGTGCTGTGACTTCCTCTAGGCCCCACGGCTGCAACTCACACCAGCTCTCCTGCCCCACATCTGGTGCCCTTCCCTGGGGACAACCCCTCTGGCCTCATCCCTACAAATCACCTCCCCTTTCAGTCTAATGCCAGCAAGAAGGTTGTCATCAGAAGAGACCATCCACCTTCCCTGCGGCGTATCCTCCAGTAGCACCTCAAGGTGGCGCCTCCTAGCCAGCCAGGGCCACCGCTCACCCTCCCAGGACTCTGTGCAGCCCTCCCTGGCCCCGCATCCTCCACCCTGCCCTCTGTCATCAGCCATCCAGTGCTTATTCCCCAACCCACTTCTTGGAACCTCCCCTCTACCTTCATGCTCTGACCTGGGGTCTGCTGCCTTCCCTGCAGGCCTCAGTGGGGCTGTTCTTCCTCCCACATGCCTCCTCGCTCTTCCTTCATAGAACTCCAGCTCCCTGAAGTACACAACATCAGACTCTGCTGCTCCCGCCCCATGGTGCTGCGGTGGCTCCCATCCCATCTCGACCACATCCCATTTCTTACTGCAGGTCTCTGGCCCTACGTGCTGTGGCTCCACTTCTGGGCCTGATCTCCACAGCTCCTCTGGGCTCAGCTTCAGACACCTGCCACCGTGCAGGACACACACATACAGGACACACGTACCCGCTCCTGCCCCAGGGCCTTTGTCCTTGCAGTTCTTTCTGCTTGGAGGCTCTTCCTCCAATCTTTGCTTGGTTTGCTCCAGCTCATCATTCAGGTGTCACCTCTTCAGAGGCCCTCCCCGACCACTGTCTAACCACTCCTCCTCCTGGTGTCGAAACCACTGCATTCTAAAATGTCCCCTGCCACGTTATCCCCTCTCCTTTCCATGCTTTTTGTCCTAGCCCTTGTCATTTTATGTCCGCTTGTTTCTTTGTAGTCTGTGTTGACCTGCCAGGGTGTAGAGCCCACGAGGACAGGGATCACCTGCAGCAAGTGAGTCCCCAGGAGCTAATGGGTGAGTGCTGACAATGTGGTACATATACCTACTCATGTGCTCTCCAGCCAGCTGTGTGCACACAGATTCGCAGCCTATCCATGTATAGGCACCTACGCAATCAGGCACACAGATTCTCATGTACACAATGGGCTTCAGAGGGTCCAACTCTGCAGCTGGGTCAGTGGTGCTGTCCCACCCCACCCTCCGGGTCCCTACACCATTTAAATCTCATCATTTCCACCCTGGAGACATCCTTCCAGATGAAGCCTGCCTCTTCCTGCCAGCCTGCCTGGCCTGGTCCCTGGAGTGGGAAAGCTTTAGGAGGCACAGAGCAAAGCTTCAGGCCCTCCCCAGGGCCACCCCCACCTGCCTTTGCTCTCAGGCAGAGCCAAGGGGAGGGGACCCTGCCTGAACAAATGACACAGCCTGCCTGGAAGCAATTCCCACCCCAACTGGCCAATACACTACACAGGGATAAGGAACTGGACCCCACAACCTCCAGAGCCGGCCCCTGTGTCAGTCAGGGTTCCTCCAGAGAAACAGATCCAATAGCGTATTCATTAACTAACTTCTAGAAATTGTCCTACACAGTTGTAGGGGCTGGCTAGACGCGTCTGAAGCTGTAGGGTAGGATGGTGGGCTGGAAACTCAGGCGGAAGCTGAGGCTGCAGGCCATAGACTTAATTGCTCTGTCCTTGGGGAACCCTGAGTTTTGCAATTAAGGTCTTTCAGATAATTAGATGAGGCCCATGCAGGTTAATCACATCTGCAAAATACCTTCATAGTAACACCTAGATTCACGGGGTTTTTGTTGTTTTTTCTTTTATGTTTTTTTGCGATACAGTCTCACTCTGTTGCCCAGGCTGGAGTGCAGTGGCATGATCTCCACTCACTGCAGCATCCACCTCCCAGGTTCAAGCGATTCTCCTGCCTCAGCCTCCCGAGTAGCTGAGACTACAGGCACACACCACCACGCCAGGCTAATTTTTGTATTTTTGGTAGAGATGGGGTTTCACCATGTTTGCCAGGCTGGTCTCAAACTCCTGACCTCAGGTGATCCGCCTGCCTCAGCCTCCCAAATTGCTGGGATTACAGGCGTGAGCCACCAAAGCCCGGCCTAGATTCGTGTTTACATAACTGGGCCTAGCCAAGTTCACACATAAAACTAATCATTACAGTACTCTCTTTGTCAACCTGGCACCTGTATGCATCTCCTTAAACCACACTTAATCTCCAGATAAAGACAGTAACAAAGCCATACTTCCACCTAACATGACTCAACCATCCTGCATACAACAGAAAACATGCCAATCCTTTCCCCAGAGAGGCTGCAACGTCCTTGGGTGATGTTTACTCTTCTGCTTGACATCCTGTCACTTCAATGCTGTGATGATCCATCTTATGTTAGGTGATAAAGGAATGAGAGAGGAAAGAAACAAAAGATTTTTTTTTTTTTTGAGACGGAGTCTTGCTCTGTCACCCAGGCTGGAGTGCAGTGATGGGGTCTCAGCTCACTGCAACCTCCACCTTCCGGGTTCAAGCAATTCTCCTGCCTCAGCCTCTTGAGTAGCTGGGATTACAGGTGCCTGACACCGTGACCGGCTAATTTTTGTATTTTTAGTAGATATGGGATTTCACTCTGTTGGCCAGGCTGGTCTTGAACTCCTGACCTCGTGATCCACCTGCTTCAGCCTCCCGAAGTGCTGGGATTACAGGAGTGAGCCACCATGCCTGGCCTAAAGATTTGTTTTATATCTGTAATATGTATTAGATATCATAGCATACAAGTTTGTATATGAATATACAAATATATTAATAACAAAATAAGGAACGGTGTCGGCCACCTACCTTTTGGTCCATGTTTCAGCCAGCCAACCAACCAACGAACCAAACAACCAACCAACCAAGTTAGAGCCCTTTCTAACCCCTCATGCTAAAGCACTGAGTTAAGAATCTCTGCTTAGTGGGCCCATATCATTACGTTCAGCCAGATCCAACACTATGGTCCTTCCGTGATCTCACAACCTTAAAATCTACTCCCATACATGTCTCTTGGATTTGTCTGTATAAATTGGAAAAATCATGCAGTTCTTTTGGTGTGTAACACACCTCTTCATGGGTCACAGTGTGTACCTTTCTCTCTGGGGCCTGGTGGGACTTGAGTCTAGTTACAGGTCCAGCAAAGAGGGGAAGGGCATAGGATCCAAGAAGAATCAGAAGTGCCCCGCAAGACAGCTACCTCAGGGAAGGCCACAGGGTTTCTCAAAGGGCTAAGAAATTGTGATGAGGTCAGGCACAGTGGCTTACGCCTGTAATCCCAGCACTTTGGGAGGCCGAGGTGGGTGAATCTCTTGAGGTCAGGAGTTCGAGACCAACCTGGCTATTGGGGGTGAAACCCTGTCTCTACTAAAAATACAAAAAAATTAGCTGGGTGTGGTGGTGCGCGCCTGTAGTCCCAGCTACTCGGGAGGCTGAGGCAGGAGAATTGCTTGAACCCAGGAGGCGGAGGTTGCAGTGAGCTGAGATTGCACCACTGTACTCCAGCCTGGGCAGCAGCACAAGACTCTGACTCAAAAAAATAAGAAAGAAAAAGAAAAAGAAAGTGTGATGATTACAAGGGTAGGGAAATAACACCTGCACACTCGCTGCCAATCTGTGTCCACACAGCTGGACCCAGGGAGGGGTAGATGGGCTGTTTCTACTGGCAGGGAACATGACAGAATTTAGGGATTCAATGTCCCCAGCTTTACTGGAATCTTCCCTTATGTTCCCATTCCGATTTTCAAGTTGTCCTCACTTTAACTGAAGACACCCTGCAAGGCTGGAATTTGGGAATTGGATTTGCGACATAATTCAGCCACATGCAAGATGAGACTTTGGGTTTCCTTTTCACAAATCTCAGCCCTGGCCAGGCAGGGTGGCTCACAACTGTAATCCCAGCACTTTGGGAGGGTGAGGCAGGCAGATCACTTGAGCTCAGAAATCTCAACCCTGCAGCTACAGGAGATAGGGGTCTCTTCTAAGGAAGTCACAGCAGTTTTTATGCAGAGCTTGAGCTGGGAATTTGAAACCTTGAGCTCCTCCTTTTTTTTTTTTCTCCACTTTGTCCAGTGTAGTTGGGAGCAACCAGCCAATTTAATACATCCTAGTTTGACTACAATGTTCTAAGGGGTGGGGGGTGTAAAACATAGCCAAGGACAGATGCAGGGGACAATATGGGTGCTAGCTCATGCCTGCACTCTCCCCTGCGTCATGTGGGTGGTGTCTTCTCCCAGTTATGACAGGGGTAACGGAAGGGATGCACTGCAGGATTTCTGGACCTGACTGGGTGACTTCCACAAGCTCCTCTGAATTCACTGTCAGTCTCCAATCATGGAGGACCCTGAGGCTGGGAGTGCTGTGCTTCCAGTGCGTTGCATGGTCAAAAGGGGAGCCCCGGCTTCCCCTTTTCTCCAGTCTCAATCTCCCTACCCTCTTCATACTTATGTGGAATTCTCTTCAGTTCCTCCCACACCATGTTCCCTCCGCCTTTGCACAGGCAGAGCTCTCTTCCTCTCTTCGCCTGTCACTCCTGCTCACCCTGTAGCCCCTGTGTCGGTGGCACACTTCCATTGCTGCACAGGAGTACTGGGATGGGGCTGTGGATGTTATTTCCCTGTCCTTGAACTCATCACACCTGTCTGCCATCACTGCTGTACTTGCCACCCACAGCCGACTACAAGACCCAAGAGGGGAGGGGCCACGCCCAACCTATGCCTCATTCTGTCTCCTGGCCCCCACGCCATATTTGGCACATGAGGACTGCTAAAAAAAATTGTAGAGGAGGTCCACTCCTGAGAGGGAGTATTTCTAGTCTCAGAACTGCCAGTTAGGGGTTTGAGACCTTGGACAGGTCTCTCATCTCTGCAAGCCTCTACAAAATGGGAGAACACCTAGATTGCAGGACTAGCTGATAAGACAAAGAGACTATCCTACACTCATCCAAGTACTTTGAAAAGGACCAAGTAATTATTACATAAAACCTGGGATTCTCCAGGGGACCTGGAGCCTCCTCCTTTGTCAGTCAGACTGTAGACAGGTATGGCTTCTCATCTCCCTCCTGGCTATGTAAAGAATATTTATCTCCTAAGACTATACTTTCAGGGATCATTTCTGTGGTTGGTTACCAGAGAAGTTTCTCTGAACATGTAGAGCACTGGTAAAAAAAAATAAATAAGAAATCATTTATTTATTTTTTGAGACAGAATCTCACTCTGACGCCCAGGCTGGAGTGCAGTGGTGTGGTCTTGGCTCACTGCAACCTCCCCCTCCCGGGTTCAAGCAATTCTCCTCCCTCAGCCTCCCGAGTAGCTGGGATTACAGGTGCCCACGACGACGCCCAGCTAATTTTTGTATTTTTAGTAGAGAAAGGATTTCGCCACGTTGGCCAGGCTGGTCTCAAACTCTTGACCTCAAGTGATCCGCCTGCCTCGGCCTCCCAAAGTGCTGGTATTACAGGCATGAGCCACCGTGCCTGGCCAAAAATAAATTTAAAAAATTTTATCTCCATTGGTTAGTGTGTAAAATGTCACATCTAACAAAGTATGTTTGCTATGTAGAATGCCAAAGGTGGTGTTGATTTAGTAACTCATTACTAAATTTCCCAAAATGAGGCACATGGATAGTCCTGGGCCATTCTCAGGAAGGGAAAGCCCCAGCTTCAGGCATATTAAAGGACCCAGAAGGCCTGCAGTGAAGAAATCTATGAACTTGGATCAGCCTGAGGGTTCCAAAATGTACTTGATCATGAAGCTCATTTTTTAGGGGTGGGGGGGGGGGGTGGGGGGGGCGGGGGGGTAGAGTGTTTCTTCTACAGAACTAGGATTCAAGAAATTGCACCTTAAAAACACAGACTTAGAAAGCTGCTATAGCCAGAGCTGAAATCTGGGGCTTTTTCAGTTATTTACTTGCTACTTAATAATAAAGGCCCAAACCAATAATTTTCTAAGTATTCAGAGTGGTGTGTGGCCCATGATTGTGGCACATTGAGTAGCTGTGGTGGAAGCACTGAATTTCTGCCATGTCCCACCTGTCAGCCGTCTTAGGCCTTAATTGCTAAGAGTCCTGCTTGCCCCAGTGGGGATGGGGTGCCAATCTGAACCCTGGTTAGCTCTGTTCAGGGGCACCTTCCTGGCACTATTTATTTTGGGCCTGTAGAACCCAGAGTTTAAGCCACAAACTGACATTTCAGGGGGTAAAATCCCCACTCCTTCAGAAACAGATGGTACCACAGCTGCCTGGGGCCTTGGGCCCCTTGCCAAATGGTGATGGCCTTGCCTCTGAAAAGCAACAGGCTTTTCCACCCAAGACTTTGGGAATTCTTAATGTTTGTTTTCCTAAACCAGCAGGACCTCATTCCCAAGCATGTGCAGAATCCAGCTGTTTGGCAGGAAGAGCACGTCCTGTGGCTGAGCTTTTACTCCTGCTGCCACCCTTCTTACCTTGAGCTGGAGAGAAGGTGAGTCATTTCATACCTCATCATTTTTCCCCCATCATTTCATACCTACTCTAGTTACAAGTCATTTCTTCCTTGAAGCAAACTATCTCTTCACAATTTGTGAATATTCATTGCCTTCTGATAGTTCTGTTCTAGAGGCACACAGTTATTTGAAACTTTTTGCTATTTAACTCCTTACAAAAGGGTTTCAGTTGGCTTTGAAAGCATAACCACACATAAGACATCTTTGTACCTACCCAGCGTCTTGCTATGAGTTGTTTAGTGAATGTTTATCTTAGGTAAACAATGTTTCCGATGAGGATTAATTTAAATGACCACAATCATGATAGAAAAGGCTGATTTATTTTGCCAAATAGAACACCTACACATAACATTACTCACGTAAAAATATATAAAACTTTGCTTTAAAGATTAGTCCCTGGCTGGGTGCGGTGGCTCACATCTGTAATCCCAGCACTTTGGGAGGCCGAGGCGGGCAGATCACCTGAGGTCAGGGGTTTGAGACCAGCCTGGCCAACATGGGTGAAACCTCGTCTCTACTAAAAATACAAAAAATTAGCCAGACATTGTGGTGGGCACCTGTAATCCCAGCTATTCGGGAGGCTGAGGCAGGAGAATCGCTTGAACTCAGGAGGTAGAGGTTGCAGTGAGCCGAGATCGCGCCACGGCACTCCAGCCTGGGCAACAGAGTGAGACTCCATCTCAAAACAAAAACAAAAACACCACCAAAAAAAACAAAAAAATGATTAGTTACCACAGTAGTACTTAAAGGATTAAAATCACAAACATAAGCTCAGCTTACAAAAGCATGAAATTTGAGCTGGTGAAACTATTGCAGATTTGCCAAGGTGAAACCACTAAATTTACTAAATTTAAATTTGGGGAATTTAACTTTGATGGGTTCCTATATAAGCCAGTACTGTTTAAATCAGGAAATGGGGGGAAACACAGGTATATTCTTAGTAAATTAAAACTTTCAAGCTAAGTGTGATGGCGCATGCCTGTAGTCCCAGCTGCCAGGGTGGCTGAGGCAGGAGGTGGCTTAAGCCAGGAGTCTGGGGCTGTAGCCAGCTACCAGCCCACTTGTGAGTAGCCAATGTACTCTGGCCCAAGGAACAAAGCAAGACCCCATCTCAAAAACAAAAACGCCAACAAAAACTTTCATGGCCTTACCTGATCATTCTTACCGGCACAAACAGTCCTCTTCTGAAAAACAAGCATTCAGGTTAAACACCGACAACTCAGTTGTTGACTGTCTAGATACAACAAACGCAGAGTAAACTGCTAGGATGACAGGAGTCTCTGCCAGGGTCATTCATAGTAAAACTTTATTGAACAGAAAACCCAGCAAAGGTTTTCACCTCCGCAAAGTTCCCCTTAGTTTAAAGTAAAGCACTGCATTTTAAAAAGCAATTATACATAAGTCTTTCCTAGAAAAGTCCTGCTAAAACATGTCTAGCAATTTCATTGATTATATAAAGTAGTACACTTAGTGTAATTTAAACATTCCAACAGGAATCAAATCGTACCAGCAGAACCACTTCTGCATCTATGACTTCTATGTACAAACACACATGCAGACACACACATTTGGAAAAGTTCCTCAAGCATAGACATGCAACACCTAAGGCCTTCTACGTACAGTGCTTATTAAACTACATAGAGTATATATTAAAGCTCTTCAGAATAAAGACATGAGAAGCCTTGGGCATTTTTTGTTCACCAATTTGTATCACGGCTTCACGTTTCTGCTTTTGCTTGCTCACAAAAGCATATCATCATCCACACTGTTTTTTAAAAACTCATCATTGCCATGTCCAGGAGAGGCAATCTAGCTGGAGTCAGGTGATCCAGTCCATTCCTGTCAAAGCCTCCAACAGCTACAGCACAAACACCATCAGTTTGCGATGGCTGGGGGGCCTTCTGGAAGAAGAGAGGCAAAGAAAGTCTTGAAGACAAGCCATGCTGTGCTCATAAAGGAGGGGCTGGTCTGCTCGCCATCTAGTACATCCCTGTCTGGAGGGAGGTGGTTGGGGTCTTCAGTTTCAGGATCAGTGCCTTCCTACAGGTAATGAAACAATGAGGTAATGAAACAATGAGAAAACAATTAGGGCTATGATGAACACCAAATAATGTTAGGAAAGGGCAGGGTAAATCCCTGCCCCCTGCCCCATAGGCACAGCAGCAGGCAGCCAGGACCCCAGGGAATGATGCCCTAGGCTGGATAGGGCTGTTTCTCAGGCTTCCACAGCACAACTGTGTTGATGTTGTCATAGTTTTGACTGCTCCTGGCAGCAAATATCAAATGAAACAACTAGATCTGCAACTATTATTATTATTTTTGAGACAGAGTCTCGCTCTGTCACCCAGGCTGGAGTGCAGTGGTGTGATCTTGGCTTACTGCAACCTCCACCTCCCAAGGTCAAGCCATCCTTCCGCCTCAGCCTCCCTAGCAGCTGAGAATACAGGCACGCCCAACTAATTTTTGTAATTTTAGTAGAGACGGGGTGTCACCATGTTGGCCAGGCTGGTCTTAAACTCCTGACCTCAGGTGATCTACCTGCCTCAGCCTCCCAAAGCGCTGGGATTACAGGCGTGAGCCACCACGCCCAGGCTTCAACTATTATTAAACTAGTAGTTAACCACTTCATACCAGTTCTTATGGTATAACACACTGTTACAGACCACTGAACGCTCAAAATAGTGGGTTTAAAAAAATGTTATTTACTTAAGCCAAAATGCAAATTGCCACGTCAAAAATATGTGATAGAATGTGATGGCACATTCGACGTTTTAAAAATAGCTGCTGCTCTAAGAAGAAATGTGAACAAATCATGAAATATTTAGCCCAATAAAATGGTAAACCGCAAGCTGGCAATCTAAAGGTTGAGGATTGGAGAGCCTGGCATATCACGTCAAGCTCGCCTGGGCTTCGTGGGAGGCTCCATACCTGTAAGTTATTGTTGGGGTCCTGATTTACAACGTCAGGAGGAGGACCATCATTTGGGAAGTTCTGAACCGGCCTCGGTCTAAATGGAAACCACCCAACGTGATGCCTTCAAAGGAAGCACATAAAAGTCCATCTTAGCTGATGTCACAGTGAGACTTACTCAAGAATCCAAGGCTCCCCACCTCTAATCACAGCAGCACCCTGATAAGCTCACTGCAAGACCCATCTACAGAGGCATTTGATCACACTGTCTCCCAGACATTCTCACCAGTCTGTAAGGTCCTTGAAGGCAGGGACTGTGTTTTATTCATCATTGCACACCCAGCCATATAAACAGCACCTGGCACATAGTATGCACTCAATAAATGCTTATGACGAACTAAACCTTACCCTTGAAAACCTGAACAGAGCGGGGAGAATGCATATACCTACAAAGCTATAATTATATATAACATAATGACAACCTACATTTGGTCTTTTAAATATATGATTCTAGAGACTACAGAAAATATTAACTAAACGTTTTATTTGAAGAAACCAATTAAATCCCAAGTCTTAAATATAATAAAATATTAACAATGACTAATTGTGGATATTTGAGTGTTCATTATATTCTAATTATTCCTTTTTTATTTTTAAAAGCTAAAATAAAAATCCATTTTTACTATACAGGAAAATTTCTTCTTTTAGTTTCAACCACGAAGACCCATCACTCTAGGCCAGGCTTTCTCAGCTTTGGCACTAGTGACATATTGAGCCAAATATTTACTGTGGGAGTTGTCCTGTGCATTGTAGAAAATTCAGCAGCACTCTTGCTTCTACTAACTAGACGCCAGCAGGACCACTTCCCCTAGATGTGACAACCAAAAATATCTACACATTGCCAAATGTCCCCTGGGGAGAGAGGGTACAAAACCACCCCCAGTTGAGAACTACTGCTTCGGGCCACAGCTAAAACCAAATGTCAGGTATGTGAAGGTTCCCTTGCCTTTCAGGGCCATGCTAACAGTCAGTGCCTGACTTTACCCTGGAAGGCAGCTGTGGTCTGATAAAGGCAAATGTGTTCTCATTCAAAACAAATACAGTTTTCTGTTCCATGCCTCAGTATGGCTACATACTTGTGGTTTGTGAGCCTGGAAGGTAAGGTAGCTTATCTAGAGGACAAGATAATATTCTTATATTAACACAGGATTGATATGTTCTTGGGACCATACAACCAAGCCATGAATTCCTTGTATCGAAAGTGCCAGAATACATACTATTTATTATGTATTTATTCTAAGACAGGGTCTTGCTCTGTCACCCAGGCTGGAGTGCAGTGGTGCGATCTTGGCTCACTGCAACCTCTGCCTCCCCAGTTCAAGCAATTCTCCTGCCTTAGCCACCCAAGTAAATTACAGGCCCGTGCCACCACACCCGGCTAATTTTTTGTATTTTTAGTAGAGACGGGGTTTCACCATATTGGCCAGGATGGTCTCAAACTCCTGGCCTCATGTGATCCTCCTGCCTCGGCCTCCCAAACTGCTGGGATTACAGGTGTGAGCCACTGCGCCCAGCCACAGAGTGATATACTATTTAAACACATCTCCTTCTACAGTAACTGAGACTGCTCAAAAAAGAGCAAAATCTGGCCAGGCGCAGTGGTGGCTCACGCCTGTAATACCAGCACTTTGGGAGGCCAAGGTGGGCAGATCACTTGAGGTCAGGAGTTCGAGACCACCTGGCCAACATGACCAAACCCCGTCTCTACTAGAAATATAAAAATTAGCCAGGCATGGTGGTGGGCGCCTGTAATCCCAACTACCCAGGAGGCTGAGGCAGGAGAATCGCTTGAACCTGGGAAGCGGAGATTGCAGTGATTGTGCCATTGTACTCCAGCCTGAATGACAGAGCGAGACTCCATCTCAAAAAAAACAAGAAACAAAAAGAGCAAAATCTGCTTAGTGTGAACACAGTGTAGTGTAATTTATATTAGAGAAACCATCTGCTTACAGGTACATAACAACGGTGGCCCCCATGACCATGAGGAATCTGCTCAGGGAGGAGTAGAAGTAGAGGATACTGAGAAAAACAGAAAATGTAGCTGCTGAATAGGTCCAATCCAACCAATCTCGATTTATTTCATCATCTTCTTCCACAATAGGGCCACCTTGTGCATTCATCCGCAAATTTTGATTGGCTCCAGGATTAACAACCACTTGAGGAGCAGCATTCTGATTGGCAGGCTGGTTTTCAGCTGGAAACTGGTTGTGAATAGGGGCTGGAGCAGGTGCAGAGACCACAGGTATCTCTTGTGCACTTGGTGGTGGAACAAAAGCCCCTGATGCAGCAGTGGCTGCTAAACTAAAATAAAAACGACAGAGGCAGATACTGTTGAGACCAAAGCACCGTGAAGTCTGTGGCTTATTTACACAGCAGTCTTTTACTGTTAAGAATTTCAAGTAGGTAGATATGCCTTTGATTTTTCTTCAATTTAGTGAAGAACTTCCTTACTAACTATATCTATAAATGCCTTTTCTAAGAAAAGCCACAAGGTGAATTTCACCTGAAATTAAACATCAAGCCCACTGTAAGATTATGGCACAGTAGCAAATTAAAATCCTCACAAAACTTTGAAGATAGCACAAATTGAAAAGAAAGTAACATGTTCTAAATAAAGTCACTAAACTATGTATCAGACAAAAGCACCCTTGTGTCAATACACAAATCAGGTAGCAGCTGTCATTTACACTCTACCCACAGACCAAACAGAGCAGGGCTCTGCAGACTGATGAAAATACACTCATCCCTCCATTCTGAACTTTACAGGTAACATGGATAAAATTCCCTTCAATTCCCGGGAGCCCTGGCCACACCCAGCATGGCGGGAAGGACTCACTATTGCATGTAGTACTGTCGTGCATATATCTGCTGGAACCAGGAAAGCTGAAGCCACCCATAGGGTGTGTAACCGGAGAAACCAGGACCCAGGCCTTGGAATGCCTGCTGGGCAGCTTCAGGCCTATACATAGATTTGAAAAAACACTCATTTTGAGTGGGTTGAGTATGAACAAATGAAAACTAAGTTTAAATTAAAATCAAGAATTCAAATCGAAGAGACAGAAGAATGGAATTTACGGCAGTTACATGGTAAATGACTGTATGACGCACCCATGTACCACAAGCACAGAAGGTACTAAATGACACAGCACTTCTACCACAGTCCCATCCCACAGGAAAACAACAGCCCTTGCCACCTGCTTGCTGAGTGCACAGATATATAAACAACCTTTTTGGGTTAAGTAGATCCCACCTCAGTTTTGACTTGTTGAGTCTCACTGCAGGTCTCAACCCACTGTTCATCTTTTAGAGAGCAGCTCAAAAGCCACATTTCTCCCAGTCTTTCCTGAAGGAAATCTCTCCCATCCTCCCAATATCCACTTCTTCCTCCATCCTCCATCTGAATCTATAGTGAAGTGTGCATGTGGTATCACCTGTGCATGCTTACTGACCACCGGGGGTCCTGTACAGGCTGCTGGGTCCACAGCAATCTCATGAAGGAGATTTTACAAGGGGAACCCAAGTACAGCTCAGGGAAGACAGGGGCTTTGCACAAGGTCACTGAGCTAGTAAGTAGCAGGGCTGGATTTCAGAGCTGGTCTGATGTCAAATGCATGCTTCTTTTTTTTTTTTTTTGAGATGGAGTCTCGCTCTGTTGCCCAGCCTGGAGTGCAATGGCGCAATCTCGGCTCACTGCAAGCTCCACCTCCCGGATTCACACCATTCTCCTGCCTCAGCCTCCCCAGTAGCTGGGACTACGGGCACACGCCACCACACCTGGCTAATTTTTTGTACTTTTAGTACAGACGGGGTTTCACCGTGTTAGCCAGGATGGTCTCAATCTCCTGACCTCGTGATCCGCCCACCTTGGCCTCCCAAAGTGCTGGGATTACAGGTGTGAGCCACCGCGCCCGGCCAAATGCATGCTTCTTTAATCAGGCCACACAGCCCTCAACTTCACAGGGCAGGTGTATGCGAGTCATCTTTGGCTTTGTGCTTCTTACACAGTCAATTTCTTCAGTAGCACATCACAAAATTGAAACCATAATAGAATTGCCCAAAGATCAGAAATTGGTTATGTGGTCATTCCTGCAGGTCAACTCATATCCTTAAGCAAAGTTGTATGTACTGGCTGTTCAATAAATATTTGTTAAAGGAAATCAAGTTTAAATATGGTGAGATTCAGAGAGTCAAATATGAGCCTCAATTCTCAAGTTAAGAATAGTTGAATCAGAATAAGGGAAGTAGTTTTAAGTTTTTCTAACCAATAATTTTCTATCCAATAATTATCCAATTTATATGCTGACAATCTTTTAACTAAATTCCATACACAGAGTATTTCTAAAATAGTATTCCAATACAAGTAAGCTTTGGTATGATGCTGTTTTTGATCATTTAAGAAAATTACAGTGCATGGAAATAAAATGATAAAGTGCTTTTAAGATTTCTGTTAGATCTGATAATGGCATTCTAGATATACAAGATAACTAAAAGGTTTTCATAGTTATATACTGAAGAATATAGGGATGAAATAACATGATGCCTGGGAATTACTTTTAAATACTCTTTTTTTAAAAAAAAGGGAAAGGGTAATAGATGAGCTATGGTAAAACTCTGATTGTTATTTATTAGGCCTGGGTGATGGTGTGGGGATTAATTATCCAGTCCCCACTGTTGTGTATATTTGAAAGTTCCATTAAGGGGGAAAAGGAAGAAAAACTCATTCCTAAAACACCTGGCTTTATAAAATATTGTGTATAAAAAGTACTAGAAAAAGGGGGACGGAGAATTGGAGAGTTACAGAATTGCAACTTGCAGTTAATGAATTTTTCCCCAAAAACAATGTATTCCAAGAGCTATAAAAATCCAAATAACAGAGCATTTAGTTCTGACTTTTGCTCTAAAGAAAAGCTTTAATAGTTATAAGAAATTGGCCAATTTTCCTAGTACCCCCAAGTCTTTGGAAGGACACTTCTTAAACAGTCTCTCCCTTGTTGTCACCCATTGTTACAATAAAGCACAAAGCCACTCAGCAAAGCAGCTGCACAATGCTTACGACAGCTGTTTTCTCCTGCAGCAGCACTAATTTCCTATCATGACGGCAACCAAGCGGTCAGCACAATGGAAGGATAAAACGCCTACATTTTCTTTTTTTTTTCAATATATGCATTACCTACTTTTTAAATTTGTGTGTACTAAAAGGCTGTGTATTAAGAAAAGTTAAATATATAAGAGATCTTTAAAGCGAAGCTATTTATAAAGCAAAATTCTGTATGTTTAAAAGTTCTGATTATATACGTGTAAACATACCTTATTCTTAAATTGATGCAAACGAGGAACATTCATGTTGCATAAGCCAAGATCTTTATTATAACACTCACCTTGAGATGTTTTCCCATCCAGGGGAAGAAAGGTTCCGAAGAACTTCCCTTTGCCTTAAACCATCACTTGAGGAATCCTCAGGATACTGTCCCCGATTAGAACCAGCAGGCTCCTCTGTGGATTCAGCCACCTAAATAAGTGTAACATGAACACAGAACAAAGGAGCTGATGCAACTGTCTGAAATCAAGCAAAAGGAATTATTTTGCTGTCAAGGGCTTACATCTCCTACCCCCCACCTCTGAACGTGACAAAATTAAACAGAAGCAACGTTATGTAAAAAATAGTCTGACATTTATTCAACATAATTTTCAATACATAGATGCTAA
The DNA here is from genome assembly GCF_000001405.40 of Homo sapiens. Lineage (NCBI taxonomy): Eukaryota > Metazoa > Chordata > Mammalia > Primates > Hominidae > Homo > Homo sapiens. The sequence continues at coordinate 56,936,489 of NC_000016.10, read as the reverse complement.
AATATTCATATTTTTTCCCTAGAGTATGCTACACTTTCATTAAAATCTTCCAATGAAGTTGTCATTGGTGAGAAAGCTTCCTGATAATGGTGCTAAATTTACTCATTGCAGACATCTGACCAACAAGATTTATAAATACAACCCAGCCCACAACTTTCTAAAATAGTATTCCAATATAAGTAAGCCTTGGTATGATACTGTTTTTGATCATTTAAAAAAATTACAGTGCAGGGAAATGAAATGATAAAGTGCTTTTAAGATTTTTGTTAGAACTGATAATGGCAAAATAGGGAATTTCCTATGCTCTGTTCAGATGTTCTAGGAAATATAATGCAAATTTAGAGTGCATCACTACATTAGAATACTAATACCATATATGTGAATAAACATTGTGAAATGAAAAATAAATGGTTTCGTGTGTCATATATGTCTTTAGAGCCAGGTCTAGTGGCACATGCCTGTAGTCCCAGCTACTCAGGAGGCTGAGGTGGGAGGATCGCTTGCCCTCAGGAGTTTGAGAAAAGCCTGGGCCACACAGCGAGACCATTTTTAAAAAAAAAAAATTCTTTAAAGATCACTTGATAAAAACTCTGATCTTTTCCTATCCAACTAATCACAATGAAAATTTCCAAAGGAAATATATTCACTTTTGTACTCTTTATAAAAATTAGTGACTCCTTTGAAGAAACTTGCTATGTGCTAAATTCAATAAAAACCCGATTAGTGTTAGTTCAGTAATCTAGATACACAGTAACCATAGATCAAATCATATCCCATAAGATAGTGCAATATGTAACTCCACCTTTCTACTACAGCACTAACGGAACAATCTGCTACTATTAACTCATCACTTTGTGTTGATAATACAGTTTCTAATTCCTAGGAAAGAAACAAAATATTACTTGGTAATAACACCATACAGTCTCTCAATAAACGTTTTATCCAACTTCTTTTATTACTCCCCTGAAAGTCTGAATGATACAAATTGTTACCATCATGAAGAGGCAGACACACCTTGGCGTTGATTTCTGGCATTTTTGAAGGACTCTTCACATTGCACACCAGATGCAAAACATGCCGTTTTTCCTGCTAAAAGTAATACGAAGGTACTTAAGGACCTGAACCTAACCTGGTGAGTGCTTAAAAACATTCAGAAGTTAATGTGTAAGTGATGTACCTTTGGAAGCAAGTCCCTGAGACATTGGTGATCCAACAACAGCTTCCCAGAATAAATTAACCTCTGGTCCTCTGGACGCTGATCATGGAAAGAAAGAGTAACACAGGTCAGCATTTCACCCCTACAAGTTCCTAAACACAGAATAAACTGTTTTATACAAGTAATTTGAATATGTGTGTTTCCCCCCAGCATCACGGGAAAACACTTTCTCAAAAGCCCCATATACAAGACTTCTATTTAGAAAGTGTCTTAACTTTAACTGGTCTCTAACACGCAAATAAATACAGAATGGCAAATTATCGGCTGGGCATGGTGGCTCATGCCTGTAATCCAAGCACTGTGGGAGGCCAAGGCGGGCAGATCACCTGAGGTCAGGGGTTCGAGACCAGCCTGGCCAACATGGTGAAACCCCATCTCTACTAAAAATGCAAAAATTAGCTGGGCGTGGTGGCTTGTGCCTGTAACCCAAACTACTCAGGAGGCTGAGGCAGGGGAATCGCTTGAACCAGGGAGGCAGAGGTTGCAGTGAGCCAAGATCATGTCACTGCACTCCAGCCTGGGCGACAGAGTGAGACCCTATCTCAAAAAAAAAAAAAAAAAAAAAAAAAAAGAATGGCAAATTATCTCCAGTCCAAACTTAACTCCCAGGTAAACTGACTGACTCCTATTACTAAAAGCAACAAACAGCAAACAGGGAACCTACAACCAAATTGAGTTTGGTTTCAGAGAAAACTCAGAGAACTCCCAAGGCCAGCCTTAACCAAAATCACCCAGCAGTGCCCCAAAATAATATGAAGCTATTCTAAACTGAAGCCTTCACAGACAATTTCCTGGCATACAAATGCAGTTATAGAGGAGATGGCGTGTGGGTGACATTATACACAACCACCCTGTGAGATTTAGTATCCCTATTTTAAGGGAGGAAAGTCTGAAAAACTGACTTGTCCAAGGTCATCTGCTGCCACAGTGTCACAATTCCAACCCCTCTTCTCCTCCATATCAGTGATTTTAACACCATAGGGACTGCACACTCTTTTATACAAATCTCATTTTTAAAATCTATTTGAAACTCCGTCTAAATTGTACTTAAAAATAATGGCCTCAAATAATATTAACATATAATCTGTCTATTGGAGATCACTAACGTGTTAATCTACTCTTGCCAGAATAACTGATTATGCGAAACCTGGAATAAAGGTGTTCCTGCCAAGTAGCTTGAGATAATTAAAGCAAGCTGTTTAAACAAACAAAACAGCAAAAAGTGCATCTACTTATCCATATACATCAGAACTTTTTGACACTGTGTAACTAAACCAAAATAAATATACTGAATGCTGTGTTCACCGTTTTTCTGACGGATGAGAACTTTAAAGGTAAATGCTAATACATACGTGAATTTGGAAAACAGTACCTTTTGTATATGTAGGGTCCTGCATTTATTACAGAGTTCAACCAATAGAAAAGGCCGGAAAACCACAGCTGCCAGTGGTTTTGAATTATTTTCCCCCTTTTAAAGGCCTAACTTGATATTGAGTCTTCACACAGATGGCTGATTTGAAAAATATTAAGTAAAGCAAACAACTATTACAAAGTAGGCCTTCTCATATTATGCCATTTTCTACTACAGAAAACAAATGATAAGTATGTTTCAGCCATAATAATTTTTAGACACAAATTTGTATACCTGAGAGGTATTTGTTTACAATGTTAGGTCTTCAGACTGAACAGATGGGAGCGGCATTCCTCATCAAAGGAAGACCTTAAAAATCCTCCGCCAAAATCCTGCCTTTTGCCATATGATGCAACCATAGGCTACACCTGCTTCACCAATTTGTGTACCCAATAGTCATTCTCATGGCAACACAGCCACCCAGTTTCTTGGAAGCAGCTATGGTGAAACTGAAAAATGTGCCAGGGTGAATTCTAGAGGACATGGAATGCAAGCTTACTAAATAAATATGCAAATTTCAAAATAACAACTCAGAAGGAAAACTCACTTCTAAAACATTCTTGACCATATGAAACAAAAACAGACACAGGCGCTACCACAAGCTGGAACTCACGACTTCACTATCTTTTCCTGCCCGGATGCCCTCTCCTGTGTGATGAAGAATTATGCTCGTGGGCAGTGAAGAACACTGCTGACACTTACATAATATCAGAGCAGAAAGTAAATACAGGAAGGGCCAGCTTACAGCCTCATCACGTGGTGGCCAGGGCAGGCGGTGCTAAGGGTGATGTTGACAGATGTGTCAACCAAAACAAAGCAAGGAAGTCTTGCTAATAATGGAGAGGCTGCCGTCCTAAAACCAGACTGAAGGCGACTCCTGCCTGCTTCCCTTCTCAGTCGCTCTTGGTCAGAAAGTGCACGGGGCTCCACCCCGGGACTCGGCAATGGCTGCTCGGTCCAGTGCGACAGGGAGGGGCACGGCGGAAGGTGGCCAGGGAGGAGAAGAGCCACGTCCTGCTTCTGGGTGTGGGGCCTTCCGTCCACAGTGTCTGGGCGGTCCCCAGGTTTCTCAAGCCACGGCCCCGGGTGGCACCTGCCCGCTCCTCTCCCTGCAGAGAGGCTGCGTTCAGAAACCTCATTTTGCAGCACGGATGTTTTCTTACTTCTAGCCATTGGATGCAAGCCCAATTAGGAACACCGAGTTGCCTGGCCGCTGGGGGAGAAACAGGCTTGGAGGGTGAAATGACTCGCCCAAGGTCAGGCTGCTGATTACTGACGGCTACTGGGCAACAGAGGGGCGCCCGCGTCGGCGGGGCAGGGAAGGGGAGACCACAGCCCTGGGGGAGGTGACCGGCCGAGCGATCGCAGCCGTCAGCGGGAGGAGGCCACAGGACAGGGCAGCCGGACGTGGCATCCCCAGCAGAGGGCGGGGGGCCACAGCCTAGGGGCGGGAAGTCGGGGCCGCTCTCACCGGACGCTCGGGGTAGACGCGGCTCAGGTGGGCCTTGAGGTGGCCCACACTCCAGCCGCGGTCGCCACTCAGCTCCAAGTCGCGGTGGCGCTGGTTGGGGCTCTTCACCAGGAGCGTGACGGGCTCGGGTTCGGTCTCGGACTCCATGGCGGCGGCGGCGGTGTCGGGGCTCCGCTGCGCTCCTAGGTGCCAGGCAGGCGGCGTCTCAGCCGCCCGCAATCTCTGCAACGACAGTTCACGTCTCTGGGGCGCGCGCCCCCGCTTCGGGCGCCTTTTATAGAAGCCCCGCGCCCGGCTCTGCGGACAGAACGCTCTGTGGCTGCCGCCCATTGGCTGAGGCGGAGGCACTCTCCCAACGTGGCCCAATCGGCGTCCGGATCCGGGTGGCAGAGGGCGGACCGAGCACGTGGGCACGGGCTGATGCAACCCGCCGCGTCTGCGTCACCCAGAGGCGCGGCTGTGCCCCGGGAACCCGGGTTCGGTGGCCATGTTTGGGTGCGCTGCAGGCCGCGCGGGGAGCTTGGTCTGAGACCTGCGAGGCCCCCAGCTCGGGTGGCTGAGGGCGCCCGAGGCAGGGGGTGGGGAGTGGGGTATCCTAGCAGACCCCAGTTTAGCAGTCTCTGCAAATTCTTTCCTCACAAAGCCGCACCCCCACCCTTTTTCACCCCAGGTGTCAGTGCCCACTTCCCCTTTTCCTGCCTCTGTGGCCCCACGTGGAAACCTACGGGGAAGCCCGTCCTACAGGGGAAGCCTACCCACTCGAACCCTCAAAGAACGGCTGGGCGACCCCGAGTGCAAGCCCACCTAGGAGAACTCCACGTGCTCCTAAGAAAGACAACGAAGGAGCAAGGCCAGATTTTCCTTGGGCTGGGAGGATGGAGGCATCCAGGCAGCTGTTGCCAATTTCCCTGGGCCTCAGACTTGAACGTTTGGGACATCACCCTAATGATGATTGACAAGTCAGCCACAGTCCTGCTCACACTGGAGTCCCCCTCAAAACGCGTCACTTTATAAGATACTCACACATGCACCCGTTAAATTGGGGCTGAGACGAGGAGGGCGGGGTTCTCCGATTCCTGAAGTGGGACCATAAAGGCCTCTTTATTGTAGGCGTTCCCTCCTCCTCCTCTGTAGGAAAAAAAAAAAAAAAAAAAAAGGCTTGAAAAACAAAACTGACATTGCCCCGGCTCCCTCCTTGTTCCAACCCCCTTGGGACATCTGTTTTTTCAGGTGTTGTCAGGAGCTTGTCAAGGTCAGGAAGGTAACAGGAGGAGCCTGGTCTGGTTGGTGGGTATATTCATCTGCTGCAGCTGCCATAACAAAGTGCCACAAACTGGATGGCTTAAGACGGGGTCCCCAACCCCCCTGGGCCACGGACCACTATGAGTCCCTGGCCTATTAGGAACCAGGCGGCACCGCAGGAGGTGAGCCACCAGCGAAGCTTCATCTGTATTTACAGCTGCTCCCTATCGCTGCATTACCACCTGAGCTCAGCCTCCTGTTAGATCAGGGGGCATTAGATCCTCACAGGAGCCGAACCCTATTGTGAACTGTGCACGCAAGGGAACTAGGCTGTGCTCCTTACGAGAATCGAATGCCTGATGATGGGAGGTGGAGCTGAGTTGCTGATGCTAGTGCTGAGAGTGGCTGCAAATACGGATTAACATTAGCAGAGAGGTTTCACTGCACAGAGGCCATCATAAATCAATTGCTTGCAGACTCATATCAAAACACTATCAGTGAGTGGCAAGTGACAAGCTGCATCTGGTGGCAGGCTTTACAATGGCAAGTGTATGTACTTCAGTTGTACAGCTGCATCTGGTGGCCTTAAAAGTATGTTTGAGGCTGGGCGAGGTGGCTCACGCCTGTAATCCCAACATTCTGGGAGGCCGAGGCAGGTGGATCACAAGGTCAGGAGTTCCAGACCAGCATGACCAACATGGTGAAACCCCGTCTCTCCTAAAAAATACAAAAATTAGCCGGGCATGGTGGCACGTGCCTGTAATCCCAGCTACTCAGGAGGCTGAGGCAGGAAAGTTGCTTGAACCCGGGAGGTGGAGGTTGCAGTGAGCCGAGATTGTGCCATCGCACTCCAGCCTGGGCAACAGAGCGAGACTCCGTCTCAAAAAAAAAAAAACAAAAACACAACAACAACAACAACAAAAAAACAGTATGTTTGAGACAACTTCAAATCTCCACGTTCTGGGTTAAAGTCTAGGCTTTAATCCTGAGATGGCCACAAAAACACTGAAAAGCCTGCTTTCATTTCCAACATCCTTTTTTTTTTTGAGACAGGGTCTCACTCTGTCGCCCAGGCTGAAGTGCAATGGCACGTTCTCGGCTCACTGCAACCTCCGCCTCTCTGGTTTAAGCCATTCTTGTGCCTCATGCCTCCGCCTACCAAGTAGCTAGGATTACAAGAGTGCACCACCACACTTGGCTATATATATAATTTTTATTATTTTTAGTAGAGACAGATGGGGTTGTGCTATATTGGCCAGGCTGGTCTTGAACTCCTCGCCTCAAGTGATCCAGCTGCCTTGGCCTCCAAAAGTGCTAGCAGTACAGATGTGAGCCTCCATGCCTGGCCTATTGCAACATCCCATCTCTGTGAAGCAGGGTTTTCTGCAGTGACAGCAGCCAAAATGGGTAGACTTGACATAAGCACCATACTTCGGGTGTCACTGTCTCCTATCACCCACAGATGAGACCATCTAGTTGTAGGAAAACAAGCTCAGGGCTCCCACTGATTCTACACCATGGTGAGTAGTATAATTATTTCATTATATATTACAATGTAATAATAATAGAAATAAAGTGCACAATAAATGTAATGTGCTCGAATCATCCTGAAACAATGCCCCCCCCACCCCACCTCTGGCCTGTGGAAAAACTGTCTTCCACAAAACTGGTCCCTAGTGTCAAAAAGGTTGGGAACTCCTGGCTTAAGAAACAGAAATTTATTGTCTTGGTTCTGGAAACTGGAAGTCTGAGATCAAGGTGTCGGCAGGGTTGGTTCCTTCTGAGGCCTCGGGGGAGAATCTTCCAGGCCCCTCTCCTATCCTGGTGGTTTGCTGGCACTTTTTTTTTTTTTGAGACGGAGTCTCGCTCTGTCGCCTGGGCTGGAGTGCAGTGGCATGATCTCGGCTCATTGCAAGCTCTGCCTCCCGGGTTCACACCATTCTCCTGCCTCAGCCTCCCAAGTAGCTGGGACTACAGGTGCCCGCCACCACGCCTGGCTAATTTTTTGTATTTTTAAGTAAGGACAGGGTTTCACCGTTTGCCAGAATGGTCTCGATCTCCTGACTTTGTGATCCACCCGCCTCGGCCTCCCAACATACTGGGATTACAGGCGTGAGCCACGGCGCCTGGCCGATTTTTTTTTTTTTTTTTTTTTGAGACAGAGTCTCGCTCTGATGCACAGGCCAGAGTGCAGTGGCACAATCTTGGCTCACTGCAACCTCTACCTCCCAGGTTCAAGCAATTCTCCTGCCTCAGCCTCCTGAGTAGCTGGAACTACTGGCGCCCACCACCACACTTGGCTAATTTTTGTATTTTTAGTAGAGATGGGGTTTCACCATGTTGACCAGGCTGGTCTCAAACTCCTGACTTCATGATCCGTCCACCTCGGCCTCCCAAAGTGCTGGGATTACAGGCGTGAGCCACCGCCCCCGGCCTGCTGGCACTCTTTGACGTTCCTTGGCATATAGAAGCATCACCCCAACCTGTCTTCATCTTCTCATGGGTTCTCCTTTTGTAGGTCTCTTCACATCATCTTCCCTGTGTGCATGTCTGGCTCTGTGTCCACATTTCTTTTTTCCATAAGAGTACCAGTCATCATGGATTGGGACCCACACTAATAACCTCATCTTAACTCCATCATCTGCAAAGGCCCTATTTCCCAATGCTGCCACATTCACAGGTACTGGTGGTTAGGGCTTCAGCATCTCTTTGGAGGACTCAATTCAGTCCACAATAGTCAATCTTAATATAACACACAATACAGGGTGATTTCTTTCTCAGCTGTCTTTATATTAAGATGAGAGGTTGAGGGCTTTGGAAATAAATTGTCCCCACACTCAGCTTTCTGCAAGTGGTTTTGGTCGGCTGAGAAGGCTCTGACCTTTTTTTCTTTTTTGAGACGGAGTCGTGCTCTGTTGCCCAGGCTGGAGTGCAGTGGCATGATCTCCGCTCACTGCAACTCCACCTCCCAGGTTCAAGCAATTATCCTGCCTCAGCCTCCCAAGTAGCTGGGATTACAGGTGCCCACCACCAAGCCAAGCTAGTTTTTGTATTTTTAGTAGAGACAGGGTTTCACCATGTTGGCCAGCCTGGTCTCGAACTCCTGGCTTCAAATGATCCACCTGCCTCGGCCTCCCAAAGTGCTGGGATTACAGGTGCGAGCCACCACCTGGCCTAACCCTTTTTTCATCAAAGCTGGCTTCATGGGTGTGGGACCCATGTAGTGGATGGGGCCCCATGCTTGGTTTAATGCTCTGCTATTATCTTTAAATTCTTAATAAATTTTAAACAGAAGCCTTGCATTTTCATTTTGCACTGGGTCCCACAAATTCTGTAGCTTTTCACACATCAGGATGGGAGATAATAACTGATTATGATCTGGTAGTCTTGCAACTAGGGAGAAGCTAACCAGTGGAGCAAGCCCAGGTAAAACCAACATAGGCATTAAAGGAGGCAGCAAGGCAGGAGGTGACAGCTGCATTGAGAAATCAAATATGCCAGTAGTGTGGTTTCCCCTCACCTGCAGTGACAAGCCTCAGGGCCCCTTAAGACGTTAAGATATCTTATCCCTTTCCACTCAGAAGAAAGAAAGTTTAGGAGTGTGATTTTGCATTTTCTTCCCCTAGGGAAAAGGCAATCTAATTTCTGTGATTCTCTCTTGAGTTATCGCCTGGTGAGATAGCTCCTTTTAAAGAAATTTGGGGACAGGAGTGGTGGTTCATGCCTATAATCCCAGCACTTTGGGAGACCAAGGCAAGCAGATAACCTCAGGCCAGGAGTTCGAGACCAGCCTGGCCAACATAGTGAAAAATCATCATCTCTACTAAAAATAGAAAAAAAATAGTCAGGCGTGGTGGCGGGCACCTGTAATCCCAGCTACTGGGGTGGTTGAGGCAGGAGAATCGCTTGAACCTGGGAGGCGGTGGCTGCAGTGAGCTGAGATCGCGCCACTGCACTCCAGTCTGGGAGACAGCGCGAGACTCAGTCTCAAATTAAAAAAAAAAAAAAAAGAAGAGAGAAATTCGGTGATTCTGCTTATAGCACATTTAGGAAAATGTTAAATACAGGTCAACGAATGTGCCAGGAATAGAAAGATAAACACAGCATGACCCTATTCTCAATGACTTTACAAATATAATGAGGATGCTAACAAAAAACACAGAAATAAAAGACTATCCCAAAGTCGAATACATTTCTGAAGGACTTATGATTACATTGAGAAAAGAAGAGAGGGAGTCAGAGAAAACTTGATGGAAGAGGTAGAATTTGAGCTGAATTCCGAAGGATGGGTGAGATTTGAATGAAAGTAATAATGGCAGCAATTACTGACTAAACACCATGGAGTGCCAGTGACTTTATACGCAGAATTTGTATGGGCAGGTAGAGCTCAGTGGTTAAACTCATGGGGCCACGGCCCAAATTAGGAAAATTAGGAATAATAACAGTATCTTCTGTTTCATAGGGTTTTTGTGAGGCTTAAATAGCACAAGTTGTCAAAGTTCTTGGGACAAACCCAGACATTTACTACGTGCTCAATCAATGTTAGCCATTAATATTTAGAGGACTGGACTGAGTCCAGTACAGTGGTTCCCAAATCTGACTGCAACAAAATCACTCCAGGAACATTTTTTTTTTTTTTTTGAGATGGAGTCTTGCTCTTGTCACCCAGGCTGGAGTGCAGTGGCGTGATCTTGGCTCACTGCAACCTCCGCCTCCTGGGTTCCAGCGATTCTCCTGCCTCTGCCTCCCAAGTAGCTGGGATTACGCCTGCCACCATGCCCAGCTAATTTTTTTTGTATTTTTAACAGAGACAGCGTTTCTCCATGTTGGTCAGGCTGGTCTTGAACTCCTGACATCAGGTGATCTGCCTGCCTTGGCCTCCCAAAGTGCTGGGATTGTAGGCGTGAGCCACCGCGCCTGGCCAGGATATATTTTTAAATAAGAATAATGACCACATCATTATATTAAGATAATGATAATATCAGATAACAGTCATTGGTAAGAATGGAAAAAAGTCTTGGGACAAGCTTAGAAAAGACTTTGAATGGTCACCCTTCGGAGTTTGGGCCTTATTTTGTGGACAATGGGAGGTTTTTGAGCAGTAGAAGGGACAGATCAGAATCAGTATGGATCCACGTCATTATGGAGGGGGACAGACTCCAGGCCAGGAGACTGATCAGTTCATTCAAGAGGAGATGAGGGCCAGGATTAGTGGCTCATGCCTGTAATCCCAGCACTTTGGGAAGCCAAGGCAGGCAGATCACCTGAGGTCAGGAGTTTGAGACCAGCCTGGCCAACATGTCGAAACTCTGTCTCTACTAAAGATATAAAAATTAGCCGGGCATGGTGGTGGGCGCCTCTAATCCCAGCTACTTGGGAGGCTGAGACAGGAGAATTGCTTGAACCCCAGGAGGCGGAGGTTGCAGTGAGCCAAGATCACACCACTGCACTCCAGACTGGGCAACAGAGCAAGACTCCATCTCAAAAGATATATATATATATAGGCCGGGCGCGGTGACTCATGCCTGTAATCCCAGCACTTTGGGAGGCCGACACGGGTGGATCACGAGGTCATGAGATCGAGACCAGCCTGACCAACATGGTGAAACCCCATCTCTACTAAAAATACAAAAATTAGCTGGGCATGGTGGCACGTGCCTGTAATCCTAGCTACTCGGGAGGCTGAGGCAGGAGATTTGCTTGAACCCCGGAAGCGGAGGTTGCAGTGAGCCAAGATCGTGCCACTGAACTCCAGCCTGGTGATGGAGCAAGACTCCGTCTCAAAAAAAAAAAAAAAAAGGAAAAAGAAATAAAGTAGGAGAGAAAGCATGTGAGGGAATGCAAGTTAGCAAGCTGAAGGGAAATCCACAGTGTTCAATGGGATTTCTGGAAATGTGGAAATGAAAGGAACATGGAAACTCTTTAAGTTGACTGTGGTAGTGCTGCAGTGTTGCTGTCTCTCTGCCATGATCTAATTCATGTTTGCATTCTGAGATGGGGACAGGAATGGAAGAATCAAGCGCTATCTTATTTTACAATCAGGCTGTGAAGGTAGAGCCTTTGCAAAACCCAAGTCAGCAAGAGATCATTGCCAGTAATCATGTTTTATTTGAAGTAGTCTGGTGTCTTAGGCCCTGCTGAACTTCTATACTTTGTTTTTTGAACTCTTGGGGGTTTTTTTGTTTTTTTGGTTTTTTTTTTGGAGTAATTTAAACTCCAACCAGAATCTGTGCTTTTTATGGTCATTCTGAAGTCCTAATTTGACCACCCACATAAGCCACCTTCTTTAGCCCAGGAAATGGACGTCCTGTTCCATACTCATGAAACCCTTCCCACAGCAACTCTCCTGCCCTTGCTAAGCCAGAAGCAGCTTTCCTTCTGTACAAGAAGTAGTCCCCCAAGGCAAACCCTCCCTTAACATTGTGGCCCATGACGGGGAAGTGTTTTTATTTGAAGGAAGGAGGAATCTCAGACTGTGGTTATCAACTTTTGAGGACTTGGGGCAACCACTTCCCTGTTATTCCCCTGTGCGACCTGATTCTTTTTTTTTTTTTTTTTTTTTTTTTTGAGATGGAGTCTCGCTCTGTCACCAGGCTGGAGTGCAATGGCATGATCTCGGCTCACTGCAACCTCTGCCACCTGGGTTCAAGCAATTCTCCTGCCTCAACCTCCTGAGTAGCTGGGACTACAGGTGCGCACCACCACACCCAGCTAATTTTTGTACTTTTAGTAGAGACAGGGTTTCACCACGTTGGCCAGGATGGTCTCGACCTCTTGACCTCGTGATCCACCCACCTCAGCCTCCCAAAGTGCTGGGATTACAGGTGTGAGCCACTGCGCCTGGCCGCTACCTGATTCTTAAAGGTGTTTGTTATACACAGTTTTTAAATGGAAGAAAATGAAAACAGAGCTAGTTTTTGAGAACCTCAAAGTGTCTCTTGAATAGGAGACACCAGAGGGTAAGACCAGTCAAGACTGACAACGGGGGCCAAGCTGTGGCAGCAGAACAATAGGTCTGATAGTAAAACTCAGCCCTTAGAAAGTTTTACAGTGTACCCAGAGTTGCTGGATAAGTCAATATAGAATTACCAGATGACCCAACAATTCCTCTCCTAGATATCTATCTACCCAAAAGAACTGAAAGCACTTTTCACAAAAATTTGTCCATGAATATTCATAGCAGCATTATTTATAATAACACAAAATGTGGAAACCACCTGAAGGTCCACCAGCTGAATGAATAAGCAAAATACGGCATATCCATGCAATGCGCTATTATTCAGCCTTAAACAGGAATGAAGTGCTGATGCATGCTACAAGATGGATGAGCCTTGAAAACACGATGCTAAGTGAAAAAGCCAGACAAGAAAGGCCACATAAGGCCACATATTGTATCTACTTATATGAAATATCTAGAGCAGGCAAATCCATAGAGACAGAAAGCAGATGAATGCTTGCCAGGGGTTAGTGGGGATTTACTGCTTAATGGGTCCAGAATTTCCTTTCGGGGCGATGAGAATGTTTTGGAATGAGATAGTGGTGATGGTTGCACAACACCGTGAATGTACTAAATACCACTGAATTACACTTTAAAATAGTTCAGGCCGGGCACAGTGGCTGACACCTGTAATCCCGGCACTTTGGTAGGCCGAGGTGGGCAGATCACCTGAGGTCAGGAGTTGGAGACCAGCCTGGCCAACATGGCGAAACCCCGTCTCTACAGAAAAAAAAAAAAACAAATACAAAAATTAGCTGGGCCTGGTGGCGTGTGCCTGTAATCCCATCTACTTGGGAGGCTGAGGCACAAGAATCGCTTGAACCTGGGAAGTGGAAGTTGCAGTGAGCCGAGATCTCACCACTGCACTCCAGCCTGGGTGACAGAGTGAGACTTTGTCTCAAAAAAATAAAATAGTTAAAATGGTGAATTTTGTGTTATGTCTTTTACCACAATTTTTTAAAGACCTTGGCCTGGCACAGTGGCTCATGCCTATAATCCCAGCACTTTGGGAGGCTGAAGCTGGAGGATCGCTCAAGGCCAGGAGTCCAAGACCAGCCTGGGCGTGAGACCCCATCTCTCTCTCTTTTTTAATAAAATAAGAAAAGAGAAAGAAAGAAAGAGAAAGAAAGAAAAGGAAAGAAAGAGACAGAAAGAAAGAAAAGAAAGAAAGAAAGAAAGAAAGAAAGAAAGAAAGAAAGAAAGAAAGAAGAAAGAAAGAAAGAAAGAAAGAAAGAAAGAAAGAAAGAAAGAAAGAAAGAAAGAAAAGAAAAAAGAAAAAAAAAAAAAGACCCTGCTTGGGCTTCCCTGTTCTGAGTGCTACTCCCCAGCCTTTCTTCCAAGAGTGGGAGGAAGGCAAATAAAATCACCTCCACCACACATAGGAAACTTTCACTGATTACTCCAACAAAGGACTTAGATCCTGGAGAGGACGGGTAGATGGGAGGCATCTACCTGATTTGGTTGTCTCTCCAACAGTAAATACTTGCTTTTGCCCTAGAGCATGCCAGGTTTATGGCTCTCCCTGGCTGACCAGGTTTGGACCCAGGACAAACAAGAGTCAGGTGGAGCCCGCCCTCCAGGCCAGCATCTAGGGCAAGGGTCATGGTTGAATTCGGAGGCCCCAGGTAACCTCTGAAGCCCACATTCTTTTTCTCCCATCACAGCTTCCTTCTAAATATTCTGATTGCTGTCCAGCGTTTTACTTTAAACAGAAAAGAAAAAAACATGTATCTTAAATGTCATGTACCTTTTCTTTTTTTTTTTTTTTTTTCTTTTTTTGAGATGGAGCTTCACTCTTACTGCCCAGGCTGGAGTGCAATGGCACAATCTTGGCTCACTGCAACCTCCGCCTCCCGGGTTCAAGCAATTCTCCTGCCTCAGCCTCCCGAGTAGATGGGATTACAGGCGCCTGCCATCACGTCCGGCTAATTTTTGTATTTTTAGTAGAGACAGGGTTTCACCATGTTGGCCAGGCTGGTCTTGAACTCCTGACCTTGGGTTATCCACCGGCCTCAGCCTCCCAAAGTGCTGGGATTACAGGCATGAGCCACTGTGCCCGGCCTCGTGTATCTTTTCTTGTACACAGAATATTCTGTACCCTAAGTAGGATTTTGATCTTGTATTAGTTTCTTTCTTTCTTCACCCAGCAAAACTCCCACCTTCCCCAAGCTGACTTCAGACTAGACCCAGCACTTCAGCAAAGATGCGTAAGACACCAGAAGTAGCTTAGGCAACATTTTTGTTCAAATGGTGGGACTTTTGATCTCCTCCATGAATTTATTTCTGCTTGCTCAGCCCTCACATTAAGTCCTGGACTTATCCTCCTGTCTTTATTAGCCCATTGCAAACACCTGCACTTATTCCTCCAACTCTTATCTCTGACGTGGCCCAGTTGGCCTTTCCTGCCCTAGGCCCATATCCATCACTGAGATCTCAGGAATTAACCCCTGGGTGTAGTTCTTTGTGTACAGGCTCCAGTCTCCTCCCCGATACGTGCCTTGCCCCAGTACCCCTGACATTAACCAACCCTGTCTTTTTCCAGGAAAGGACCCTGAATATCACACCACTGAAGGAGGTTCTTCCCTCCCAGCCCACCTCCTCGGTGTGCTTATAAGAGCATACCTGCATCTAATTTGGTGCATATCTTAGCAGCCTTTTCTTTTTTTTTAATTTCAACTTTTATTTTAAGTTCTGGGGTACACGAACAGGTTATGCAGGTTTGTTACGTAGGTAAATGTGTGCCATGGTCATTTGCTGCAGAGATCATCCCATCACCTGGGTATTTCTTTTTCTTTTTATCTTGTTTTGTTCGTTTGTTTGTTTGAGATGGGGTCTCACTCTGTCACCCAGGCTGGACTGCGGTTGTGCAATCTTGGTTCACTGCAGCCTCTGCCTTCTGGATTCAAAAGATTCACCTCCCTCAGCCTCCCGAGTAGCTGGGACTACAGGCGCCCGCCACCACGCCTGGCTAATTTTTGTATTTTTAGTAGAGATGGGGTTTCACCATGTTGGCCAGGCTGGTCTCAAACTCCTGACCTCAAGCAATCTGCCTGCCTCAGCCTCCCAAAGTACTGGGATTACAGGCATGAGCCACCGCACCCGGCCACCTGGGTATTAAGTCCAGCATCCATTAGCTATTCTTCCCCATGCTCTCCCTCCCCTCAGGCCCCTCCCACACTGACAGGCCCCAGTGTGTGTTGTTCCCTCCCACGTGTCCATGTGCTCTCATCATTCAGCTCCCTTTTCTGATCTGAAGGTTTACCTGTCTGCAGATACAGGTAGTGACCTCCAGGGATCTCTCTCAAGATCTCACTCAGCACCTTTGACAGCTGGCTCACAAGCTTCCCCCCCACCCTTTGCCCATTTTAACAACTCCAGCGTCCGGCTCACACTCTCAGGATGTTTAGCTCACTTCCCTTTGTCTTGTCTCCACTTTCCTCTACCACTCATTGGTATGATCCATTCATTCGTCGTTCATTCATTCATTCTGCAAACATCTATTGAGTGTCCACTCTGCTAAGCCCTGTGCTGCACCCTAGGGTAAGAGATGAATCAGATATGTTCACCCTCAAAGCTGACATGCAGTCATTCAGCTGTTTCAGCAGTTAAGATACTGAAATACTCCTGTGCCTGTTGGGTCCATAGCCCCTGCCCCGAGTGCCCTTCGGCTGCCCTGGGCCCTCCTCTGGTCTCCCTGCCATCCAGCAACTAAAAGGTACATCTCAAATCCCGCCTTTGTAGACCTCATAGGCAAATGGTGGACACCTTAGAGTTTGGTGTGCTTAAGATGTTTAGTTCCTCCAGAATGTCAAGCTGTGAAGTGCACACGTACTGACCACAAACTTTGTTCTTCTCCTTCTCCCCATCTCCCACATCAACTGCATATTCTTCTTTGTTGTTGTTGTTGTTTGTTTGTTTTAGAGACAGGGTCTCACTCTGTTGCCCAGGCTGGAGTTCAGTGGCACCATCTCAGCTCACTGTAGCCTCAACCTCCTGGGTTCAAGCCATCTTCCTACCTCAGCCCCCAAATAGCTGGGACTACAGGTGCATGCCATCATGCCTGGCTAATTTTTGCATTTTTAGTAGAGATGGGGTTTTACCATGTTGCCTAGGCTGGTCTAGAACTCCTGACTTCAAGTGATCCACCTGCCTTCGCCTCCCAAAGGGCAGAGATTATAGGTGTGAGCTACCGTGCCCGGCCCACTGCATGTTTTTGTTGTTGTTTTGGGTTTTCTTGAGACAGAGTCTCACTCTATTGCCCAGGCTAGAGTGCAGTGGCACGATCTCGGCTCACTGCAACCTCTGCCTCCCAGATTCAAGCGATTCTCCTGCCTCAACCTCCTGAATAGCTGGGACTACAGGTGGCCACCATCATGCCTGGCTAATTTTTTTTTTTTTTCCCTTAGGGAAAAAAAACCTGTTGGTCAGGTTGGTCTCAAACTCCTGGCCTTAAGTGATCCGCCTGCCTTGGCCTCGCGAAGTGCTGGGATTACAAGCATGAGGCACCGCGCCCAGCCTGCGTGTTCTTTTTGTCTTCATGCTACTAGCATTTCAAGTCTTGTCAAGTCTTGCAGCTCACTTCTGGTCTCCCCATCCAACTGGGAGCTCACGGTCATCATTCTTGAATCCCTCCCTCGTGCCTTCTCCTTCCCTGTTTGCTTGGCCAGCCCCATTGTTGGGAAACATGTCACCTGCAATTTCTATGTTTGCTTTCTGACCTGGTGCTCAGGGGCCCTGCCGGGGCAGATCACAAGGGCAAGGGTCCTGAGAGTTTTGCACCCCAGGGCTACCAGACTTCAGCTATGCCTTTCCTGCTGTGTGGCAAAAATGTCCCCACGTTTTGTTGATTCATCATTGCTACCTTTTCTGCAGTTATTCTTTTGCTTGCATCATCAATCTCTCCCCTCTGACCTATCGATACACTCAGGTCTCTATTACTCACCCTCACTCTGTAACAGAGACATTTATTGTTCAATGAATATTCATATCTTCCCCCAAATTTCCCAGCACCCTTGCAGTTAGGTGGAGCCATGTGACTATTTGGCTTTGGCTAATGGGCTTTGAGTGGAAATAAATAACGTCCCTTCTGGGTGGAAACACTTAAAAGCCAGTGTGTGACCCTCCAGCTCTCTTTTCCCTTCTTCAGTGAGCTGGAAACTACTGGTCAAAGTGGTGGCTTCCCAAGACAGGAGTAATTTTGATCGTTGAGTCCCGATGTGGAGAAGAGGAACCCCGAAGAGCTGCCTGACTGTGTTAGGAATATTTGTAACAGAAACAGAACTTTGTCTTGTAAGCCTCTAACATCGAGAGGGCAATTTGTTACTGCAGCATAGCCTAGCATTACCCTAATACACGCCCTACGATAACAACAGGCAAAGCACTTTCCTTGAGTCTGTTATTCCCTCAGGTTTCCACTGTGTCTCCCTCAATCTCTCCATTGCTGGCTTACTCAAGTATGAAGTCTCTAAGCAGGGCTACTGTTTTCTTTTCCTGCCCACAAATTCATTCCTCAGTCCCTGGCCCCTGACCTGCCGCTTTACCGAATTATTCACTGCAAGGCTCCCAATGATGCCTCAACCCCAAATTCAACAGCACCTTCAGTGGCTCCAGCCCCTTCGCAGACAGCTACTACATGGTCGACTCTGAGCTTCTTTGATCCCCTTCTCGGGTGCCTCCTCGGTGATCTGAGTTTTCCTCCTGTCCCTCCAATGCTCTTTTCAAGTCTGCCTCACCACTGACCCTTTTTCATTCTGCCTCCTAAATATAGCCCTTCCCAAGGTCTAGCCCTGTTCTTTCTTTGTACTTTCTCTCTTGATCTCACCCAAGCTATGACTTCCATGTCCCTGACCATGAGCATGACTGCCAAATCTATTTACGGTCACTGCTCTCAAAGAGCTGCAGGCTAACAGGGGAGCACCTTGAGCTCTTCCCAGGTTCCAGGACCACAGTTCTGACCACCTGGGCATTCTCACACTTAAAGTACCAAACCCAAATCAATTTGCTTTCTCTTTCCTTCAGCATTAAGCCTGTTACTCTGCCCTTCATATGACGGGACTGCTACTTCTCCTCCTCCTTTTTTTTTTTTTTTTTTTTGAGATAAAGTCTTGCTCTGTCACCCAGGTTGGAGAGCAGTGACACAATCACAGCACTGCAGCCTCAACCTCCCAGGCTCAAGTGATCCTCCCACCTCAGCCTCTGGGGTAGCTGAAGCCACAGGTGCGCACCACCACATCCAGCTAATTTTTTTTTTCTTTTTTTGTAAAGAAAGGGTTTCATCATGTTGCCCAGGCTGGTCTCAAACTCGTAGGCTCAGGTGATCGCCCTGCCTTGGCCTCCCAAAGTGTTGGGATTACAGGCGTGAGCCACCGCGCCCGGCCGAGTCTTATTTTCCTATACACACTTCCCTCACACTCCAGGAAAACTGGCTTGTTTCTTGTTCTCCAGACATGCCCGGGGCAATCCTCACTCTGTCTTTTGCTCAAGCTACCGCTGCTGCCCAGAAATCCTTCTTCCCACCCCAGATCTCATTTCTCTCTTT
Source organism: Homo sapiens (assembly GCF_000001405.40). Lineage (NCBI taxonomy): Eukaryota > Metazoa > Chordata > Mammalia > Primates > Hominidae > Homo > Homo sapiens. The sequence continues at coordinate 56,917,614 of NC_000016.10, read as the reverse complement.
CTATTGAATCCCACCAATCTCTGGAACCTATTAGGCCAAATAATGATCTAGACAAACTCGAAATCCTTGGATCCAAAGGCTCACACTACAGGGGAGTAGGAAGTGGTGGGCTGGGAAGGGCAGTGGGTTGGGGGTGACCAAGGAATGTGTACCCCTTTTGTACACCATGTTCCCTATAAAGACTTTCCTAATCCCCTTGACCTTATGTGTTTGCTCCCTCCTTTGCAAACGTAGAATGTTTTATTTGTAATTTTTATGAGTTAAAATAAAACCACTTGTCCTTTCTTGCCGCTGTCTTTCATCTATCAGACATTTTGCTCTCTGGCCTCCCAGCCAGGTGGTTCTTCTGAGAGTATTTATAGAAACTGTATTTGTGATGGCTCCACTTTTAGGAAGTGGGTGCGTATGTTGTACTTTTGCTTTCGGTCACAGGATGAAACCTCACTTCAAGTGGGAAATTACCAATGAAGCCAGTGGCTGGGCTTTCCTGCGCCCCATTTCTGTGAACATTCTTGGAGTTGGCAGCATTTTTTCCCTGATATCCTGAGCTGTACACAGCTATGAACCAAACCTGGCTGCTTTGCATGTGCCTGAAGGCCTCCCAGCCAGGTGGTTCTTCTGGAACAATCCAGCTGGTCTCATCCCTGTGAACCCCTCCTCCCCCTCACCACTCTAGACAGTCCAGGCAGGGGTCTAGAAGGGAATTCAGTCCACATGGGGACTCTCCATGTGCTAAGGAGGCCCACAGCTTTCTGCCTGGGTAAGCAGAGCCCAGAGAGCCCATTGGGTGAAAAATAGGTGGTACTGCAATTACTTCAAAGCCATAGGAAGTCTGGGCAGGCACTGAGGGAGGATACTAAATCTGGAGGCTGAAATGCTGAGGGCAAAACTGGGAGCTGACTGGGCAGTGGATCCCAGGGGAGAGAAGGGAGGAGCCCCTGCTGGGGTGGCCACTGGGGCTGAGGCTGGCCCTGGCCCTGATGGTTCCCTCCTCTGCCAGCACAGAGGAAGGGAAGGCTTCATGGATAGTACTTCCCACTGCACAAACTCCTAAATGGGAAGCATTTTGTCATCCAAAGGCAGGGACAGAGAGGCAGTGTGGCCCTACATCTCTTATGCTAATAGGCCAAATAATGATCTAGAGAAACTCGAAATCCTTGGATGCAAAGGCTCACACCACAGGGGAGTAGGAAGTGGTGGGCTGGGAAGGGCAGTGGGTTGGGGGTGACCAAGGGATGTGTACCCCTTCCCCTTAACCCCCACCTCCTGATGCAGCCACAATTTTTGTCAACCACTCCTGGGCCAAACCACAGTCACTGTTGGGTCAGCTGGCTGGGGACACCTGTTCTGGTCCAATTCTTTCATTTCATAGACTGGAGGCCTCCCAGAGACACGAAGGGGCATATCTGAGGTCACACAGCCAGTTTTGGGGAGACATTGAAACTCAAATCCCAGTCACCTGGTGGCCTTGCCATGGCTCCTTCACTCAACCTGTTACCTCTCTGTGTCAGGCAAGATGGGAAATGCTGGGGGACTTTGATAAAGGCTGAGAAAAATGGTTCCCCGTGAGTCTGCAAATGCATGGAAGAGAATCAAAGGGAAAATAAATGGCTCCTATAAATATTTATGTTGAAATCTGGCACTATGACCTGCAGAACCAGTAGGGGCTCCGAGAAGAGTTCAATCCAGGGTTGGAAAAACAATAGTTCATTTTTTCAAAACACTCAGCAGAGTTGAAAAACAGTGTGTTCCAAAACAAATAAGTTCCGTTGACTGAATGACCACCGTTTTTATTCATTTCATTGTTTATGGCCTCGCTGTTAAAGCTTTTTATTTTTTTACAAAGCTATTACTATTGTTAAAAACATACTATTTCTGACATCGTGAAAATTTTTTTTTTGACACCCGAAGCCAAAACATTCTGTTTTTTGGACCAAGGACTCTTTGAGGTTTGAAGAACCAGAAAATTGTTTTCTACGTGGCTCTAGAAAGGCCAGCATTCCCTGATGGATGCTTCCCCTTATTTCGAGTTAAGAATTATCCCAGAATCCAGCTCAATGGCTGGGAGGCAGGCCCATCCTCCAGGTCCCTCAGGAGCACGAGAGCTGTTCCTAGTCAGCTTGGCCGTGCCCCAGTCCCTCGTAGCAAGCCCTGAGGCGGTCAGACAGTGGGGCTTCAGAGCAGCCTGGGAGCCCCAAGCCTTCTGGGCTTTGCAGTGGGATGACCTGAGAAATGCTAACATCCTTTGGGTTGTAACTCCAGAAAGGAGACTTCAGATCTCCTTCTAAATTCTAGAAGTCTTTAGTCTCCTTCTGAAGTCTAAAGTGTAGGCACTGCAGCAGTCTTGGAGGAGGCTGATGAAACCCAAAGATGTCTGTTCCTTCAGCCACCCCAGTGCCATCGGAAGAAGGCACAGGCAGTCGTACCACCAAACAACTCACCTTTACGCTTCTTGGTTATGTCTAGAGCTGCAAATACCCTCACTTGGCCTCACCCACTGGCATTCGATGGCAGTGCTCTTGCACCCTAGCTTTGGGGGCTCAAACACTGGGGATGTTCAACGTGTAGTGACCTGAAGGCCTTCCGTGAGCCAGGTATAGGTCCTTTCTCCATCTCCCTTGTCCTAGCTTCTCTCCCACCTCCAACCCCACTCTTAACAGCCCCTCCCTGCCAGCCCCCTCTGCCGCCTGCTCTTTCCATCTCTTGCAGGTGGCTCCTCCTCCCCTCTCCTTTCACCTGGTCTTGGGCTAGGCTTGGCTTGGACCTGCTCCTGCCTATCTGTTCCTTGCCAACCTTGCCATCTCTACACCCCTCTCCACATCTTCATTCCTGACATCCTTGTCGTCTGTTCTTAACCATGCCTGAAATCTTACCCTTGCCACTAGACTCCTTCAACCTTGCCCCTTCTTTAAAACTCTTTTTTGACTCTCCTGCCATCAATACCCCTCCTCACGTGTTCTGTCAATCTGCTTTTCTTCCCGGTGAGATGAGCTGGGAAAATGGCAATGACACCCAGCCGTGGCCTTTCCCCAGCTCAGCCAGACTCCCTGTGTGTGGACAAATGCAAGGCACAACAGAAAGGTGGCCATGCCTTTCAAATGTGTGGGTCCCCACCCATGAGTGGATCCCAAAGTCATTTTATTGGATTGCAACCAACAGTGAAAAATAAACAGAACAGAACATACTGGAGGACGTCCCCCAGGGAAGGGTAAGTATTGTTTTGTGACATTTTTGTTTTGGTCGTTTCCGTGTGTGTGCGCTGCAAGTCTCAGTGTGAAGTATATTTCTTACTGTGTGTTGCAACCAAAAAAGTTCGAAAAGTCCCTCGTCCAAAGAACCAGTGAAGACATCAAAGACCCCTTATTGAAAGTGACGGGAGTGAGAAGTGGTTCAAGAAATTTGCCTGGGCCGGGCGCAGTGGCTCAGGCCTGTAACCCCAGCACTTTGGGAGACCGAGGTGGGTGGATCACCTGAGGTCAGGAGCTCAACACCAGCCTGGTCAACATGGTGAAACCCCATCTCTACTAAAAATACAAAAATTAGCTCGTGTGATGGCAGGTGCCTGTAATCCCAGCTATTCGGGAGGCTGAGACAGAAGAAATGCTTGAACCCGGGAGGAGGTTGCAGTGACCTGAGATCATGCCATTACACCCTAGCCTGGGCAACAAGAGAAAAAACTTCATCTAAAAAAAAAATATATATATATGTATTTGCCTGGCTGTGGAGGCTCAGAGAGAGACCTGCATTCCTTAGAGAGCCTGTAGGTCCTACAGGTGAGGCTCCCATTCTCCTATTGGAGGAAGCAGGGCATGATTTAGGAACTTTCACCCAGGAAGGTCTGTAGAAACTGTCAAGATTCACGCCCAGCATTGGGACTCCAATTTGCATACAAATCAAAGACTGAACTCTTAATTAATGGTCATCAAAATCAAAAGAAATCCTTTAAAAGGAATAGGATGCTTTAGAGAGTTTTCCTTGCAGCTCCATCTGCTATTTCTCTAGCCTATAAACACAAGACCCAGGGAATGTGTCCCATGGAAGTGGAGTCCAGCCAGATTTGGAAATCTACCATCTTTTTCGGTGAGATCATCAGATGCTGCCACTTAAAGTGCAACAGAACATGAGTCTCATCCCTGTGGACTAGAGGCAATCAAGTTCCAACTTATCCCACACACTCAGAGCTGTGGACAGGGATGTCAAAGCCTGGAGTTACTGGCAGTAAAAGGTGAGCACGTTTTCCTGGTTTCCTCGGATCAGGATGACTGGAGGTCTGAGGTCCTGGGACAGGGTCTCCAGCCAGGCCATGTACAGCGAGCTGGGGCACTTCCCCTTCCTCCCTATGGGCAAAGTGCTGCAAGGCATGAAAAAGTGGTAGAAGAGAGATTACCACGGGGCCGCTCCACACGCCCAGCTCCCAGTTTGTTTTCAGAACAGCGAGTCTGTTTACCGTCCCTCAGAGCTCCTTCCACCCACCCTAAGAATGACCTCCCCACTTTCCGCACAAACCTGACCCAGAATGGACCTTCTGCCGTGAAGCGTTTCTAAACAAAGCCATGGCCCACAAGCCCTATGGGATCTAGTCCTTGCCAAGCCCACGACCTCACCTCCTCCCACCCTCGCCTTGCTCACCCCCGATGCCCTGTGGCTTTCTTTCCATTCCTAAAAAAATGCCAAGCTCACTCCTGCCTCCAACCTTTGCACTTGACGTTCTCCCCACCCACCAGGAAAGGAGCAGCCCCAGCTCTGCACCTGGTCACTTCCTTTGAGTCAGGCAAGTGCACCCACCTCCTCCCTGATCACTCCTCCAGGGCAGGCCGCCCACGCCTCTTCCTCACATCACCCCACTTTACTGCCTTCAGAGCCCTCCACAGTCCCAACAGCATCTTCTGATTTATGTGCTTGTCTCCCCACATTAGAATGTTCGCTCACAAGGAGGCCAGATCTGCCTTATTCACCCCCCTTTTCCCAGTGCCTAGAACACAGTCTGATACAGTCAGGCTCAGTATATATTTGTTAAGTGGGCGACCCTTCCCTATCAGGCCACCCGCTTCATGCCAGGCTTGCCTCTCCAGCCCTGTGCCAGCCTGTGGCCACAGCAATGTGATATGTTCCTGTTCATTCATTGTCCAGCTCAGCGTCTTTGTCCTGCCTCCTGCCCTGTGCAGGAGGCCCTGGGAGCAAGACTCCACCGCTGCCTATGGGGAGGCCCCTTGTCTTAACTGTGCAATGCTGCGTGAATAAAAAGATGCCCTGGGAATGCTGTCCAGCCATGTCTTCCAACTATTTCAGGAAGTGACTTTTCTACTATCTGGAGAATTCCAAAAATGCATTGGGATGGCCACAGCTGCCCAGCTCTGGGCTCCAGGAGGGTCTGTGGGCTCCAGCAGTGTCTCACAGGTCCAGCTGGTGCCGCATGAAGTGGGGGCACCAGCACCTTCCGTGGGACTCACTTGAGTGTCTGTTTTCCCCAAGTACATCCCCCTGGGGAATGGGCAGGGCCCGCAGCACCGCGCTCCTTCACAGGTGGGAGAACTGGGGCGGGAGGAGGATGCTGGAGCGCTGAGGTCAGAGCCAGTCTCTGGCGTCCGAGTCGTGGCTTTGCCACTTCCTCAGCCAGATGACCTTTGCAGAGTTTCTCTTCCCTAAAGCAAGAACACAAAAACCTCCCTCGCAGGATGTTTGTGATGCTAAAACAGGCAAAGCACACGCAGGCACAGCACAATGCCTGGCACACAGTGAGTGCTCTGTAAGGTCAGCAGCTGTCATCACCACTTAGTACTGACCAGCACGCGACAGCTAAGCCAGCGGCGGCAAAGCTGGAATTCGAACCGAGGTCTTGACATCTTCCCTCCGCAGCAGCCTCTGCTCACAGCAACTCCAACCTCCTCTGAGAAGGGTAACTGGGATACTAAACAGCTATGTCACACTTGGAAGTTCCATCCACAAAGCTTCACCTGGGACAAGCCCTACCCTCCTTTAAAAAGCAATGTCCCGGGCCAGGCATGGTCACACCTGTAATCCCAGCACTTTGGGAGGCCGAGGTGGGCAGATCACTTGAGCCCAGGAGTTTGAGACCAGCCTGGGCAACATGGTGAGACCCTGTCTTTACAAAAAATAGAAAAATTAGCTGGGCATGATGGCACACGCCTGTGGTCCCAGCTCCTCAGGATGCTGAGGCGGGAGGATCGTTTGAGCCTGGGAGGTCGAGGCTGCAGTGAGCATGATTGCGCCACTGCACTGCAGCCTGGGCAACAGAGTGAGACTCTGTCTCAAAACAAACAAACAAACAAACAAACAAACAAACAAAAGGTCTCAAAAATTAGGGAAGGTGGGTTGGACCAAGGCCATTTCATTAAGCTATAGTCATCTGAGTTCAAATATTTAGTGACTTTCCAGGAGAAAGGGACATAGGAGTACTGAGCCCAAACTCTCCTGACTGAGCAGTTATGCAAGAGGCGGACAACATCCAGGAAATAGGACATGATTTCGGGGACTGAATTCAGAAACTTCAAAGGCCACGAGAGAAATGGTGCCTGCACCATGGGGGTGGGGAACATCCAACACACCTATGTCAGACTTTCAAGCTTCAGCATGGAGTTCCCTCCCCCAACACAGCCTGTCCACCTGTCCGAGAGACAGCTGTCTTGAAAATCACCCCCGCCCCCACACCAGTCAATGACGTGCTCTATTCCTGCTCACAGGATGTGCATGCCTTGAGCTACTAATCTTCAGAAATAAAACTGTTCCAGAACAAAGGAACATTTTTTCAGAATTACATCTCTTAGCCACAAAGAAAGGCGACTTCAGATCTAACCTAGATGTGAAAGACAGCCCTGCATCAGAACCACAGTCACAGGCTCCAGATGCAATTCCCACTTCCTGTCTGCAAGACCCTGGCCAAGTTGCTTAACTTCTCTGAAGCTGCTTCCTCATCTCTAAAGTGGGAGTGAGGGGGTGATTATAATAGAGTTTTGAGGCCAGGCACAGTGGCTCATGCCTGTAATCCCAGCACTTTGGGAGGCCAAGGCAGGTGGATTGCTTGAGCTCAGGAGTTGGAGACCAGCCTGGGCCAACATGGTAAAACCCTGTCTCCATAAAAAAATACAAAAAACTAGCCAGGCCTGGTGGTATGTGCCTGTAGTCCCAGCTACTCGGGAGGCTGAGGTAGGAGGATTGTTTGAGTCCCGGGAGGTGGGGGTTGCAGTGAGCTGAGATCTCACTACTGCTCTCTAGCCTGGGTGACAGAGTAAGACCCCGCCACCAAAACAAAGAAAATTATAGGACCAAAGATGCCCAAAGAGGCCTGAGTCACAGGTTACAGAAAGAGAAAAAACAACAACAACAAAAAAAAACAAAGAGGTTGCCGTGAGCCGAGATCCTGCCACTGCACTCCAGCCTGGGTGACAGAGTGAGATGCTCTCTTAAAATTAGGGCTTTGCAAATTCATAAGGCCTATTGCCTTGAGTACCATATAGAGGCCCAAGCCATAAAATGCAATGTTGATTATTACTATTTTGATTATTGCTGCTTGGCTTTGAGGAGGGAGTGTTTTTAGAAAAAAAAGAGGTGTCTGGACCCAACAGGAATATGTTGCTAGGCTAGTCAAAGCTTGCTGGGCTTTTTATGAGGCTGGTTTATCAGCTGTGCTGGGGTAGCTGAGCTCAAACCCGGGGCCATTTGATAACCCACTGATTAGTGAACAGCAATCAATCAAGTGCTGCCTCAAACCGGCTCTAGAAAATGCTCCAAGCACGCTCTCCCAGATGCTAGACAATGTGATCTAATCATTTCACCGAGGCTTGGGAGATTTTTTTTTTTTCCCTTCCTCAGAATTTCTGGGCTCCACCCTAGAGCCTGGTCTGGAAGGCACTGAGGAACTTGCATTTTTCACAGTCCCCTGGTGGTTCTGATGAAGCGGACCCTCTGACTGAACTTGTAGAGAAACACTAGGCATGGCTCCAGGTTGGAGATTAGTGATGGAGAGATGCAGCTGCTCTGTCCTCCCGGTGGACTTGGCCCAATAGCTGGGGCCTCTTTGGGCAACAGCTGTAGCTACTGGCATGGGGTGGGACGCCCTGGGCAGGGGTCTTCTCTTGGGTCACTGGATTTATAATTACTTGTATTGGCAAATCCCACAAAGGCTGGTGGGTGGGGGATTGATTTTCCCTGTGAGTTTGGGGGATGGTGGTAGGGATGGGGGGTGGGAAGGGAGAGATTCCAACAGGTGGTCACCTCCCGGGATGAAATTCTTCATCTTATGGCTTAAGAGACTGAGAGACTGATTCTTTTTTTTTTTTTGCTTTCTTTTTTTTTCTTTTGGTAGTGACAGGGTCTCACTATGTTGCCCAGGCTGTTCTCCAACTCCTGGGCTCGATCAATCCTTCAGCCTCAGCCTCCCAAAGTGCTGGGATTACAGGCATGAGCCACTATGCCCAGCTGAGACTCATTTTAATGAGTCATTTTAATGACAAATAAATGCCCAGCTGAGACTCATTTTAATGACAAATAAACTTAGAATCACAGCATGTTAGCATGAAAGAGAATCTTGGAAATACTTTTGTTAACTCTTTATAATTAGGGAAACTGAGGCTAGAGAGACATGGGGTCTTACCCAAGGCCACACAGTGGGCTAATCGCATAGACAAAATGCACACATGCCTCTCTGAACAGAGGCGGCACTCATTAAGCCGTGGTCTGGCACACCCATGCACACCCACCAGGCACCATACCCAAGGAAGAGTCTGGGGAGGCGTCCCAGGACAAAGCCATTTCCACTGTCTTGCGCTCGGACCCAGCGCTCACCCTGGACCAATCTTGTCCTAGGAACATTCTCTGCTAGGTGTTGGCAAGAGGTTTGGAGATAAGCCCAGCCCCTTTCCTTATCACTGTTCTCCAAGGAAACACGGGGCACTTTCTTTGTACAAAAAAATCATGTCCCTAAAGCCCCAGGAAGCATTGTTCTGGGCAGAGCCAGCTTCCTGGGTGTGCAACCAGCACAGTCACACGGGGCCTTCTGCTCCGGAGGGTCCCTTGTTTATCTAATGCCCTGCTCTCACCGTCTTGACATTCTTCTTTTTTTCTTTTTTTCTAATGCCTTAAGTCACACAAGAAAATGTTGCAAGCGGCAGTTCAACACAATTGACTACACTATAAATTATATCACTATCTGCAGCTGGGCACCGTGGCTCACGCCTGTAATCCCAGCACTTTGGGAGGCTGAGGTGGGTGGATCACCTGAGGTCAGGAGTTTGAGATCAGCCTGGCCACCATGGTGCAACCCCATCTCTACTAAAAATACAAAAAATTAGCCGGGCGAGGTGGTGATATTCAGGAGGCTGAGGCAGGAGAATCACTTGAACCCAGGAGGCGGAGGTTGCAGTGAGCTGAGATCTCACCACTGCACTCCAGCCTGGGTGACAGAGTGACTCTGCCTCAAAAAAAAAAAAAAAAAAAGTTATATCACTATCTGAGAAATGAATACAATCATTCTTTAAAAAAAAAAAAAGCACACACTGGCACTGGGGACATCGGGGCATGAGGAATACTGAGTCCCAGGGGCAGACTGACAATGGTCTGCTTCTGGTCTGTTGTTAGACTTCTGCACTCTTACACACATCTGCTAAGAAGGGTTTGCACACTGCATAGGATATTAGGAATCATGAAGAATTCTACATGCTCTACTGTCTACTGGCACATAGGAAGTGATTGGGAAGAAGAGAAACTATAAGTCAGAACCATTTGCTACAGTCTGAATATTCATGTCCCCCCAAAATTCACACGTTGAAATCCATATCCCCAGAGTGATGGTTTTAGGAGGTGGGGCCTTTGGGAGATGATGAGGTTATGAGAGTGGAGCCCTGTGACCTATGAATAGGATTAGTGCTCTTATAAAGAGGCCCCAGAGAGCTCCCTGGCTCCCTCCGCCAAGTGAGGACACAGAAAGAAGGCCCATCCATGAGTCAGGAAAGGAGCCCTGCCTCTGACTCTGAATTTACCATGCTTTGATCTAGGACTTCCCAGCCTCTAGAACCATGAGAAATAAATTTCTGTTATTGATAAGCCCAGTCTATGGTATTTTGCTATAGCAGCCTGAATGTTCTAAGACATGATTTCTGAAAACTGCTGTCGTGTATGGAAGTAGCGTTTGAGTATTATCCAAGCACATTTCTAGCTCTGTCATCCAGGCTGGAGTGCAGTGGCATGATCTTGGCTCACGGCAACCTCTGCCTCCCAGGTTCAAGCAATTCTCCTGTCTCAGCCTCCCAAGTAGCTGGGATTACAGGTGTGCACCACCAAGCCTGGCTAATTTTTTTGTATTTTTAGTAGAGGTGGGGTTTCACCATGTTGGCCAGGCCGGTCTCAAACTCCTGACCTCAGGTGATCCACCCGCCTTGGCCTCCCAAAGTGCTGGGATTACAGGCGTGAGCCACCATGCCCAGCCCCAAGCACGTTTCTAATTGCCTGAACCACTCTCCTGGTGACAAAATTCCGCTAATTGGTAAAAGCAAAAATTTTACCTCTGTCCTGTCAATGAAGAGTAACTGGTGCTGGTGCCTTTTGAATTCTCCTGGGCATCTTTTTTTCATGTGAGAGTTTTTAGTTTATTAATCTTCTTGTAAAAAATCCACAATGGCTGCAGATAACACACTGCCGCCCCTTTACTCCTTTGGCTGTGATCCAATCTCCAGCCCACCTTTTGCCAGCACCAACGTGGCCTTTACAGTCCCCTTAACTTCCTTCATTCTGTTCTTGCATTCCTTTCATTGCTTTCTTGAGGTCTTTTTCTTCTCATACAGGCCATGTCTTGCAAGTCTATGTTTGGGTTCACTTTTCTTTGCATAATCCAAGGAATCATAAATCATGCCAAAGCTAGTTGTCTTGCCACCACCAAAATTAGTTCTAAATCCAAATGCAAAGATGATATCCAGTGTGGTCTTGTATATTTTGGCTAGTTGGTCCTGAATTTCTATCTTAGGTACTGTTGCCTTCCCAGGGTGAAGGACATAGACGACCATTTGTTTCCTCTGAAGTAGTCAGTTGGTCACGACCTTCCTAGTTTGGATACTTACTGATTCATTCAGGATGGCAGTCAATCCTCAGACATCCAGGGAGGAAAAACCCTCATGGACATCTTAAGACAGACTGGAGGTCCAGAAACCTCCAGGTCAGGTCTCCAAACTGGTTGCTCAGCTTCTAGCCTTTGATGAGACCTAGGAGGATGCGTATCCTCAAGCTTTATCTACTCATCTGCTAGAAGCCATTGGCCATTTTCAGTCTGAACCCATTTGCTGTTTTGATCTTCTCAAAGGGGCACTTACACTACATAAAAGAAACATTGCTGGTGCTCTCCTGAAAGAGGGTATTGCAGACACAGCAGTAAGGGATGCATGCAACGTACACAGTACTCAAGCAACAGAAGTAGGGGGAAAATAGTTTGAGTTGCTTTTATCACCCTCAATGGACCACTTGTTCTGAGGTCTCCTCTCATGAATCTAATATCCTTAGATCCTGGCATCTGCAGTCTAGGTCAGATGGTGACAAGTCTGGGAATGGGTTGTATCACCAGAGCTGAAGGATCCCTCCTATCTGAGCACATCTTCCTAGAACAGTGTGTGGCGCTAGGTTTTTGGGGACCTTCTTGCCAGAGAAAGCAAGCTTGATGAGGCACTTGTGGTTGCTCTCCAAGGCAGGATGCATTTTGCAGATTTATAGAAGGGTTCAAACAGGTGAAGTTTGAAAAATGATACCCTGACGTTTCATGCCCACGTCATCATCTGTCTACATCAATGATCAAACTATGATCAGTTGTGTTGAACCCCTACCCCCTCCTCCTTTCCACCACTGTGAGATTTTTTAAAAAACAAATTCCATACATCCTATGTGAGGATGTAAGGGAGACTGCTTTGAAAGGGAAGACCACAGACCTTCTTAATAGTTTCTGAGCAAGGTGCCCCACATTTTCATTTTGTCCTAGGCCTTGCAAATTGTGTAGTTGGTCCTGGCTTCAGGCTCTGAACAAGCAGTTTCCACGAACATTTCGGCTGTCATGCAGAACCTGGCATCTGCAGTCCAGGTCAGATGGTGACAGGTCTGGGAGTGGGGTACATCACCAGAGCCGAAAGATCCCTTCTGTCTGATTCCCAGGTGGTTGGCCCCCAGGAAATGTAGGAGAGGCCAGTTACTTACCTTGGCGAAGACCCCTTGTCCCCTGAGCTGAGGGCTTGGCTGATCATGTTCTTCCTCTTCTTCCTTCTTTTTTTTTTTTTTTTTTTTTTTGAGACGGAGTTTCGCTCTTGTTGCCAGGCTGGAGTGAAATGGGGCAACCTCGGCTCACCGCAACCTCTGCCTCCCAGGTTCAAGCAATTCTCCTGCCTCAGCCTCCCGAGTAGCTGGGATTACAGGTATGCACCACCACGCCCAGCTAATTTTGTATTTTTAGTAGAGACGGGGTTTCTCCATGTTGGTCAGGCTGGTCTCGACCTCCCGACCTCAGGTGATCTGCCCGCCTCAGCCTCCCAAAGTGCTGGGATTACAGGCATGAGCCACCGTGCCCGGCCAATCATGTTCTTCTTACAGGCCTCAGAGAGAGCAGAGCCACCCTGAGACCTTTGCTGCATAGCTCTCACCTTCCATCCCACATTCTGCTTGCTCAGCCCTGGCTAATACACCCAGGGGTGGCTCAGAACTGGACGTGGGTCCAGTAGGAACAGCCAGGGCTAGGACAGGCCTCTGTTTCTGTTGCTCAGGCTTGGAACCAACATCAGCTGGGAATGGCCGATAGCCAAGGAGGGCCAAGTAATTCCTGAACAACCAGGAGTTGATGTCCCTCTTGAAAGAGCTGGGTTCCCTCTTTGCCAAGTGGAATTTGGTAGGAAAAGGCAGCCAACAGGAAAAAGCAATGGCAAGGGGAGGTCACTGATGCCTGGGACACGTGAGGCCCTCGACCCCTGCCAGCTGGAGCTCAGGTGTGGGGCGGGCTCAGGCCCAGCCACATGCTAAGAATCGCCAGGGCTATGTTTATGGGAACTTTGGCCCTTCTGCTTCCTAGGGGAAGGCTTGGGCCCTCCGTGGTGCCCCTGCTGAGCCCCTTCCCAGAGCTGAGACACCTGACTCTGGACAGACTGGTCCTCCCACCAGCCGGGCACTACTTACATGACGATGAGAGCAGCGTCTCGGGAGTAATCCAGCACAATCTCATTCAGCCTCACCTGCCGAAGGGACTGGGCGGGAGAAAGCCGAGTGGTCACTTCCCATATCATCGAGGTCACTCAATCCTTCACCACGTCTATGGCCTCATTAACATTTTCAACTGGATTCATGATTTACTTGTAGACTCTGCTGCCTCATAAATTCTTATAGAGTCTCCTGTCTCCAGGAAGAAGGGGACCCTCAGAGTAATGGAGCACCAAGCTCACCTCCTCCAAGAAGCATTCTGTGGCTTTTCCTTGCCTGACTTTATGACCATAACCAGCAGGGTAGAGGGAAGAGAGAACACCTTACTAGGTTCAGATCTCAGCTCTCACATTTCATAGCAGAGAGAACTTGGGCAAGTCAGGTTGTCTCCCTGACCTTCACCATCTTCATCTGTAAAATGGGTATGATGATACCTTCTCCAGGGGAATTTGGGGAGGATCAAATGAGACAACCTATGCAAAAGCACCCGGCAGAGGGCCTGGTACACTAAAAATACTTTATAAAAGAGAGGTTGCCCCACTTCTTCTGTAACAGAGTATTGGAAGGTCTTCTTCGGACACAATGTTTTATTCAGCATTTTCCAAAGAGCCAGATGGCTGCATGGGCCCTTTGGGGCAGGGTCTCGGGGCTGACAGATTAGGGAAGTCCCCAAACTTGCGTGGGACTGGGTTGGGGGTGGGAGACTCCTTCCAACCCAAGGCCTAGCTCAAATTATTCAGAAATGATTGACACTCAGGAACTGATCGTGGACGGATGCCCTATCCTGGAGACCAAGAGACCGAGGGGAAGGGAGTTAACGTGGGTAAGGGATTCTGGACCTTGCACTGTAGTTATTTGGGGCATACAAGTCCTTGTTGTGGGAAGTGTCCTGCACATCGTAGGATGTTTGGCAGCATCGCAGGTCTCTCCTCACTGCCTGACAGTAGCAGCCCCACCCCCGAGTTGTGACAAACAAAAATGTCTCCAGAGGTTGCCAAATGTCCCCCAGGGGGTAAGCTCCCTCGTGGTGGAGAATGACTGACACTGGGGGTAGAAGTAGGACCCGGCCCTTGCCCCCATCGCTCTCGCTCGCACTCCTAGAGCCTGCCCCACCTTGACGCACTCACAGCATGGCTACAGGCACACACCCTTTCTTAGCCCTTAGAGTCCTGAAGGTGCTGTCCAGGAAGGGGCACCATAGCTCTGAGCTGTGGCAGGGGTAGGGTCTAGAGGCTAAGCAGGGAAGGTCAGGCAGCCGTGTTGGCCCACAGGACAATTTTTTTTTTTTTTTTTGAGACGGAGTCTCACTCTGTCACCCAGGCTGGAGTGCAATGGCACAATCTTGGCTCACTGCAACCTCTGCCTCCCAGGTTCAAGCGATTCTCCTGCCTCAGCCTCCCGAGTAGCTGGGATTACAGGTGCCTGCCACCATGCCCAGCTAATTTTTTTTGTATTTTTAGTAGAGATGGGGTCTCACCATGTTGGTCAGGCTGGTCTTGAACTCCTGACCTCAAGTGATCCACCTGCCTCGGCCTCCCAAAGTGCTGGGATTACAGGGGTGAGCCACCATGCCCGGCCTAACAGGACTAATTATACCTTGGCTGTCACCATGAGTCTCAGAAATCTCTTCCACCCGGCATAGAGGAAGTGTGGAGGAGGAGGAGGAGGAGGAGGACTCCGGGCAGTCAAGCCCACTGCCAGAGCTCACTCAAGATGGGCAGGAGGACCAGGCTCCCAGGTCAAGGATAGCACTGAGTTCCACAGCCGGGTTACCCATCAGCCTGAACGACTGTGGCTTGAGGATACCTCAGGGGCCGGAGTGGAAGGCAGGGTGGAGGATCGAGGGGAGGGGCTGGGGGAGCTCAAGACATGCAGGACACCCGTCCCTGACCCAGTGATGTGTCGCGTTTCCCACCCCCACCCCTCTCTGCACCTTGACTCTGTTCTTCGTAATCTCCTCATCTGAGATCTTCCAGGGGCAGTCCCGCCGCATCTCGTTGACAGTGGCCTCATCCTTGAAGCCATCATTCAGACGGAAGGGTGCAATCATGTCCTCAAACCTCTTGGTGCTGGGGACGAGAAAGTGGGTTGAGGCCGGCTGAGACGATAACCCCATTTCTAGGGGTGCCAGGTCCCTGCGGGGAGCTGGCAGTGTTGCCACAGCTCCCATTTTCAGGCTGAAACCCATCGGACACTGCCATTTACAAAGTGGCTTCCATGTTGAATTCAGCTCTGCTGGCTGGGTCTGGCATCCAACTGAACTTTCACAAGTTGCCCACAACCACTGACCTGTGACCCACCCGACCATCCAGCAGGTATTTACAGAGCATGATTCTGTACCAGGCTCTGTGCTACACAACAGTGAACAAATCAGATTGTGTCCCCAGTCCTCACAGAGCCACGGTGATAAGCAAGTAGCAAATAAATATGAAGTGGAAGCTTATGAAGGGACAACCAAGTACTGGGACAGAGAATAATGGGTGGGGAAGGCCCTTCTGGGACCTGAAGGAAGTCTGTCCTTGCAAAACCAGCCATGCACGGGACAGGGGGTGCAGAAGCGAACAGAACTGAACGTGCAGAAGCCCTGAGGCAGAGCGTGTTTGGCTCATATGAGGAGCAGTGAAGGATCCTGTGTGCTGGAGCAAGGTGAGTGCAGGGAAGGGTGGGAGGAGGTGAGGACAGGCAGGCAGAGAGGGCCCAGTCGGGCAGGGCTTCCTTATCTGCCCCAAGTGAGACCAGAAGCTGCTGGGGGTCTTCTGTGCGATGTGACTCACATCATTAAAGACAGAGATTTAGGGCTGGGGCCGGGCACAGTGGCTCACGCCTGTAATCCCAGCACTTTGGGAGGCCGAGGCGGGCGGATCACCTGAGGTCAGAAGTTCGAGACCAGCCTGGCCAACCTGACGAAATGCTGTCTCTACTAAAAATACAAAAATTAGCTGGGTGTGGTGGCACACACCTGTAATCCCAGCTACTCAGAGGACTGAGGCAGGAGAATCACTTGAACCTGGGATGTGGAAGTTGCAGTGAGCTGAGATGGTACCACTGTACTCCAACCTGGGTGATGGAGTGAGACTGTCTCAAAAAAAAAAAAGAGAGAGAGAGATGTAGGGCTGATTGGCATTCAGATGATGCTATCTGAAGCCACAAGGATGGATGAGCTCACCTGGGACAGAGTAAATGGAGAGAAGGGAAAAGGGTCAGGGCCAAACCCCAAGGATGCCAGCAAGGGCGAGTGAGGTCAAGGATGAAGAACCAGCAGACGAACTGGAGGAAGGGCCCCTGATGCAGGAGGAAACCAGTGGAAGGGGTGTCTTGGAAGCCAAAAGAAGGAACGGTCTCAAGAAGGATCACTGTCAAGTGCAGCTGAAAGGTAGAGAGAGAGAGGACTCTGTGGGTGTGGCAACGTGGAGGTCACTGATGATGCTGGCAAGAGTGGTCTCAGACAGCGGGGGCAGTGGGTTGGGAGCGGGAGGATTAGGGGAAGGGAGGAGGGGTCGACAAAGAGTGCAAACATCTTGAAGTCTGGCTGTGCCAAGGAGGAGAGAAATGGTCCAGTTGCTGGAGGCAGATGAAAGGTCAATGGAGGGGATTTTTAAAATAAGATGCTAGGCTGGGCGCAGTGGCTCACGCCTGTAATCTCAGCACTTTGGGAGGCCAAGGCGGGTGGGTCACCTGAGGTCAGGAGTTTGAGACCAGCCTGGCCAACATGGTGAAACCCCATCTCTACTAAAAATACCAAATTTAGCCGGGCACAGTGGTGTGCTCCTGTAATCCCAGCTACTTGGGAGGCTGAGGCAGAAGAATTGCTTGAACCTGGGAGGCAGAGGTTGCAGTGAGCTGGGATTGCGCCACTGCACTCCAGCCTGGGTGACAGAGCAAGACTCTATCTCATAAATAAATAAATAAATAAATAAATAAAAATCAGATGCTAGATGGGGTCTGTATGTTGCTCCTGCTGTCTCTTCTTCCTGGAAGATCTCCCTGATCTCTTTTTGATCATCAAGGCCAGCCTTTCGCAAGGCTTTGCTTTTCCACCAACAGAGACAATCCTACTCTCCTTGGCACCCTGATCTGTCTCTGCAGCATTGCAACTGCCCTTGGCTTTCACCAGCCTGCAGCCATGCTTGGAGGATGGGGCTGCAGATTCCTCATCTCTGCCTCTGCAGCACCAAGCACAGCTCCTAACAAATGGTTGGAGCCAATGTATGCATCACTATTACACAGCTCCTTTCTGCTTGTCTTGATTTCCTTCCCTGTCCAGATGGGGGACATCCTTACGGCTGGGAGACGTAAGAGAAAAGTTAGGGCTAGGAGGTCAGGAGGAAACATACCTTAGTGAGGAGACAGTCCTGGAAAACCTCACGCACACTGATTGACAAAATACAAATCCTGTTTGTAAATGTCTTATTTGAAGAAGACGGAGTTATACCATTTGGAAAGCAAACAGTCCCTGCTGAACCTGCCATTGGTCACTGCTACAAATTCACACAGGGGTTTGCTTAAAATCTGTGCTCTTGCCCTTGCGTGGAAGGAGGAAGGAAGTTGTTGCCCAGGTCACTCACCTTTTCCCCTCTCCCAGCACCAATGTGTTAACACAATGTCAGGGGCTGCAGCCGCCTTGCCCTGTGGTCCCCTCAGCCCCAGGGAGGGGACAGGCCCCGGCCACAGCCACTGCAGAAGTTGTGCCCTCTGACACATCTAGGAAGGGCTTGGAGGAGAGACCCTTGCTCCTAGTCTACCAAGGAAAAAGGGGGCAGCCGGCAGAGGGGTCTCCAGGCACACAGTTGGCCCTTCTGCCTGGAAGCCCCAAAACAGAACTTACTGCTCAGCCCGAGGGTTCTGGTTGATGTCAGGGAGGATGTGGACTTCATGGAATCCCAGTCGGAACTTGCTCAGCAGAGAAATGATCCTGGAGGACACATGGAGGGTTTATTGTTATTACTTTTTCTTGAGACAGCGTCTTGCTCTGTCTCCCAGGCTGGAGTGCAGTGGTGCAATCTCGATTCACTGCAACCTCTGCCTCCCAGGTTCAAGCAATTCTCATGCCCCAGCCTCCCGAGTAGTTGGGATTACAGATGTGTGCCACCACGCATGGCTAATTTTTGTATTTTTAGTAGAGACAGGGTTTCGTCATGTTGGCCTCGGGTGATCCTGCCTCGGCCTCCCAAAGTGCTGGCATTATAGGCTGGAGCCACCATGCCCAGCCTGAGAGTTTTAAAAATGTATTTATTCATTCAACTAATTTTCACTGAGCACCTACTGACTACATAGCAGTGAGGAAAATAGATCAAAGCCTGCGCTTGTAGAACATGGGGGTAGCGGCAGACAGGAAACGAATACCCACAAAATGGGTTAGATGATGACAAGTGAAACGGAAAAGTAATTGACCAGACTTTCCCAAGTATCTGGTGGCCATCTCTGTACTAGCGCACCCCAAATTTTCACATGTCTACGCATCTGCTGAGGATCTTGTTACCACGCTGATTCTGATTCGGCTGGTCTGGGGTGAGGCCTGGGATTCTGCATTTCTAACACACTCCCAGGGGATGCAATGCTGCTAGTCCACAGACAACACTTTGAGTAACAAAGGTCTAAGGAATAGGAAAGTTGAATAAAGGAAATTCTAGAGCGGCTGAGGAAGCGAAGATAACCCACAAGAAACTAGGTACAGACCCAGGAGTAGCAAGACAGATGGCACTGACTTTGCATCTAACAGGGAAGGAGAAGCCTACTGTGGTTTGTAGCAGTCAGGGAAGACTTCACAGAGGTGGCGGTCTGGCTGGACGGTGAAAGAGGGGTAAGATTGTTACAGGCCAAAGCGGGTGGGGCAGGGGAGGGTCTACACTAACATTACCCAAGAAGCCTTCAAAACAATACACCTGGCCGGGCGCAGTGGCTCATGCCTGTAATCCCAGCACTTTGAGAGGCCGAGGCAGGTGGATCACGAGGTCAGGAGATCAAGACCATCCTGATTAACACAGTGAAACCCCGTCTCCACTAAAAATACAAAAAATTAGCCGGCCGTGGTAGCAGGTGCCTGTAGTCCCAGCTACTCGGGAGGCTGAGGCAGGAGAATGGTGTGAACCTGGGAGGTGGAGCTTGCAGTGAGCCGACTGCACTCCAGACTGGGTGACAGAGCAAGACTCCATCTCAAAAAAACAAAACAAAACAAAACAAAACAAAACCAAATCAAACTAACAAAAAAATACACCTGCCTGGGCCCTCCCCCCAACCCCTTGCCCATCATTGAGTCAGAACCCCTGGGAAGGACATGGTTTTGGTAATGCCCCAGGTGATTCTGATGTGCCAGCCTGGTTAGGGACCACTGGACTGGTTGGTGGGGAACAGTCAAAAGGAGGGAAGGCATCGGGGTGCAGGGGGGTGGAACAGGGCAGTGAGGAGCTGGCTGGGATGCATGGAGTGTGCTGGGAGAGAGGAAGAAATGGGAAACAAGTCTGGAGGACCAGGCTGGGACCCAGCAGGCAAGCCGTTGCTGGTCCCTGATCTTGGGGAGTGAAATTTTGAAAGCAGAGCCGTGGGCAGATTTGTCTTGGTGTGCAGTAGCAGCGGAGGCTGGCAGGCCTGGGCAGTGCCTAGGCAAGGGCAGCATAGACTTGCCCCAGGATTATGTAGAGAGCAGAGGATGCGGCCCACCAAGGGACAGAGGGAGGCAGAGGAAGGGTTACCTAACCTTCCCACCAAGGACATGCTGTTAGCCCAGGCTTCCATAGCCTTGAGCTATACCAAACCTACTGAACCCAGCTTCCATTCAGAGCCAGGACAGGGAGCAGAGACTGCAGAGCAATCTCGTATCTTATTTACTTTTTGGAGATCACAGAGAAGGCAGATGCTGCTTTTCCCAAGCAACACTTTCCTTAGCATTGCAGAAAAGGGGCTTTCCCAGGAGAAAGTTCTTAGTGGGGGTGAGGACAAAGTGATAGGATTGCTGGGTTTCCCTTAACTCACACTGCGGGTGATAGAGAATGGAGCACGGGAGGCCATCCTGGCATAGGACCGGGTGGTGTAGGCTGGGGGATCCCCTCCTACTCTGACCCTGGGGCATCACAGCCAAGATAGTTGCAAAGGGCACTAGAGACCGGGCAGGGGTTCTTCTCTTTGGCTAATTAATTGGATGACTTTGGGCAAACTGCCCCATCTGTCTGTATCCTCCAGCCAACCTCCAGCCTACCACCTCCCACCTCACCTGAACTTGCTCAAAGCAGCAGCTGCCCAATTCCACCTGCCGACATCTGTCAACTCCATACTTGTGTGCCACCTGCCTTACTATTTACTTCCTTTTCTCTTTAAACCAACTCACATTCTGAATTAGATACTTTTTTTTTTTTTGAGATGGAGTCTTGCTCAGTTGCCCAGGCTGGAGTACAGTGGCACAATCTCGGCTCACTGCAACCTTCGCCTCCCAGGTGTAAATAATCCTCCTGTCTCAGCCTCCTGAGTAGTTGGGACTGCAGGCACATGCTACCATGCCAAGCTAATTTTTGTATTTTTAGTAGAGGTGGGGTTTCACCATATTGGTCAGGCTGGTTTTGAGCTCCTGACCTCAGCTGATTCACCCACCTTGGTCTCCCAAAGTGCTGAGATTGCAAGCATAAGCCACCACGCCTGGACCAAACTTAGATACATTTCAAAGGGAAATTTTATATCATGATAAAATATTATTATTTAAAAAATAGAGATAGCATCTGTTCTTTCACCCAGGCTAGAGTGCAGTGGTGCAATCATAGCTCACTGCAGCCTTGATCTGGGCTCAGTGATCCTCCTGCCTCAGCCTCAAGTGGCCAGTACTACAGGCACATGCCACCATTCACAGTTAATTTTTTTTTTAAGTTTTTTGGTAGAGATGGGCTCTCACTATGTTGCCCAGCCTGGTCTCAAACCCTTGGCCTCAAGCAATCCCCTGCCTTGGCCTGCTGCCAGAGTGCCAAGATCTATAGGCAGAGCCACTGTGCCCAGCCAACATCACAATTTTAAACAGAAAACCAGCACCTCTTGCCAGGGAGAGGTGTCCAATAAAACCCATGTCGATAAACCAGGGTCACTAAGTTCTGGCCAGATGCCATTGCCTGCCAAGCCCATGCATCCAGCCTACTCCTCTTGCTCCGGGAGACAAGCACAGGTTACCAAAGGGAAGGACGGGCCAAGGCTAAACCAGGACTTTCTGCAGAATCAGCCCCAGAATTGGAGGAGAATTAAAAGGCACTTCTCACCAAAAGACTCAGTGGTATTTGCTGCCTCAACCCCTGGCCACTAAAGTCACCTCTTGTCTCACCCAGAGTCTGCATCCCATGCATTGGAGACACTGCCTTAAAGCAGGGGCCCCTGACCCCCGGGGCTGCCAACAGGTACTGACCATGGCCTGTTAGGAACCGGGTGCATGGCAGTGAATGCAGCTTTATCTGTATTTACAGCAGCTCCTCATCGCTTTCATTACCATCTGACCTCTGCCTCCTGTCAGATCAGCAGTGGCATTAGACTCTTAGAGGGCCACAAACCCTCTTGCAGGATCTTAGAGGGCCATGAACCCTCCTGATGATCTGTCACTGTCTCCCATCACTCCCAAATGGAACCATCTAGTTGCAGGAAAACAAGCTCGGGGCTCCCACTGATTCTACATTATGGTGAGTTGTATCATTTTTAAATTATATGTTACCATGTAATCATAATAGAAATAAAGTGCACAATAAATGTAATGAGCTTGAACCATCCCAAAACCACCACTCTCCCCCAAGCCTGTGGAAAAATTGTCTTCCACGAAACCAGTCCCTGGTGCCAAAAAGGTTGGGGACTGATGCCCTAAAGGATTCTAGCCCCTACTTCATTTCTCAGGAGGAGGCGTGTTCTCCAGCCTTCATTTCCTTTTTTCAAAAAATTATATATAAATTTTTAAATATATATAAAATATTTATATAAAAATTTAAAATATTGGCTGGGGGCAGTGGCTCACACCTGTAATCCCAGCACTTTGGGAGGCTGAGGTGGGTGGATCACTTGAGGTCAGGAGTTCGAGACCAGCCTAGCCAACATGGCGAAACCCCATCTCTACTAAAAATACAAAAAAACTATCTGGGCATGGTAGCGCACGCCTCTAATCCTGGTTACTAGGGAGGCTGAGGCAGGAGAATTGCTTGAACCCAGGGGGCGGAGGTTGCAATGAGCCGAGATTGCGTCACTGCACTCTAGCCTGGGTGACAGAGTGAGAATCCATCTCAAAAAAAAAAAAAAAAATTAAAATATATAAAAATTTAAAACATAGAGACAGGATTTTGCCATGTCACCCAGGTTGGTCTCGAACTCCTGGACTCCTGGATCCAGCTGCCTTGGCCCAGCCCATCCTTCATTTCATACAGGTTCCTCCTGGAGGAGATTTGTTTTTTGTTTTTCTTTTTATCTTTTTTTTTTTCTATTTTTCTTGTCTTTTCTTAACTTTAAATTTAAAAAATGGATTCCTTTTCTTTCTTATTTTTATGCTTCTTGTTATCCAAACCCAGAGATTTGTGACTTTACAACCTAACTCCCCTCCCTGTCGTAGCAAAGCCTAGGGCATCTGCATTTATTGAAGGGGGCAGGAAACCAGAACAACTTCTGGAATGGAGAGAAACCTGCTCCTGCTCCTGCCCACTGCCATGGCCTGGAGAGAGCTGGCCCTGGGCTTTGGGACAATCTCAGTGCCCACCTGGGGGTGGTGGTAGAGGATCTAGGGTAGGGGACAGCCTTGGGTGGAGCTAAGATGACACTGGTCCCTGCAGTCACCCCCAGGCCAGCCCTCCACACTTACGCCTTTCTCTCCTGGTCCATCCTGTTAATCTGGCCGCCTACGAACACACGGATCTTGCATTTGCTCCACCTCCTCTTGCGGCCAAGGAGATAGGGAATGAGGAGGGTGAGGCCTGGCAAGGAGAGTCCCCGTGAGTCATGACAAGAATACACTCAGGACAGAGCACTATGTGAGTTCCTGCCCCGCTCTGCCATTAGCAAACCCCTTCCTCTCCTCGCTGGACCCCAGTCGACCCATCTGTATAATGAACATGGCTGACTGAATTCAAGTCGCACACGGTGCTCTGTGGGGTAGGGTTTATTTGTGCTTGTGCAGCATATTTAAATAAACAAGCTGGCGGCCGGGCGCCATGGCTCATGCCTATAATCCCAGCACTATGGGAGGCCGAGGCAGGTGGATCACCTGAGGTCAGGAGTTCAAGACCAACCTGGCCAACATGGTAAAACCCTATCTCTACTAATAACACAAAAAATTAGCTGGGCCTGATGGTGCACACCTATAATCCCAGCTACTCAGGAGGCTGAGGCAGGAGAATCACTTGAGCTCAGGAGGCAGAGGTTGCAGTGAGCCGAGATCACACCATTGCACTCCAGCCTGGGCAACAGAGTGAGACTCCATCTCAATAAATAAATAAATAAATAAATAAATAAATAAATAAATAAATAAATAAAATAAAAATAAAAATAAAAATACAAAAATTAGCTGGGTGTGGTGGCAGCCGCCTGTAGTCCCAGCTACTCAGGAGGCTGAGGCAGGAGAATCGCTTGAACCCAGGAGGCGGAGGTTGCAGTGAGCCGACATCATGCCACTGCACTTCAGCCTGGGCGACAAAGTAAGACTCCGTCTCAAAAAGAATAATAAAAAACAAAAGTCATTTAATAATTGAGGAGTTTCACATAAAAATCGAGGTCATTGGCAGTTCTTGAAGAGTGAATATTTGACCAGCGTGTGGGAGCCCTCATCCCTCTCTGTTGTCTCTCCACACAAGACCAAGGGCCAGCTGTCACATATCACCTTGTAATCCTCTGTGCCTCATTTTCCTTATTTATAAAGCGGAGTTAATCATGACAGCTCCTACCTGGGGACTGGATTAGGTAGGGAATTCCCTGTCAGCCAGGTAGTAAGTGCTCAGCCTATTTTGGCAGTTATTAATAGGACTCGTTCCATTGGAGCGAAGACATTTTCTTTCTATCTGTGACTCTATCAAAGGTAGGAGCAATAAAGCTTAAAGTCACTTTTTTTGTTTTTTAATGGGAGAGGTTATATTTCATTGTGAAGTGAAAAATATTCCTCCAGCTTTCCTGGGCACCGCCCATCTCCCCATTTATATCACCTGCCTGTGCCCCTAAGGGCCATCCAGTCAGAAGTTTCCATCTCATGGCGACTTCAGCTCTTCTCTCAAAGCTTCCCATTTTATAACCAAAAAACTAGAGGCCAGACAGAGGGGTCCCTCTGGGCTCCCCTGAGCTCACTGCTGGGCCCAGGAGCCCCTGTCCCCTTTGAGAGCAGGCCAGGAAGGAGAAGGAAGGAAGACCACCACCACCCCGCCCCCGCCGGGCAGGAGGGCTGATCCAAGGGGGTCACTGACCTCCATCGTCAAAGAGCCAGTAGATGTCTATGGTCTTCTTGCCCTGCTCCGACTGGAAGATGGTGGTGGCCTGCTCCTCCTTCACCAGGGCCTTGGGGTCCACTGCAGGAGGTGGGGGCGGGTCAGAGCAGAGCCAGCAGCCGCGCATCCAGGCAGGCCTGGCCCAGGGCCCCGCCAACGCCCCTTCTGATGTTGAACACGGGTTCTCTGGCAGGTGGAACAGGAACCGGGGCCCAGGACGCTCAGTGCTGTGATGTGCCCCTGCCCTGCTTTCAGCTTCTCTCTCCCGGGATTCTGGTGAGTACTGGGGGTGGGGGCAGTCCCAGAGCCCTCTGGGTAGGTAGGGAAGTGCACTCTCCATTCCCTTAAACACCTCCTGCACCCTTCACAAATGCCCACAGCAGCCCTCCCGCCTGCACTTCAGGCCCCCTGTCTCCCGGAGTGATGGTGGGAGAGGACGAAGGAAAATCCCACCCCACCCTGCATGGCTAGAGGGGCCTTGGCAGGGGTGGGACAAGGGCCCCAGAGCCTGCTAGGTGGGTCCCCATGATGCCGTGACCCTGAATTCTCCACCTCCTGGCAATATTTTTTCTTTTTTTGAGACAGGGTCTCACTCTGTCACCCAGGCTGGCAATGTAGTGGTGCGGTCACAGCTCACTGCAGCCTGGAACTCCTGCCTCAGCCTCCCACAGTGCTGGGATTACAGGCATGAGCCACTGCGCCTGGCTGCTGGCAATCTTTGACACGGCCAAGCCCCTCCAGTTCCCAACTCCAGTTACTCAGGCACCACCGTCACAAGAAAAAACCACCTGTCCTCGACCAAGTTCCCAAGTGGCCCACCCCTAGCCACCCCACAGGGCTAGAGTGCCCTGAGCTCTGAGTGGGAACACTGACAAGCGCCAGAGACTGATGGCCTGGCACCTCTGGCGCTGGCTTCCTTCCCGTCCTCCGCTGGGTCAAACACGGGGTTAACTGCAAAAGAAGAGGCAGCTTTGTTCACAGGCTCTCCTTGTCTGAGGGCACCGTGGGTTCCTCCTTGACAGGGCTCCCTTAATGCTAGGAAGAAAGTCCCGATGCCCCACCTGGCCTCCACAGCCCCACTGCACCTGGCCTTGGCCTCCCTCTGACCTGCCTCCTGCCCGGCTCCTCACATTCCAGTCGCGCATGGCCTCCTCTTGCCCCTCAAACAGGCCACGTTCATCCCCACCTTGGGCCGTGGCGGTGGGTGCGCCCTGAGCTGGAACATACTTCCCCTAGCCCTGGCCTCCTCAGCAAAAGGCCCCCTCCTGAGGGAGGCCTTCCCTGGCCACTACGCCCTGCACCCGTTTTCTCCAGACACTCTCACAATCTGAAATAACTTATGGGTCCACTGGCAAGTGTCTGCTTTTCCCTCTGGAGCGTCAGCTTCTCAAGAGCAGAGGCTTTTTGGCTTTTGGTGTGCCTGTAACCCCAGCACCAAGAGCAGCGTTGGTCAGGAGTGGAGTTACTGCTCTGTAAATATTGGTGGCATCCGTGTGCCAGACATGCCCTCAGCAATGGCACAAATGAACGGACCCAGCTCCTGGCTGCAAGAGACGCGGACTCCAAGCTCCCAGTCTCTCCAGCACTGCCTCTCATTTGTTGCCATACACGTTATTGCTTTCACACCTCTAGATATTTCCTTTTTTTTTTTTTTTTTTTTTTGAGACAGGGTCTTGCTCTGTCAGCCAGGCTGGAGTGCAGTGGTGCAATCACGGCTCACTGCAGCCTCAAACTCCTGGCCTCAAGCGATCCTCCCATCTCAGCTTCCCAAGTAGCTGAGACTCCAGACACGTGCCACCACACCTGGTTAATTTTTTGTTTTAGTAGAGATGGGGTCTTGCTATGTTACCCAGGCTGGTGTTGAACTCCTAGACTCAAGCGATCCACCTGCCTCAGCCTCCCAAAGTGCTGGGATTACAGAAACGAGCCACCACACCCAGCCTCTCTAAATATTTCTAATTCAGAGTCTGCAGTCATATATGACTTTAAAATGCAAAACACATCCCTACTCAGTGGACCAAAATGCCCGGTTCCCATGGTCATTATGTATTTTCATATTCTGGCATCTTCCTGCAGGCATTTTCCTCTCCCCTCTTTCCTGGTTTTCTATTACATCTTTTTTTTTTTTTTTGAGATGGAGTCTTGCTCTTGTCACCCAGGATGGAGTGCAATGGCGCGATCTTGGCTCACTGCAACATCCACCTCCTGGGTTCAAGTGATTCTCCTGCCTCAGCCTCCCAAGTAGCTGGGATTATAGGTGTGCACCACCCTTACACCCAGCTAATTTTTGTATTTTTAGTAGCAACAGGGTTTCACCATGTTGGCCAGGCTGGTCTTGAACTCCTGACCTCAGGTGATCCACCTGCCTTGGCCTCCCAAAGCGCTGGGATTACAGGCGTGAGCCACCATGTCCGGCCTATATTAGATCCTTTTGCCCCGACCCAATTGTGATTTGGGGAACCCTGAGTTCCAGTCCTGGCTCTGCCCCACCTGGGAAGCATGACCTTGAATGCGTTGCTTTCTCTTTCTGGGAAAACTGATGGGCTCTAAGGGACCATTAAGAGGCGACTTTCTATGAGTCTGTAACCTTTTATTTCTTACTCATTTTTCCCTCTGCCATTTAAAAACAAAAAATGTGTTCTAGAACTTTCTGGGAGTGGGTGGGGCATGTACTCACTGTGCGCCTGCATCATCTTGGACACGTTGAGTCCCTCCCGCATCCTCATGACACACACGCCATAGTTGAAATCAAAGGCATCACTGGAAAGAGAGGAGGTGAGGTCCAGCTTCTCCCCCAGCTCCCACTGGGGAGGTGACCTGGCACCCAGGAGACCAGATATCTAGAGTTGGCTCTGCTTCCTACCACGCCCTTTCTGTTCTCTGGGCCTCAGTTTCCCCATCTGTATCCTGTACAGGCAGAATTGGAGAGTACCCCAGGACTCCTCCAGCTCTACAGTCTGTGGCACTGTGGATCCTGCAGATCCGGTACTCAGGGGAACCAAGTCAGCCCTGTCCTCCTGATACATTTGGATAATCCCCCACAACTCAACTCTGCCCATGGAGGTGGGGATGGTAATTATTCCCTCCATTCTATGGATGCAAAAACTGAGTTTTGGAGAGTAACTTGCCCATGGTCACACAGCTAAGGGAGTGAGCAGCTGGGATTAGAATCACATGGCTGAGACTGTGGACCAAAGGACAGACATGCTCATGAGAGGAGCTTTACTCCTGCAATAGGCTGTCTATAAAGATGTCTGGAGGCCGGGCGCAGTGGTTTACGCCTGTAATCCCAGCACTTTGGGAGGTCAAGGCAGGCGGATCACCTGAGGTCAGGAGTTCGAGACCAGCCTGGCCAACATGGCAAAACCCCATTTCTACTAAAACGTACAAAAATTAGCCGGGCGTGGTGGTGGGCACCTGTAATCACAGCTACTTGGGAGACTGAGGGAGAATTGCTTGAACCTGGGAGGCAGAGGTTGTGGTGAGCCAAGATCGCACCATTGCACTCCAGCCGGGGCGACAGAACAAGACTCTGTCTCAAAAATAAATAAAATAAAATAATTAAAGATGTCTGGAAGACTCTTGTTCCAAAGGTGTATGTACTGCCTGATTGACACAGTGCCCAAGAGCCCGCCCACCACTGGGGTTTGGGCCAATGGGCTGCGCACTGCCCTCCCTGGGCTCCTTAGATCACATATCTCCAGGACAAGGAACTTTCAGGCCCTGCTTTTTGAAGGTTTGGAATGTTGGAGCTGGAGGGAGGCTGGAGATCAGGTATTCTATCAGTTGCTGCTGTAATTCTGTTAGCACCTGCTGAGAGGATTGCTCCGAGTCCTACAGCTGGTTAACAGCATACCTGGAAGCAGGTCTCAGGGCCCCAACCCTCAGCCTCATGTTGTTCAGTGATACCTCACACAACAACATCAACACAGAAAAGCCACTGAGGGAGGCATCTCTGGACATCACACAGCAAGCACTGATGAAGAGTTTGGAGTCAGCCCTGAAGTCCCCAGGGAGTTCCGTCCTCAGGTCCTGGTTTCACTTCCCTGTTCAGGGGCACCGCCTCAGAGCTCTTGAGCTGGTTCCCTGTGCACCTTCTGGAGCCCACAGGGAGGCATGAGGTTCTCACCTAAAAACTCACATTTGCAGTTACTCTGAAAAATTAAAAGATCTGGTGGCCGGGCACGGTGGCTGACGCCTGTAATCCCAGCACTTTGGGAGGCCGAGGTGGGCGGATCACGAGGTCAGGAGATCGAGACCATCCTGGCTAACACGGTGAAACCCCGTCTCTACTAAAAATACAAAAAATTAGCCGGGCGTGGTGGCGGGCGCCTGTAGTCCCAGCTACTCAAGAGGCTGAGGCAGGAGAATGGCGTGAACCCGGGAGGCGGAGCTTGCAGTGAGCCGAGATAGCGCCACTGCACTCCAGCCTGGGCAACAGTGTGAGACTCCGTCTCAAAAAAAAAAAAAAAAAAAAAAAAAAATTAAAAGATCTGGCAACATTGGGCCCACATTTCTGCACGGGCACTAGAGCCCATTCTGCATGGACACGAGCCAAGTAGGAGCCACTCTCTCTGGGTTGCCACAGTCTCCACTGCTCCCTATCACCCCTGGCCTGGCCCACTTCACTCATGGTGCTACCTGCCTGGCCCCAGCTGGCTTTGGTGTCCATGACTCACAGGTCAGAGACGGGCATCTTCAGCCTCAGCGTGTTTCTTCTTTAGCTTTGAGAAAATGGACTCAACTTCTTTTTCAAAGATGGGGTCTTGCTCTTTCGCCTAGGCTGGAGTGCAGCAGTGCAATCTTTGCTCACTGCAGCCTTCAACTCCTGGGCTCAAGTGAGCTTCCTGCCTCAGCCTCCCAAGTAGCTGGGACTACAGATGCCAGCCACTTTGCCCAGCAGGACTCAACTTTTTAAGCACCCACTACTTCTTTTCCACTTCTCAAGGCCCAATGGGCCCAAATTAACAGACCCCAAGCCCCTTCCTCTCCCCCGACTCACTGGAGGATGCCAATGTAGTCTTCCACTGTGGCCGGGTGAGCCGACTGCCAGTTCTTCTTGAACCCAACCACCAGAATGTTGGGCTTCATTCTCCCGAGACCTGCGGCCTGCCAGGGGATAGGGGTGAGATGGGGAACCCATCAGAGGGGCAGAGTTGGTGATCCACCTGGCCAGAGCCCCAACTTTCTGATGTCTCCAGATGTGCTGATTCTCAAAAAAAAAAAAAAAAAAAATATATATATATATATATATATATATAATCTTAAAAATTTTTGTTTTGCACAAAACAAAACTTTATTGGGAGAAAGATGACTGATGGGAGGAAATATCTGAATTCCAGAATCCTCGATTCTAGTTCTCGCTTGGTCACCAACACCCTACATCCCTCCCAGTGCCCCCAAGAGTTAGAATTGGCCAAGGTGACACAAGCCCCCACAGGCTTCCAAGTCAGTTTCCCAGGTCCTGGGCATTCCGAGAAAGTGCCCAGAACCAGCACATCTGGAGACATAAGAAAGTTGGGGCTCTGGCCAGGCATGGTGGCTCATGCCTGTAAACCGAGCACTCTGGGGGGCTGAGATAGGTGGATCACCTGAGGTCAGGAGTTAGAGACCAGCCTGGCCAACATGGTGAAACCCCGTCTCTACTAAAAACACAAAAAAACTAGCCGGGTGTGGTGGTGGGTGCCTGTAATCCCAGTTACTCAGGAGGCTGAGGCAGGAGAATCACTTGAACCCGGGAGGCGGAGGTTATTGCAGTGAGCTGACATCACACCATTGCACTCCAGCCTGGGTGACAAGTAAAACAAGTCTCAAAAAAAAAAAGTTGGGGCTCCTTCTGCAGCAAAAGGGGCTTAAGCAAAGGGGCCGCCAAGACTTTCTGCCTTCCAGGTTGTGCCACCAAGCCGTAAGTCCTGTAGGGGAGCCCCCAGTCCATGGCACCTGCATGAGGATCTGGACGCCTCTGCGGAGGTCCTCGGCAATGACATCCGAGTAGAAGGCCTTGATCTTCCTCTTGTTCAGCCACTTGGTGTGCCCGTTGGCGATGAGCTGGAGCTCAGGCATCCTCTGCTTGTGGGGTCCCTGTGGGTGGGAGGGGCAGGGGACATCACCAGCTGCCTTCACCCTCCAGCCTGAGATTCAACCCCTCTCCTGCCCTGGAGGCTGCCCCAGGGGCTTGGCAGCACCCACGGTGCCCTTTTCTTTTGCCCAGATAAGGGAAAACACAAGGAGTGGGGGAGAAAGTGGGGAGGAAGGGAGAGGGAGGGGGCAGAAAAGAGGCAGGGCAGCTGGGGGAGAAGCCAGCAAGAGGGGCCAGGAAGGGGAGAGAATGGGGTCCATGGGGGGTGCCTGGCTGGGTGCCCCTTGCTCCGCATCCCCTCGGCCCCCACTCTGTGGGTGGACATCACACCCAGGCGACTCCCCCAGGAGCTGTGTTGGCCAGGCTGGTCTCAAACTCCTGACCTCGGGTGATCCACCTGTCTTGGCTCCCCAGAGTGCTGGGTTTACAGGCATGAGCCACCATGCCTGGTCCCCTGTGCCCCTCCAGGGGCCACTCACGATGAGCACGTGGCCACAGATCATCAGGCTGAGGTTCCGGGTGAAGGTGCCCACAAAGTCCACCAGGGCCGGGCGGAAGTTGGGGGGCCCCGTGAGCACCAGGCACTGGGGGCTGAGGAGGGAAGGGAAAAGGGCAGGAGCCATCAGGAGAGAGCCCACGGGGGTCTGGGTGCGAAAGGCACCTCCCAGGCTCCCTGAATGGTGGTGTGGCCACCAGCATGACCCTACATGCTTGGGGCCTCGGCTTCCCACCTATAAATCCAGGGTGACTTTTGGGGCTCTTCCTGCTCTTTTGGTGACCTCCACACTAGTCTCCCTGGTCCTTCCTGCTCAGGCCACAAAATGCTACCCCCCATGCATGTCCCCTGCCCTGCCTAGCCCAGCATGGTGGGGGAAAGAACAAAGCCTGGGAGTGAGGAAACCTGTCACTTACAAACTCATCAGTTACCCGGGAAGGTGACTCAGCCTCTGCGTCGAGAGGTAGCAGAGGGCAGTGGTCAAGGGCCATGACCTGAGTCAACTGGAGCCAGACTTAATCGGCCACTTGCCAGCTGTGTGACCTGGGGCCAGTTACTTAACCTCTCTGTGCCTCAGTGTTCTTGGGACTGGGTTAGTAATTTCCTGGACCTCAGCCGGTTCTTGTAAGGCTGTGTAAGGCACTTTGCAAGCACCTGGCTCATAGTAAGCATGACATAAATAGATATTGCCAATAATTATTAGGATCTGGTGGGAAGAGGATGGCAGGTGCATAAACCTCCTCTACAAAGAGGGGAATGAGCTTTGAAGGGTACCCAGGGGAGGTTCGTCACCATTGGCTCCGGCGATACTGTGATGGGAGCTGCAGCAACAATCACCTCAACACCAAAGCACGTTTCCACTGTGGAAACCAAGGCATGGAGAGGCCCCTTGACTTGCTTGGTCCCCATCAGGATATGTCCACCCCTGTCTTGTGGTGGCTGGGTGGCTCCTCCATGTCTGTTCCCTCTCTGAGTGGAGGCTGCACATACCCTGGGTCTGCCTGGGTCAGGTGACAGGTCTAGGCTTGGAAACTCCCAGGGTGGAGCCATCACTGGCCCTGGGGTCCCAGGTGGGTCCCAGCAGCTCTGCTCACCGGTAGTTCTTGATGTGGTCTTCCACCTCATTGAGGCCCACCGAGTAGCTGAGGGCCAGGTTGTAGGAGCCAGCCTGTACCGAGGAGCCCCAATTTACCTCTGGGAGAGCAAGGGAGCAACGGGGGTGAGAGCAGAGTTAGGAATCACTAGAGGAAACCAGACACGTGGAGGGACAGAGGTAATGTCGGCCTTCTCTAGGCACCGGGCACCCGTGGGAGCAGGGCCACCTGGGATGGGCAGCCTGCAAGGTGGAGGCCTGCGGACTGTGTGGCTGCACGTTGAAAAGTTACACATCAAGGCCAGGCACGGTGGCTCACACCTGTAATCCTAGCACTTTGGGAGGCCGAGGCAGGCGAATCACCTGAGGTCAGGAGTTCAAGACCAGCCTGGCCGACATGGTGAAACCCTGTCTCTACTAAAAATACAAAAGTTAGCCAGGTATGGTAGCATGCACCTGTAATCCCAGCTACTCGGGAGGCTGAGGCAGGAGAATTGCTTGAACCCGGGAGGTGGAGGTTGCAGTGAGCCGAGGTTGTGCTGCTGCACTCCAGCCTGGGTGACAGAATGAGACACTGCACCCCAGTCCCCCCACAAAAAAGTTACACCTCAAGCTCCACACGATATCCTCCTGCCTTGCCAAACCTTTGCAATGGCCTAGAAGCCCAGGTTGACACTTAGAATCCCAGGCTTTCTTAGAGTCCTGTTTCCTGCCCTCAGGTCGCTGCCACCCCAGGGTCCCTGCCTGCAGCCAAGTAGAGACCTTGCCCGGAGTCCAAGCTTTGTCTGCCTGCCATCCACACAACCAGCCCTCAGCCACCTCTGAGGCCTAGGTGTGCACAGCAGCCTGCTGGCCCCTCTTGGGGGACAGCCCTAGGGAAGAGGCTGAAGCAGGCCCTGGAAGCTCACTCAGGGTCCTTCGGACAGGGGATTCCAGGGTCCTGGGTGCCCAGGGGTGGCTTAGAGGTCGAGACATAGGCCCTGAGTGGGGACATCCCCTGGGGTTTCTTGCCACATTGGGAGGGATAAAGGGGAGGGGCAGAGAGGGGCCCTGGACAGCACAGAGCCGGACTCAGGGCCCTCCAACTGGGGCGGAGGGCAGGGCCGCCTGCATGGCTACCCTGGGGGAGGAGGGCCGAGGCCCCGCAGCTGAGATGCGCACCTGGCTTCTTGTAGATGACATAGAGCAGGAGGAAGAGCACCACGCCAATGGCGATGAGGGCCGCCCACCAGGTGAGGAGGAACATGATGACCACGGAGATGATAGCCCCAAACAGCGCCGCCCACTTGTTGTAGTATTGGAATGAAGGTCTCCACCCTGGGCCAAGGGCACCAGTCAGTGGGCATGCCTGGCAGTCGAGCCTCTTTCTAGGCCAGAGCTGCTGGGCAGGGCCTGGCAGTAATGCCAGCAGTGCCCAGAGCCGGGGTCCCAGCCTGTACCCACCAGCCATGAGCACCACCCACCCTGCCTCCTGGGCTGGGTCTACAGGCTCTGGGGCAAATCACACGCCTGCTTTGGCTGGCATTTCACCAGGAGCATCCAGCTCTGGCCAAATACAGCCACAGGACATCCCATGTCAGCAACAGCACCAGCTCCCATGGTGCCAAGGGGGTGAGATGGAGGGGGAAGGACATGATTCTGCCTGGCTCCCCACCAGCAGGTCAGGCCAGGGCTGCCACTAGTGACAGCTGCCTCATGGTGCAACTCCAGGGCCATCATACACATTGGGATCTATGTAAAAGGTGGCCTAGTAAAAGACAATGGCAATTTGGAGCTGGTTAGAAAAAGTCTTCCTCAGCCAGGCACAACTGTAATCCCAGCACTTTGGGAGGCTGAGGCGGGCGGATCATGAGGTCAGGAGATCGAGACCATCCTGGCTAACATGCTGAAACCCCGTCTCTACTAAAAATACAAAAAATTAGCTGGGCGTGGTGGTGGGCGCCTGTAATCCCAGCTACTGGGGAGGCTGAGGTGGGAGAATGGCATGAACCCGGGAGGTGGAGCTTGCAGTGAGCCGAGATCGTGCAACTGCTCTCCAGCCTGGACAACAGAGCCAGACTCCGTCTCAAAAAAAAAAAAAAAAAAAGAAAGAAAAAGTCTTCCTCAAGCCTCTTTATTGCCATCTGCCAGAAGTTTTCCATCATAAACATGCAAATATATGAAATCTATGATATGAATGGTGCCTCCTAGAGTTATGCAGTGTGCAACCTGCAGCACTGTCTGTGACAGCCCTAGCTGTGACTTTGGGCAATTCTCTTTCTCTGAAGAACCAGGCTCCTGATTCCTGTAAAACTGGGGAAGGAAAAGACTGGAAAACCCCTACAGATGGTAAGCAATGTATGAATCCATGTAAAGTGCACACTGTCAGTGCGCGAGAAAGGAGAGCCGCTATTATTATTATCATTATTATTATTACTATTATTTGAGACAGAGTCTTGCTCTGTCACCCAGGCTGGAGTGCAATGGCGCGATCTCTGCTCACTGTAACCTCCCCTTTCCCAGTTCAAGTGATTCTCCTGCCTCAGCCTCCCGAATAGCTTGGATTACAGGTGACCGCTACCACATCTGGCTAATTTTTGTGTTTTTGTAGAGACAGGGTTTCACCATGTTGGCCAGGCTGGTCACAAACTCCTGACCTCAAGTGATCCGCCCACCTCCGCCTCCCAAAAATGCTAGGATTACAGGCATGAGCCACCGAGCCCAGCCGAGAGCTGCTATTATTATATTAATGTTCCCTTTCAATGGTTTTAAATTGAGAGGTGACCTTGGGCTGCCAACCTCCACCCATGCCTCCCACTCCCACCCCATGCCCCAGTTCCTCCTGCCCCCTGGGTGCCTCCTCCTGAGGTGGGTGAAGGGTTTGCTTACCAGGCGAGTTGGTGATGGAGGCGTGGAAGCAGCTGAAGTTGATGAGGGCATAGGAGCAGAGGAAGAAGTTGGAAATGATGGGGGCTATGGTGTTGAGCTCAGCTTCGGGGACCCAGGGAGAGAGAGGACAGCCTGTTGGGCAACTCTGCCAAGGACTGGCTTGGCACCCTCCTTCCCAGGGTGGGGGACCCCAGACAGGCCACCAAGGCTCAGTCAGTCTCAACCTTCTCATCTGTGAAATGGGTCCACCTCATCTGTGAGATGGGTCCATCCTTTTGTGAAGCTCAAAGGGATGGTGTCTTGTAAACTGTAAGCGCCCAGCTTTTAAGACAGTGGGGGTCAGTGTGAGAGTAGACCCCATCAGGCTATGGGATGACCAAGGGTAGTGGCTGTCACACTGTTTTGACCACAAATGACAGCAAGAAATACTTTTCTTTTTTTTTTTTTTTGAGACGGACTCTCGCTCTGTCACCCAGGCTGGAGTGCAGTGGCGTGATCTCGGCTCACTGCAACCTCTGCTTCCTGGGCTCAAGCGATTCTCCTGCCTCAGCCTCCCTAGTAGCTTGGATTACAGGCATGCACCACCACGCCCAGCTAATTTTTGTATTTTTAGTAGAAACAGGGTTTCACCATGTTGGCCAGGCTGGTCTCGAACTCCTGACCTCAAATGATCCACCTGCCTCGGCCTCCTAAAGTGCTGGGATTACAGGCATGAGCCATTGTGCCTGGCCAGAAATACATTTTGCAATGTGGCCCAGGACACCTAAGACCGTAACACAGCTCCACCCCACTGGTACCCCAGTGGTAACCCACCCAAGAACTGCTTCCTCTTCCCTGTCTCCCTGTTCCCCTCCCCTGCTACTGCCCCCAGCACCCCAGATAAACTTTTACATATTAATCCTTGTCTCGGGGCCTGCTTCTGGGGATCCCAAAACACGACGTGCACCAATGTGCCAGGTCCTCTGTCCATGATTTCATGTAATCACCTAAGAACCCTGCCCGGAGCATCTGAGATCATGGTCCTCAGTCTGAAGTCAAGTCAGACCCCCCCCCAGATGAAAGGACATCGAATCTGCATCAGGGTACATTGCAGGGAAATGTGTTTCTGGGCCCCGGTGAGCAGGAAGCAGAGACGGGGCCGGGGAACATCAAGTCTGACCAGACTTTTCCATCCCTGCCACCTCTTCATGTGGTCCAGGACCCAGTAGTGCCTGGTGTCTGAAAAGCTTACCTTGGGTAATAGTGACTAGGCTATCAGGGCAAATCTCATGGACTGTGATACCAGCCTGAACGGCATGGATTCACTGTTGGCAGGAGGGTGCCCATGAGCCCAGGGAGGCTGGCCAGTAGTCTACCCCCATCCC
Organism: Homo sapiens; assembly: GCF_000001405.40. NCBI lineage: Eukaryota > Metazoa > Chordata > Mammalia > Primates > Hominidae > Homo > Homo sapiens. The sequence continues at coordinate 56,881,133 of NC_000016.10, read as the reverse complement.
ACTCCTGCATAGGGAGCAGGGGCCAGGGGACATCATGTTGCAGCATGGCCACTGCCCGTGCTTGGTGTGGCCACCTCTCTCCTCGCGAGTTCTGCCTCCATGGCTAAGTAAATTAGGCAAGTATTGGGCATGTGCACATGTGAGTATGTGTGCACATATGAGTGTGTGTGCATATATGAATGCATGTAGGTCTTCCTGCACAGGTGGTCTCTTCCTGCCCATCTGAGACACACCTGTTAGGCACTATTGCTCCCATTCTGCAGATGAGAAAAATGAGGCTCAGAGAGGTGAAGTACCTTGTCTAAGGTCACACAGCTGGCACATGGCAAAGCCTGGATAGGAAGTTGATCTAATGAACCGATTACCTGGGCTCTTTTCTCTTAAGACATCTACCACCTTGAAGCCCAAGGAGTCTAGAAGCCCTAGGCCCTTGGAACTAGGTTTGTCTAGTTTATATACCTATGAGGATACTGACCAGCCATTGGTATCCCATCCCAAGGAGAGACCAGTCAGCTTGTCCCATGCTCCAAAGGTGTTCTGGGGTTCATTTAGGCCTGGGGAGGGGGATGCTAGCTGCCAGGACATGTGAACGCAGACCGGGGGAACAGGTAAGTTCTCTTCTAACAAAGCAGAAGGCTCTGCTGCCTGACATGGTTTGGGAGCCACCCTGCCTGGAGGTGGGAAGGGGAAGGATCACATGGCCCCCCGATGTCTCCTCCCAGGTGGGGTCTCACCCCTCAAGACTTAGCCTCTTAGTGCCCACTAACTGTCAGGCCCGGCGGGGAGATGAGGAGACAGGAGAAGAGCCCGGCCCCCAAGACCCTCATGGCCGGCCAGGGGAACAGGAGGCCAGGCCCTGTGAGCCCTGGCAGAGCCTTACCGATGATGATGAAGGCCACAGCGATGGCGTAGGCCAGCAGGTAGCCACGCACGGGCTCCTTGTTCTTGCCATAGCCTTTGCCGAAGAAGCCGATCAGTGGGTACAGCTGGTCCTCGCAAAGGCACTGCAGCACCAGATGCCGCACTCACCCTTAGGCTGGGACCTGCCACTTCCCCTCCCCTGGGGCCACCTGAGCTCCAGCCCCGGCTCGGTGCCCTCCGTGACCTCCCCAACCTGGGTCCTGGTGTCTGTTTCTATTAAACAGGGATGCTCACCCCCTCCACCCTCCCCGCCCTACCATAAAGACAGTAAAAGAGCATGACTGGGGGATGGATGGCTTCGGGTAGAGCTTGAATGGTGGAGTTGCGGACAGGATGCTGGTGGCACAGGTGGGAGTTTGGGGTGGGGACTGCAGGTGTTTGTCAAGTCGGAGGGGGCTGCTTCCTTCAAGAGTTTGCTGATAGCTCCTTTTCCCTTCTGGCTAGAGACCCCAGTCTAATGACACCTTCAGGTGTTTGTAGCAGTCACCCAGGGACCCGCCCTATTGTGCCTCTAGCCCAGGCTCCCCACCCCCTGTCATCTCGACCCCTTTCTGCGGCCTCACCTGGAAGACTTTGGCAGCAGAGACAAGGCAGGCCAGGGCAGAGGAGAGGGTGGCCCCGAAGATGCCAGCCGTGATCAGGGGCGCGAAGCCTGACACCATGCTCATGGTCTGTGGGGATTTGGGGCTCAGGGACTCCACGGTGGGGGCTGAGCCAGGAGCCCCCATCTGTGGCACTTCATTCCCTACTGCGGGCAGGGGCTGGGTCCTGAGCCTCCACCTGAGTCCACAACCCACCCCTGGAGATCCCAGTGTCCACCCACAAGTCGGGACTGGACAGACCTGGGCTCTGAACCCCTCTCTCCTAAGCCTAGGCCTCAACCCCCAAAACTATGTCCCCCCAACAAACTTCCAGGCCTGCAAGGGGCCCTGCAGCCTCCACCCAGCCCCCACTGTGTCTGGTGGGTCAGCTCTCCTGGCAGTACCTGGTAATAGTTGATGAGGCCGTAGTGGCAGCTGTGCTGCTGGGTGCACTCGGTGAAGTTCCAGCCATAGCTGCAGGCCAGCCCCTCGCAGGCACCCCAGCCAGGGGTCACTGTGTCATTCAGGACCCCAGAGGCATCACGCACCACGCAGGAGCCTGAGAGGAGGAAGGAGAGCATGGGGAGGTCTGCCTTCCCTCCTTACTCTGTCCTCTTCCAGCCCCACCTCTGCAGAGGGCGAGGTGCTGCAGATGATGGGCAGCTGTCCCTTCATTATGCAATGATAATGATGACAATGAAGGTGTGCCCGGAGCCATGATAAGTACTTTACAATAACCTACGAGCAGGCATTACTATTATTTTTGTTGTCGTTGCCATTTTACAGAGGCGCAGAGAGCTTGAGTGACCAAGATCACAATGTCCTCCTTAGATCGGAGACCTGGATCTCAAGCCTCGAGTGGCTGTGAGCTGGACCAAGTCCCTTGGCCATTTGTGAACAGCTTGCCTCAAACGGGGCCACTGGGAGGAAGTACATCTGTGAGGATCTCAGTTCAAGGCAGGTGTTAACAGCCCAGACCTGGGCTCAAAGCCTGGCTCCACCATTCAGTGGCTGTGTGACCCTGGGCAGGTCACTTAACGTCTCTGAGCCCCCATTTTCTCCTTGGTGAAATAGGGAAAATGACAATGATAGGACTGGCATGCAAAGGGCGGGGCACATGGGAAGTCAGTTACTGGTATCATTATCATCATCATCATCATCATCATCACTCCTAGATTTGTCCTGTAGGATCTTCACACTCATGAATCTGGGCCTTCAAGGGACCCAAGGAGCCTGGTCTGACCCCACCACGCCCACTGCCATGAAGATGCTCTGATCATTGCCAAGATACCCCAGAGATAGGTTCAAGGCTTCACATCCTAAGGTCGCCACACCCTCCCAGCCCAGCTCTCCCTGTTGTTAGAGAGTCGAACCCCACCCTCTGATCCCCTCCAGTGGTCAGGGTTTTGGGACACTGCAGGGTGGAGGCCAGGTCCCTCCCCCTCCTGACTGGCTGGGCCGGCCACTTACCAATGGTGGCTGAGATGGCCAGGTAGGAAATGGTCGTCCAGAAAATGGCCATGAGGGTCCCCTTGGGGATGGCTATAGCAGGGTCCTGAAGGAGGGAGGGAGAGAGGGAGGGAGGGAGGGAGGGAGAGAGGGAGGGAGGGACGGAGGACATTAGGCAGCCCCTGGGCCTCCTTCCAGGCCTGTCCTCCTTGTCTAAGGCTGAGGCTGGGGGCAGCAACCTCTGACCTTGGCCCCTCAGAGCCCCTGTTCCAGCACAGAGAGGAAGGAGCCTCATGACTGAGGACCCCCAGAGAGGGATGAATACAACCAAGATCACGGGTCGGAGACTCCACCCAAGGCCCTGGGAAATGGAGGCAGAGAGAAGAAATTCAACAGCTCCACGCCTGCGCCACAGAGGCCACTTGGCCAGGGTTTGCTGTGAGGGTGGTAAGGGTGGGGGCAGGGTGGTGGGCTCTGGAGTCGGCCTGCCCGGGTTCACTTCCAGGCGGCCAGCTGGGCAGGGGGCTGTGCTCTCACACCCCGGCCCCTCATCTGTCAGGGATGTTGGTGAAATAAATTAATCCACATTGACATCCTAGACCAGGACTCCCCTCCCCGCCAGCCCTCACAGCGTGTTCAATCATTATGCACCAATTGATTTGTCTGGTTCCTCAACCATAAATAGGATACACCCCAAATTTTCTCCTTCCGTTCTAAGAAATAAATATCTGCTCATATTTTCTTGCTTTTTTAAAATTATTTTTTATTTTTATTTTATTTTTTTTTTGAGACAGAGTCTTGCTCTGTCACCCAGGTTGGAGTGCAGTGGCATGATCTCGGCTCACTGCAACCTCCACCTTCTGGGTTCAAGCAATTCTCCTGCCTTAGCCTCCCAAGTAGCTGGGACTACAGGCATGTACCACCACTATAGGCGCCCTAATTTTTGTATTTTTAGTAGAGACGGGGTTTCACCATGATAGCCAGGCTGGTCTTGAACTCCTGACCTCAAGTGATCCACCCACCTCAGCCTCCCAAAGTGCTGGGATTACAGGCGTGAGCCCCCGCGCCCGGCCGCTCGTATTTTCTTAACAGTGATCACAAGCCTTCACGAACACAGCATGTGTTCCACTCTTCTAGGCACTTTCTCAAATGTAATTTCCTGAGAAGTGGCCTGGGCACCCCTGCTCAGCTGGTGGGGAAACTGAGGGCAGAGAGCTGCGAGGAGGACACAGCTCTGGGCCTGACCACACCAAAGTCAACAGCCTCGGGCTCCAAGGACTGATCCTGGGTGCAGCAACACAGGCTGGGATTTTTACAGTAAGTTCAAGACCTGCTCACTTTCCAGACACAGACCCCAACCTGAAGGCAAAGGCCAGGCCTGCCATGGGAAGTCAATTTATAAACCCCCCCAGCCTTCCCTGGGCTGTTCTGCTCACCATCCAGTTAGCAGATGGCACCGCAGATTAGGAGCAAGTCAAGTGTGTTGGGGGGCTACCAGGAGGAGGTGGGAGGGAGGATGTGGCAGGCCTGGGGAAAATGGGAACAGAGGTGTAGAGCTGGAGTCTCTAGAGCCCAGGTCTGCTGGGACCTCCAAGCCTTGGCCAAGTGCCCTCTGTGGCCCAGACGTGGAGCTGTTGAATTTCTTCTCCCTGCCTCGGTCTCCCAGGGCTTTGGGTGGAGTCTCCACCCCAGGGCTCTGCAGGGCCCCTGCAGGCATGGACCTGCCAGCCCTGCCCGGCAAACCTGTTTGACTCAACTGGGCCATGCACATGGGGTCCCCAGCCCCAAAGCCAACAGAACACACCAGCCTCCCACCCTGCCTCTAGTGGATTGAATAGCGTCCCCCAAAATTCACATCCACCCAGAACCTCAGAATGTGGCCTTATTTGGAAACAGGGTCTTTGCAGGTGCAGTTAGTAAAGATGAGGTCATACCGGATTAGGGTGGGCCCCAAATGCAATGACTGGTGTCCTTACAAGGAAAGGACCCACAGATGAAAGAAGGCCACGTGAGACAGAGACAGAGATTGGAGTGATGCAGTTGCCAGCCAAGAAAAAGCCACTGTCAGCAGCCACCAGAAATTAGGAAGAGGCAAGGCAGGATTCTCCCCTGGGTTTTCAGGGGGAGCTTGGTCCTGCTGACACCTGGATCCCGGACTTTTAGCCTCCTGAACGGGGAGGGAATATAGGTCTGTTTTTAAGCCACCCAATTTGTGGTGAAAACACAAATACACCAGCCATCAGCCCCCATCCTGCCTCCTGCATCTAGAGCTGAGATCTCAGCCTCTGGATGTGCTGGGAAGAGGCAAGCAGAGAAGAGGTGAGCTGGGTAGAGGTGGGCTGAGATGTGGACCTGGATGTGCCTAACTCTGAGATTGTTGCCCGGGGATTTAACAACGTTAGGCACATCCAGGTCCACATCTCAGCCCACCTCTTCCCTGCTGTGTGCACTGGGAGAAGCCCCTTAACATCCCTGAGCCTCAGTTTCCCCATCTGTGAAATCAGAAAATAACTTGGCAGGTGACAAGTGCCCATAAATGTGAGCTGTTGGGGTGGGGGCAGGATTGTGCACAGGGGCATGCCCTGAGGCAGCACAAAACGTATTTGTTAGATGATGAAATTGTGATGTAGTTGAGGCCTCTCTGTTTTAGAAACTGGCATTCCGGCTCCTCTGCCACCTGTGTAGTCCTGGGCAGGCCCCCGAACCTCTCTGACCTTGGCTTGCTTGTCTATATCATGGTAAAAATGACAATGATAACAAGAAGCCCTTAGCTCCTGCTCTGAGCCAGGCACTATTCTAAGCACTTTACATGAATTAGCACATGGAATCCTCCCCACCGCCCTGCAAGATGGGGGCTGTACTCGTCCCATTTTAGAATTGGGGAAGCTGAGGCCCAGGGAGTTTTAAAGGGACTTGCCCAAAATGTCACAGTGAGGGCTCCACAAACAGTGGCTCTGCTGCTGAGGATGCTGTCCCACAGGATGGGTGGAGGCCATCCAAGAGCCCCTTAAAGCTTGAGGGCATTTAGGACAGAGTGCAGGCGCGCGGGCCTCATCCAGCTTCAAGACAGCTGACGCCTGCTGGTTGGTAACCTAAAAAGCTTGATGAGGCATCGAGATAAATTCCCAGGCAACGATCTAATGAGACTGCATGGAATCCAGGCTGTCTGAGCACAGGCCCAACCTCTGCGGGACCTCAGGGCAGGCAGACCAGGCCTCTGCTGGCCATTCCCCAGAAAAAGGAGAGGAGCCAAACCAACGGCTGTTCTCCAATTTCCAGGCCCTGCCCAACACCACCTGGTGCATAGCTGCTTAAAGCCACGCTGGCTTCACAGTCGACTCCATGTGCATTCCTTTTTTTTGCGGGGGGGTGAGGTTTGAGATGGAGTTCCGCTCTGTCACCCAGGCTGGAGTGTAGTGGCGCCATCTTGGCTCACTGCAACCTCCGCCTTCCGGGTTCTAGCAATTCTCCTGCCTTAGCCTCCCGAGTAGCTGGGATTACAGGAACCCACCACCACACCCGGCTAATTTTTATGTTTTTAGTGGAGACTAAAACAGTTTCATCATGTTAGCCAGGCTGGTCTCGAACTCCCGACCTCAAGTGATCCACCTGCTCTGGCCTTCCAAAGTGCTAGGATTACAGGCATGAGCCACTGTGCCTGGCTCAATGCACAGCTCTTAATTTGCTTAAGAAAATGCATCAAGGAGCGCCTTCCAAATGAGACTGGAGGTTTGGGGTAGGGGTTAGCTGTGATTTCCAGTGTGGGGCTAGCTCCCCATTCATCACCCCCTCTTGCCTGCCACCTCCCTTGAGCAAAGGTTCTGCCAGCTTGTCACCTTTCAAAGCCCAGCTCTGGCGCCTCCTGCACCCAGAAATTCTGCTGGAACCCCTGCCAACATCAGTCTCTCCTTCTCCCTGCTGGTGCAGCACTTTGTGCTACTGCTCAAACACTGCATTTCACCATGATTCAGTCAACAAACATGTACAGAGCACCTAGTATGTGCCAGGCTCTGAGCTGGGAGGGAATAGGGAGACAGAGGCAAGTCTCCGTTCTCCAGATGCCGGGGCAACAGATACGCGTTTGGCCCAACATCATTATGCTGGGGAACCATGACTCTGATGGAAGGGCTGGGAGAGATGATAGTTGAAGGCGGTATTTGAAAGAGAAACAGGCCAGGAGAAGTGGCTCACTCCTGTAATCCCAGCACTTTGGGAAGACAAATCGGGTGGATCACTTGAGGTCAGGAGATCGAGACCAGCCTGGCCAACATGGCGAAACCCTGTCTCTACTAAAAATACAAAAATTAGTTAGGCGTGGTGGCAGGTGCCTGTAGTCTCAACTACTCTGGAGGCTGAGGCATGAGAATCACTTGAACCCGGGAGGCGGAGGTTGCAGTGAGCTGAGATCGTGCCACTGCACTCCAGCCTTCCAGCCTGGGCGACAGACCGAGACTTCATCTCAAAAAAAAAAAAATAAAATAAAATAAATAAAAGAGGCTAGGCATGGTGGCTCACCCCTATAATCCCAGCACTTTGGGAGGCCCAGGCGAATGGATCACCTGAGGTCAGGAGTTTGAGACCAGCCTGGCCAACATAGCAAAACTCCATCTCTACTAAAAAATACAAATATTAACCGGGTGCGGTGGCAGGCACCTGTAATCCCAGCTACTCAGGAGGCTGAGGCAGGAGAATCGCTTGAACCCGGGAGGCGGAGGTTGCAGTGAGCCAAGATCATGCCATTGCACTCCAGCCTGGGCAACAAGAGCAAAACTCCATCTCAAAAAAAAAAAAAAAAAAAAAAAAAAAAAGAAAGAAAGAGAAACAGAACAGACTTTCAGGGTAAAAAAGCAAGCGTACGGAGTTGCAGGTAGAGAGCGCAGCACAGGCAAAGGCGTGGAGGAGGGACGAGGTAACACGGGCAAAGCAGTAGAGCCTCAGGGCTGCAGCAGGCTCATGGGAAGGGTGGCACTGGTCAGGGATGAGGCTAGACAGGCAGGCTGGAGCCTTGAATGCCAAGCCAAGAAGCCTGCCTGCAGCAAGGCAGTGGGGAGCCCTGGGAGGATGTCAGCCCAGCAAAGATGTGCATGAGCAAGGCTGGGCTCTTAAGGTCACAGCTGGGCCAGTCTTCCCCTAAGGCTGAGAGTTCTGGGAACTAGGGAGGAACCTAGCCATTCTGTGGTGTCCCTCAAGCCTAGAACGCAGCTGGTCTTCATAAACAACCTCAGAACGGAATGGAATCGGTTGGATTGGGTTGAACTGAGCTGAGTTGGACTGGACTGGATTTTAGAAGCCCTGCCTCCCAGGTCAGCGGCAGATGCCACTAGAGCAGGGGGCAGGATTCTGCTCATAGCCCCTGTGCAGTGCCAGGACACAGGAGGGGCAAGTATTCTGCTCACCTTGAGGTCACCAGATATGTTGGCCCCTGCCAGGATGCCTGTGGCCGAGGGGAAGAAGATGGAGAACATTCCGAAGAAGGTGCCATCTGGACCCCGCCAGTCAGGCACCAAGTTCTGGACAAAAATGTCCGCTGGAAAAGCAAGGCCTGATGAGTAAGGCTCACCTGGAGGGCTTGACCCCCCTTGCTGGGACCCACTGGGCAGGCAGCCCCTGACCATGGGATTGGGTAATCCCATCCTCCCAGTGTCCACACAATGGGCCAGATTCCTGGGTAGAGAGTCCCTGTCCCCAGAGCCATGGTCAGGGCCTTGATCAGCACATACCCCGGTAGCTGAAGAAGCCTTTGGAGGCCTTGTCCTCAGATGGGGGGATCAGCGTCCCCACTAAATAGTTGGCAAAGGAGACCATGATGACAAGGAAGAACAGCACCTGGGCCTGGAGGGGGCGAAGGACCCCAGAGGTCAGATAGTTTTGTTCTACCTCTCTGGGAAGCCCCGCCAGAAAATGATTTGCCCAGGGCCCGTTTCTCCATTATTCACTCACTCATTCATTCAACACCCATTATGCAGCAGGATCTGTTCAAGGAGTTGGGAATATAGCAGTGAACAAGACCGCCAAAGCCTCTTGTCTTGGCTGATAAATAAGGAGGATGAATTTAAAGTAAGAAGAGGTTTGGGAGGCCGAGGTGGGCGGATCACCTGAGGTCAGGAGTTTGAGACCAGCCTGGCCAACATGGGGAAACTCTGTCTCTACTAAAAATACAGGCCGGAAACAGTGGCTCAAACCTGTAATCTCAGCATTTTGGGAGACCGAGGTGGGCGGATCACCTGAGGTCAGGAGTTCGAGATCAGCCTGGCCAACATGGTGAAACCCCGTCTATACTAAAAATACAAAAATTAGCCAGGCATGGTGGTGGGTGTCTGTAATCCTAGCTACTTGGGAGGCTGAGGCAGGAGAATTGCTTGAGACGAGGAGGCGGAGGTTGCAGTGAGCCGAGATCACGCCTCTGCACCCCAGCCTAGGTGACAGAACGAGACTCCATCTCAAAAATAAATAAATAAATAAATAAATAAAGAAGAGGGAGTGTGATGGGGACTGGGTGGAGCTCATTTAGCAGGATGACCTGGGAAGGTGTCACCAGAGAGAAGGTGTTTAGCAGACACCTTAAGTGGGAGAATGAACAAGCCAGAGAACTGTCCAGGGAATTCAGCTCAGGGCATCCAAGGAAGAGCAAGGAGGACACCCTCTGACAGCTGCAGGTCAGAAAATGCGGGGAGAGGACAGGCTGCAGGGGCCAGGTCCTGCCCTGCCTGTAGGGCCTGTCCGGCTGAGTCTGCCAGCAGGATCCATGATTCAGTTGAAGGCCACACCTCCCCAGGCTCCCTCGCAGCCATGTGTGACAGCGATAGTGAAACTTCCAGATGGTGCCATAAAAAGAAAGAGAAAAGGGAATTCCCTCCCTTTCATTTCCCCCTTCTTTGCTTTCCCTCTGACTGGAGGGGATGTGGGTATGGTGGACCAGGTGGACAAAGGCCACGGCGCAGGGATGGAGGGAGCACAAGATGGAAGGAGTCTGGGTGCCCGGCCCCCTGAGCCACCATGCCCACCCTGGGCCATGTGGACCTAGGTTGTCACACAAGAGATACAAAGCAGCAGGGCACAGTGGCTCACACCTGTAATCCCAGCACTTTGGGAGGCCAAGGCGGGCAGATCACTTGAGGTCAAGAGTTTGAGACCAGCCTGACCAACATGGTGAAACCCCGTCTCTACAAACAATATAAAAATTAGCCAGGTGTGGTGGCAGGTGCCTGTAATCCCAGCTACTCGGGAGGCTGAGGCAGGAGAATCTCTTGAACCTGGGAGATGGAGGTTGCAGTGAGCCGAGATGGTACCACTGCACTCCAGCATGGACATCGAGCGAGATTCTGTCTCAAAAAAAAAAAAAGAAAAGAAAAAGAAAAGGCAGAGGACCAGGGAGGGCCCAGGCCTGGCAACCCCCGCTTCTCCACGTGACCACCTCCATGTCCCCCTCCTCCATGGCCTCCTCACCTTGGACTCCCACTCCATGCCAGCCAGGGAGATGGCCAGCAGCACAGTGACCGAGACCACGGCAATGATGCGGATGTCGTTAATGGGGTCCACGATGGGTGCCCCATACTCCTGGGGAGGGAAAATGGGCCAGGCTGCAAGCCACCCTCTGAATTCCCCATCCCCCAGACTCTGCCCACCTAGGAGGCACCTCCTGTGCGGTGCACTCTGCTAGGACGATGTTAACTCAAGCACCACCCCTGCCATCGAGTCCCCAAAGCAGCTGCTGCACGGGCCTGGACAGTGTGGCTCTAAAGGCCACACACACCCCCAAAGGGGACTTGTGGGAAAGCAATGGCCTTTATTTGATGAGATTGTCACTCTCACCCACAGTGATCAGGCTGTGGTTCCTGATGGGTGAAGTCAGGCAGAGCAGCAGGAGGCCCCAGCCCAGATGGGGCGGAGGAGAGTGCAATGGGCTGCCCGGATCCCTCTACCCAGGGTCCAGCCCCCCGGCCTCACCTGGAGCAGGTCCCGCACGGTCTCTGCAAAGCCCACCGTGTGCATGGCCACACCCACGGCATTGGCGAAAGCGAAAATGAGGCCGATGGAGCCCCCAAGCTCTGGGCCCAGACTCCGGGAGATGAGGAAGTAGGTGCCACCTATCAGGGCAGAGCCGGGAACCATGAAACCAGATGAGTCGGTTGGCTGGGGTGGACTCAGGGCAGGCAGAGGCCAGGAGAGGGTGGCCACAGGACCCACGGGGCAGGAGATAGCTGAGGCCATCTCGTGGTGTAGACAGCCTGCCTAGAGCCCTCTCCCGGAACCACAGGAGCGGCTGGGTGTACCATTGGGTTGGGGAAGTTGGGAGTCCTGTTCCCAGGATTAGGAGCCCACGAGAGGAGGGCCTTGGTGGAAAGGGGGATGGCCCACCTGACTTGACCTTGCCATTGGTGGAGATGGCTGAGATGGAGAGGCCTGTGATGGAGGTCACCGTGACCGACAGCAGGATGATGATCCAGGTCAGGACTGCAGGGGGCACCCAAAGCTTAGGCAGGGCATTTCCCAAGGGAGGAGCCCCAGTTTGCCTACTCATTCACCATGCGACCTACGTTCATCTCCCTTCTCTGAGCTTCAGTTTTCTCATCTGAAAAATGGGTCTCTGTCACTTTGGGAGGCCGAGGCGGGCAGATCATAAGGTCAGGAGTTCAAGACCAGCCTGGCCAACATGGTGAAACCCCGTCTCTACTAAAAATACAAAAATTAGCCAGGCATGCTGGCACATGCCTGTAATCCCAGCTACTTAGGAGGCTGAGGCAGGAGAATCGCTTGAACCCAGGAGGCGGAGGTTGCAGTGAGCCGAGACCACGCGACTGCACTCCAGCCTGGGTGACAGAGTGAGACTTCGTCTCAAAAAAAAAATGGGTCTCTGTCTACCTCCTGTCATACTCTGAATAGCCAGTGAGCCCTTGAGCCAGCATTTATTGGATTGTTAGGTATGGAGGGGAAGCTACCCTCGTTTAATAATAAAAAATAAAGTAGCAGTTACCACTCCGTGATCACCTCTGGGAGCCAAATCTGCGCTGTGTTTTTACTTGCATCCTGTAAAAGCCACAACGGTTCCATGAGGTAGGTTCTGTTATCACCCTCATTTTCCTAATGAGGAATCCAAGGCTCAGAGAGGTTAAGAAACTTGCCCAAAGTCACATAGCAGGCTACAGAGCTAGCATCTGAGTCCTGTTCTGTCCAGAATGCAGCTTTCTTTTTTATTTTTTATTTTTTTTGAGATGGAGTTTCACACTCTGTTGCCCAGGCTGGAATGCAGTGGCGTGATCTCGGCTCACTGCAGCCTCTGCCTCCCAGGTTCAAGCAATTCTCTGACTCAGCCTCCCGAGTAGCTGGGATTACAGGCACCTGCCAACCACGCCTGGCCAATTTTTTAATATTTTTAGTAGAGACAGGGTTTCACCATGTTGGCCAGGCTGGTCTTGAACTCCTGACCTCGTGATCCACCTGCCTCGGCCTCCCAAAGTGCTGGGATTACAGCCTCCCAAAGCGTGAGCCACCGTGCCCGGCCAGAGTGCAGCTTTCTAACCTGCACGCTTTGAGGTAGAAATGGGCTCTGAGAGGTTAAGTGGCTTACTGAGGGCAAATAGCCCTTAGGCCTGCTGACCCCATGTCCAGCGTGCCTCTGCCACACCACCCTGACCCCTGTCACTGCAGGGGCCTGAGACTGAACCAGGGAGGAGAAGGCCTGGCCGTTTGGTCTCTGCACCTCAAGTTTAATCCTGCAACCTTGGGGTCTGGGAAGAACAGGATTCAGGCAAGCTGGGAAGAATGGGATTCAGGCAAGCCCTCCCTCCTCTTCCCCAGAGGGGCACTCACCGATGCCTGCCTGGGCCGTAATCCAGGGCAGCCGCAGGTAGAGGATCACGCCCCAAATGTTGAGCATGCAACGAATCTGGGAGGACAGGGGGGTCAGAGGCCACCTGGGTGGACACCCCAAGGCCAAACGACAAGTCCCTGTCCCTTGCTATGGCAGGGTATCGAGCACCTAGGCCCTAGGGACACCTGGGTCCCTTCTTCACCCACTTCAGTAGGTTCCGAGTCTGGTTCTATGGGGCAAGAGGGTGAGAGGCACCCAGAGACCCACCTATCCCTCCCACCTATTTTCCCACCCTCCCGTTGAGTCCTGACGCTAGGCTACCAGCACTGTTAGCCCTCACTGTATCCATCCCAAGCCCAGGATCCTGTGTCTGCCAGCCCCGACCATGGCCCCAGTGGTCAGCAGTTGATCCAGAGCCTGGCATTTACAGGGAGCTCAGCAAATGCCAGGTGAGCCAGCGCCCCATGTAAGAGCAGATATCAGAGCTCAGGTGGCTGTGACTTCAGCTTCCAAATTTAAAGCAAAGCCAGAGGCCGAGATGGAGGCTGAAGCTTCCAGGTGGGAGGGGCTGGTGTGGTCGCTGGCCCCACTGAGTTGCAGGGCCGTTCCCGGCTCTGGCAACACAGCCCAGGAGGGAGATCCCAGCTCTGAATAAGAGCATCTGGGGGTCGGGGAGGGCTCGTGGTTCAGATGGAGAAACGGAGGCACAGCCAGTTGGCAGCGTTAAGATCAGAACCCCAGCCTCCTGCCTCCCGGAGCAGGGCTAAAGCCTTCTACATCCCATAAGATCCCCTCTGTAAAGTCCCATAATGTCTCCAAAGCCAAGTGTCCTTGATTGTCTACTGTCTGGAAACTTAATCCTGCTCCTCACTATAGCAAACCTTTTCCTTCCCTTCATGGAGGAGAAAAACACATTTACGGATTTGTGTGTTTAGTGCAGCCCCCTGGTGGCTTTTTAGGGAAACACAGTTTCTTCTAATTACTCCCCGGCAGGCTTTAATCTATTGTCTATTGATCTATTAACTCATTGAATTCATTGTACAGATGGGGAAACTGAAGCCCCACCAGGGCCTGAGAGTCAGAGCTGAGCCTGGATGGAGCTCTGCCACCCCACCCCCATTTCTGGACATCACGCACCACCCACACCCCACTCACCATCACCCCCTTGACCCAGCCGAAGCGCACTGGCTCCTCGGGGTTCTTCTCGCTGCTGGTGCCTGCCTCGCCCTCCACCAGCCCATCAGTCATCTCGTGGCTGGGCCGGCTGTCAAAGGCCAGGGCATGCAGGTGTCTGCCTTCCTGCTGGCAGCCCAGAGACCACAAGTCAGGCAGGTAGGGGTGCTAGGGACGGCGTCTCTGCATCCAGCCCACTGACCTGCACCACTGCGCCCCATACCGAGCACCCCCCGACCCCTCAGCCCACTGGGTGTTGAGCTGCTTGAGGGGCTTTTAAAATGCTCCCTAGGCCAGGAGCAGTGGCTCACGCCTGTAGTAAAAGCACTTTGGGAGGCCAAGGTGGGTGGATTGCTTGAGCTTAGGAGTTCAAGACCAGCCTGGGCAACAAGGTAAAACCCTGTCTCTACTAAGAAATACAAAAATTAGCTGGGCATGGTGGTGTGCACCTGTGGTCCCAGCTACTCAGGAGGCTGACATAGGAGGATCTCTTGAAGCCAGGAGGTGGAGGTTGCAGTGATCCAAGATCAGATGCCATGGGAGACTGGGAGTCCTGGGCGCTCCTGCTCATAACACCTCCTCCCCCTAGGAGAGCAGTGGCCTTAGAAGTGATTAGGCAGTTGCCTAGCCTTGTAATGGGCGACAGGATTATTATCACCCTGGAGAGGTGAAAGCTTGTCCAAGGCCACATAGTTGGTCCCTGGAGGGCTGGGTCTTGAAACCAGGCCTCTACCTCTGGGGCACTGGGAGGTCTCCTAGTTTGTGCCCCAAGTGACTGACGCCCTCCTCTGGGGCTTTCTTCCTGGCACTTCATCTCAGTATGGAGCCAAGGGCCATGTCTTGGTTTGCTCTGGGGTGGAGAAAAGGCCTGCGAATTTAGTAAGTCTTAGCCTCAGAATCAAGAACAATTCTGGGCTGGGCGTGGTGGCTCATGCCTGTAATTCCAGCACGTTGGGAGGCCAAGGTGGGTGGATCCTTTGAGGTCAGGAGTTCAAGACCAGCCTGGCCAATATGGCAAAACCCCATCCCTACTAAAAATACAAAAATTAGCTGGGTGTGGTGGTGCGCTCCTGTAATCCCAGCTACTCGGGAGGCTGAGGCAGGAGAATCACTTGAACCCAGGAGGCAGAGGTTGCAGTGAGCCGAGATCACACCACTGCACTCCAGCCTGGGCGACAGAGCCAGACTCCGTCTCAAAAAAAAAAAAGAAAAGAAAAGAAAAGAAAAGAAAAAAGAACAATTCAGCCCAATTGTCATATGGGAAAAGTGAGGCCAGACAGGGGTCATGACAATCCACCTTCCAGCCCTCCACTCTTCACAGTCCAGCCTCCCGGGCAGCAAACCCGGCGAGCCCTCTCTCTGAGGTGAACCTTCCCAGGCCCTTCTTGCCCTGTCTCTTTCAGGGGTGTGCAACCTGCTTGCATGCTTCTACTCACTGGAAGCTCATTACCTCTCTAGGCCTCCCACTCTAGCTTTGGGTTGCTAGTGATTGGCTAATATACATTCCAACATGTGCCCAGATTTCTGCAGCTCCACTATTTCACTGGGGCCTCTCAACCCAGGAAGAAGACGCTCCTCCATCCCCATGGCACAGATGACAGAACTGAGGCTCAGAGAGGTTAGGTAGCTGGGTCGAGGTCACACAGCAGGGAAGTGGCCAGTCTTCTGAGACAGCACTTACCTTGAGGAAGGAGTGCAGGTCAGCCAGTGTGGGCCGGACCTTCCGGGGCTCACCAGGCTGGGTGCTGTTGGCATAGTGCTCATATGTGGGCACCACATCGATCGTGTTGTAGCCAAAGGTGCGCATGCAGAAGGTGCTGCTGTGGGTCAGGTGGCTGGGGTGGCTGCTGTCATAGGCAGCTGGTGGAGAGGGCTCATCACTGCTCAGCAGTGTGCTGATGGTGAAGCGCCCGCTGCACAAAGTGGCGTCCCCAGGCGTCTCTGTTGTGGGCAGTTCTGCCATTGTCGCCTGGGTGTCCAGGGAGGGGCCAGGATCCGCAAGGACACACAGGGTGGTTTTATAGGCTGCGTCTGCACTGGGGAGGAGGCAGGGAGGTTGGCCTAAACCGCCCGTGGCTGGTGAGCAGGGTCCCCGGACAGGGCCGGAGGCAGAACACCATTTGATTGTGGAGATAGGGGACCCGCCTTGGATCTGGAGGGCTGGGCTGGCCCAAAGCCAGCCACTCCCTGAGTCCTGGAGTGGCTCTTCTGAGTCTGGGGGCAGCAGAGATCTTCAGCCAGGACCCAAGAAGGAGTTGTCAGAGAGGACCCTGAGGGGCCCCATAAGGGATCCTAGAGATAGCCTGGTGGCTTTGTAGCAGGACGAGCTGCAGTCAAAACTCCTCAAACACCGACTTAAAGAAGGAAGGGGTTTATTCGGCCGGGGGGCATCGGCAAGACTCCTGTCTCAAGAGCCGAGCTCCCAGAGTGAGCAATTCCTGTCCCTTTTCAGGGCTCACAACTCTAAGGGGGTGCATGTGAGAGGGTCGTGATTGATTGAGCAAGCAGGGGGTACGTGACTGGGGGCTGCATGCACCGATCATTAGATTGGAACAAAACAGGACAGGGATTTTCAAAGTGCATTTCTATAAAATGTCTGTAATCTATAGATTACATAACCGATTAGGTCAGGGCTCGATCTTTAACTACCAGGCCCAGGGTGTGGCGCCGGGCTGTCTGCTTGTGGATTTCATTTCTGCCTTTTAATTTTTACTTTTTCTTTCTTTGGAAGCAGAAACTGGGCATAAGACAATATGAGGGGTGGTGTCCTCCCTTAGCCTGAGGACACACTCTGGGTCCTACTCTATGAGAGTTCAAAAACCTCTCATATTAGTATTTGGATTTAAAAAATTTATTTAATATTGGGAGGCTGAGGTGGATGGATCACCAGCCTGGCCAACATGGTGAAACCCTGTCTCTATTAAAAATACAAAAATTAGCTGGGCATGGTGGTGGGCACCTGTAGTCCCAGCTACTTGGGAGGCTGAGGCAGGAGAATTGCTTGAACCCAGGAGGCAGAGGTTGCAGTGAGTCCAGATCGCACCATCGTACTCCAGCCTGGGCGACAGAGCAAGACTCTGTCTCGAAAAAAAAAAAAAATTATTTAGTAGTTTTGAATAGATGAATTATATAATTTTTTTTTTTTTTTTGAGACAGGTTCTGGCTCTGTCACCCAGGCTGGAGTGCAGTGGCACAATCGCAGCTCACTGAAGCCTCAACCACCAGACTTCAAGAATCCTCCCACCTCAGCCTCCCAAGTAGCTGGGGCCACAGGCATACACCATCATGTTTGGCTAATTTGTTTTTACTTTTTGTAGAGATGGGGTCTCAAGTCACCCCAACCACCTGACCCTGGATGCCCAGGCTGGTCTCAAACTCCTGGACTCAAGTGAGTCTCCTACCTCAGCCTCCCACCTCCCAAAGTGTTGGGATTGCAGGCGTGAGCCACTGCGCTTAGCTGGTATAATATTTAAAAAGATGTGTATATATACACACACACACACACACACTCTCACACACACACA
This sequence comes from Homo sapiens, assembly GCF_000001405.40. Classification (NCBI taxonomy): domain Eukaryota; kingdom Metazoa; phylum Chordata; class Mammalia; order Primates; family Hominidae; genus Homo; species Homo sapiens. The sequence continues at coordinate 56,863,674 of NC_000016.10, read as the reverse complement.
CACATTAGTCTCTCTAGCTCCAACCTGTCTCCCAATGTCTATGTGTACCTCCAGAGACATCTACAAGTAACTCCAAACCAGAGCTCAGCAGGTCAGAATTGTAATCCATATCCACCAATAGACTGACAAGCCCTGGGGCCTGGGACCAGGCGGTGGCCTCCAGGGCCCCTAGGCATCACCCAAAGTGTGGGCCATGTTTCCCTGGGCCCTGCCTGCAGGGCCATTGGGTTATAAAGCTTGGGGAGCCAGCGCCTTTCCTGGCTCCTGAAGCCATCCCAGACAGGGCACCCCAGCTCCCATAGGAGCAGTCACCCTACCAGTGCTGGAGCAGATCAGGACCCGATTTTGCCAGCACTCTGAGGCCACACCTTGCATGCAGGTGGCATGGGAGCAGCACTCTTGTTACCAGAGGTGCCTAAGCCATTGCAGGGAGGCAGTGGTGGAAATTTGAGCTGTCAGGGGATGAAAGAGGTGAGTTAGGGTCTGGAGAGATGAGTTAGTGGGCGCACACTTGATGTGTCACTAGAAATGGAGGGCGTATTTTCCCAGCTGTTGTGAGGGCTCTCAGTGTCAGCCCCTATGGTGCTGGCCTCACCTGTTGTCACCTTTCCTCCAAGAGGCCAGCATTCAATGACTGACGGATGTGGCTATAAAGAGCTGACACCCTGCCCCAGCTGAGGCTTTGGGTATACACCGAAGCTCACTTCTCCCTCTGCCCAGCCCTGCTTCCTTCCCTTCTACCCACAAGTACTGACCACAAGAGGCTCCCTGTTGAATGCCCTGCACACACTCCCCTATCTTGGAGTCTGCTACTCAGGAGTGGGGTGATCTAGCGGCTGACCAGAAAATCACTGATCTCTTTGTCACCTCTGCTGAGGTTTCCATCTTGCAGCCATTCACCCAACAAACTTTTATTGACCACCCACCATGCCATAGGTGGGTGCGATAGGAGCCAAGGACACACATGGTGGGCACTGCGCCTGTGCTCATGATGCTGCTGAGTTCGTTCAGGAAATCAGCATGGAAACAGATCAGCCCAGCTGTGTAGTGAGGGTAGCAATGGGAGAGGTGTCCCTGGAGGAGGGTCAGGGTAGGGACAACCAGGGAAGGCTTCTGGAGGAGGGGACCCCTGACCTGATTCTTAGAGAATAAGTTGCTCTTCCTGGAGGCAGGGGATAGAAAGGCTATTGCCAGCTGTAGACATCTGAGCTTGGCTTATGCTGTAGCTCTGGTCATCCTTGGGAGGGACATGGAGGGACATACTTCCTCTCCCTCCCTAGCCCTGCCTCTCGGGCTTGGGCTCACAGAGTTCACACAGGTCCCCCAGAGGACTGGCTCCATGGTGCTCGAAATCCTTAGGGCTCCATGACCCCCAACAGCCAGTCAGCACTGGATGATTGAGAACTCACAGGAAGGCCTGGCTGGCTCACTCTGTCCCTCTTGCTAACCTCTTACTCCTCTTCCAGAGGTGCTGGGGACAGGTGTACCCACCCAGCTGTAGGGCCAGGCAGAAGGGGTAGATGAAATGCTCAGCCTGTGTTAGGGCAGCAAACACTGTTGGGGAATCCACCTCCAAGATGAGTGTCTAGGAGTCCCACAAAATCATGGATAAGTTTTCATACGTCAGTGCACTTTTCTAGGGAGGAGACAGAAATTTCATCCACCTTGTTAGACTCACAAGCGCAGGGATCTGGCCCTGCTTTGTTCAGGGATGATCCCAAGCAACAAAACAGTAGAGAGTGGGTATTCGACAAACGCTTGTTGAATTATGAAGGGGACGCAGAAGCAAAGAGGGCAAAGGGTGATTCCATGGAAATCCTTGGCTGACAGAATGACCCCAAGCGGGGCTGATGAAAGTGGCCACTCCACAGGCCCTCCCAGCTCAGCATTCGGCCTCTAGTTTCGCATCTAGAGGTGAGCTGAGGATAACAGGACCTCAATGACAAACCCCAAATGTTACGATCACTGTGCACTTTTTTTTTTTTGCAAAGCTTATACATTTACCATATGTGTTAATTTTTAAATCTTCTCAGGGCGCCTCTTAATGACCCACAGGCCTCCCTACCCACTTCCCTGGATTCCCAGCCCCTCCTCAGAGAGGCATCTGCCAGTGGGGCTGAAGGCTTGAGGGCCCCACCCTGGCTTTGTTAGGGGAGAGGATTTGTGGAGGCCTCTCTCTGCTCATTACCTCCCACTGGGCCCTCGGGGTAGATCTTATCACTCGTCTGCCTTTTAAACTGCCATTTGACTGGCGAAAATCACAGCTGCCCTTTATCTGCTCACACCATTCCTACACACCCTGTCCCTGGGCAGCTGTGGAAAATTCTTGATTAAGATCTCACAGAGGAAGGAGCCTGAGGGGGCCTGGGCTGGTTTCCAGCAGTGCTGTGGTCCTGGGCAGAGTGAGGGGCCCTGACTGTGCTTGCCAAGGGTGACCTTGGGCAAGTCACTTGCTCCTCCCTCCAGAAAACCCTGGCCTAGACAGCTCCAAAGTCCCTTTCTGCTCTGGAGGGGTACATTTGCTGCTTCAAGAAACCTCTTCTGCCCCTCTGCCTCTCTATGGGGTAAGAGAGGGTTTTAGCAGGTCCCCTCGAAGGACTCATCATAGGACATGCCAAGAGACTGCAGACACCTTGTCCCAAAGCACAGACCCCCAGGAAGGGGAAGCCTGCATTTGGATGGAATTTAATCAATTTCAGAAATGTTTACAGAGGCACTCTTTTTGATGGTTGGTGGGGACACAGTGCTAGGTCACACACAGTCCCTACCTTTCAGGACTCTGGCTTCCAGGAGAACCCATGGGCCAGGCCTTTCTGATCTGAGGTTCTGTGTACCTGGAGCAAAGCCCTTGATTTGGCCGCAGAGTCTCAGTTCTCGCCGTTTCTGTATGACTTTGAGCGTGAAATTGACCTGGGTGAACATCAGCTTTGCAGCAGCAAAATAGAAATGACACTTCTACCAGGCATCCCTCGCCCCTGGCTGAGTGCAGTGGGCCCCTCGGATCTCCTGGCTCTCAGACAGAACAGGAGCAGTGAAGAAACTGAAACTTTCAGCCGTCAGGAAACCACAGATGCGGAAACCCCAGAGAAGCAGAAACCCCAGATGCAGGTCCTGAAATGGTGAGGACAGAAGGCCCTGCTGCAACCTCAGAATCTCAGGGCCTCCTGTCTTTGCGGCTACAGAGGCAACTCAGCATTTATTGTGCTCCTCCTGTGTACCAAGCACTGGACCTCACAGCCTAACCTGGCAGACAGACCAGCAAGGAGATCATGCAACTGGCCAGCAGAGGAGGAAGGCTGTCCAGAGGAAGGAGAGGGGAGAGGGGAAGGGAGGTGTGTGGGTAAGGATGGAGGGGAGATGACAGGGGAGAGGAGGGAAAGGAGCTCAGGAGGGGTGTGGTCATTGCAGGGGGAGAGGCAGTGGGACTGAGGCCCACATAGTGCTGTGGGGTGGGGAAAGGAGGGAAGAAATACTGGGAGATGAGGCTAAAAGGGATCCAATTGTTTCTTCATTCCACTGCGTTTATTGAGTGCCCACTGCATACCATGCCCTGTGCTAGGCAAGGGAGGCACCACAGGGAACAAGACAGAGACCCTGCCCTCCTAGAGCTCACATTCTAATGGAAGAGACGGTAAATAAACAAGCAAGTATTATAATACATTTAGTGATAAGTGCTGTTAAGAAAACAAAGCTTTTTTTTTCTTAGGAAGGGTACATTAGGCCTCTTTGAGAAATTCGAGCCAAGCTCCAACAATGAGAAGGAGCCACCCACATGTGAGCAGGTATGAGCACAGGGGTTCCAGATGAGGGCAAAGCATGTGCAAAGGCCCTCTGGCAGGACTGTGGTGTGGGCTTCGAGACTGGCAAGGAGGCCTGTGTGGCTGGAGCAGAGGGACCAAGGAGTTGGCATTCAAGACATGTAAAAGGGAACATCCAGCCTTATAGGCCAGGGTTAGAAGTGTCCTATTCTATTCTACAATGGTCAGGTTTATTTTTACAAGCTTATTTTGGCTGTTGTCTGGAGAATGGGCTGAGGGAGAAGGGCTAGGTAAGACTAGTCAGTGGGCATGGTGGCTCACACCTATAATCCCAGCACTTTGGGAGGCTGAGGCAAGCAGATCACCTGAAGTCAGGAGTTCAAGACCAGCTTGACCAACACAATGAAACCCCGTCTCTACAAAAATACAAATATTAGCTGGGCATGATTGCGGGTGCTTGTAATCCCAGCTACTCGGGAGGCTGAGGTGGGACGATTGCTTGAACCCGGGAGGCGGAGGTTGCAGTGAACCGAGATTTCCCCATCGCACTCCAGCCTGGGTGACAGAGTAAGACACCGTCTCAAAAAAAAAAAAAAAAAAAAACAACTAGTCAGGGGCCATTGAAGGTACAGGACAGTGATGGCCAGACTTGGGGAATAGCTGTGGGATGGCAGGATGGTAAGAAGGTTTGGGAGCTGAGACAGATTCTGAAGGCAGAGCCAACAGAACCAGCATGTGGATTTGTGTGGGGCAGGGTTCAAAGGAAGGAGGGACACGGGAGAGCTCTATGGGGGAAATTATTGTATTGTTTCCAAGTAGAGAACCCTGATGGGAAGGCCTTGAAGGCCAGGGTAAGAAGCCTGGCCTTTGTCCTGGGGTCTCAGGCCCCATCTGTTTCTGAAAAGCTGGCCCAGGGCAGCAGTGGTGTGGTGAACGGTGCAAGGCAGAAAGAAATGGGGCCAGGGAGGGCCAGGTGAAGGCTATGGCAACAATCAGGCTGGAACAGACAATGACCCTGGCTATGAGTTCCAGGGCCCACCCTTGACTACTCACAGACTTCGGCATCACACTGGAACCTCTAACAATGCTGATTCCAGGGCCCCACCTTGGAGATTCTGTGGACCTCGGCAAGAGGAGGTGAGGGGCAGACATCAGAGTTTTTTGAAAGCTGCCAGGTGATTCTGAGGAGCAGTCTGGGCTGAGATCCAGTGAGCTACAGAGGACAAGCTTTCACACACAGACTCCCACCCCAACCCCATCCCCAGGTCCTTGCGTCCGGCCCGGTCCCACGAGGCTCGCCTGGAGAGGATGGGTATGATGCAACCCTGGTGTCGTGAAATAGCCGGGTAAGAGGATGCGCTGCTCGTCGGCCTGATTCACAACACCAGCTGCAGCAACGATACCAGAACTCCGCCGGCTTCCTCCTCTGGGCTGTGGCTCCTCCGGTTTTGAGACAGTGATGAACCCATACAACACCTTCCCCAACCAATGGCTCCCCCAGGCCAGTATGGCACCAGGGCTCAGGGGTGCATATGGTGGAATCTGGGTCCCTGCCCACAAGGGGCTCACAGACTTGATGTTCATGGGGAAGAGGGGAACAGACATAAAAAAAAAACCTGTACAATGCAGGGGGTGCAGAGAAACAATGGAGGTACTGAGCACTGGGAAGGCCTGGGAAGCCAGAGGCTGGACTGCAACCTCTCCAGCAACCAGGACCAAGAAATTGAGCCTTGAGGACGGGTGCAGGGGCTCACGCCTGTAATCCCAGCACTTTGGGAGGCTGAGGCGGGTGGATCACGAGGTCAGAAGATCAAGACCAGCCTGGCCAAGATGGTGAAACCTCGTCTCTACTAAAAATACCAAAATTAGCCAGGCGCAGTGGCAGGTACCTGTAATGCCAGCTACTTGGGAGGCTGAGGCAGGAGAATCGCTTGAACCCAGGAGGTGGAGGTTGCAGTGAGCCGAGATTGCATCACTGCACTCCAGCCTGGGTGACAGAGTGAGACTTTGTCTCAAAAAAAAGAAAGAAATTGAGCCTTGAGGAGCACACAGGTGTGTCTATTGCAGTCCTGGTCCTCTACCTGGACAATGTTATAGCAGTTAGACACTAAGGTAATTGAAGCTATCGATAGCTAAAGCAAAAAAGGAAACATATATGATGAGTTAAGACATTTTCATTGTTAAAGGAAGAACTCCCAGCCAGGTGTGGTGCCTCACGCCTGTAATCCCAGAGCTTTGGGAGGCTGAGGTGGGAGGATTGCTTGAGCCCAGGAGTTCAAGACTAGCCTAGGCAACATAGAGAGATCCTGTCTCTACAAAAAAATTTTAAAAATTAGCCAGGCATGGTGGTGCACACCTGTGGTTCCAGCTACTTGGGAGGCTGAAGTGGGAAGACCACTTGAGCCCAGGAGGTTGAGGCTGCAGTGAACTGTGTTTGCCTGGCTCCAGTCTGAGATCTTGTCTCAAAAAAAAAAAAAAAAAAAAAGAAAGAAAGGAGTACTCCTAGTTCCTTTTTCTTCATGGACAGACTTAAAAAAAAAAAAAAAAAAAAACCCTATTTAGCCAACATTCATTCCACACTTGTAGATATTAATAATGCATTAAACACAATCTGGCTATTTTGAAGGACACACAGAAGGATAAGGCATGGTCATCGTCCTCAGGAGCATACAGTTCATCAGAGGAGGTAAAGCCAACAAATAGCCACAAGCTGAGGCGGGAAGACATAAATCCCTGGATAAAATGCTACACGGGTTCAGAGAGAGGATGATTTCCTCTGGCTTGTACCAGGGTGGAGTGAGGTAGATGACACAGAAAGCAAAAAGATAAGCAATTATTTAAGAAGGACAAAGTCCAATGTTAGCCTGGAGCTTCGTGGCAGCTCCAGGCAGAAAGCACAACCATGATCAGTAGTCACTACCTGATGAACGAGTGAGATTTACTTTCTTCCTTTCTTCCTCTTCTCGTTAAAAATAAATAAATAAATAAATAAATAAATAAATCCCCATCAACTCTTTATCTGTCCATGCAGGTTTAGCTGGTGCTCAGCCCTGCTGCATCAACACGAACTGGAGCAGTAATTCTAATAAAAATTCAGTCCTGTAATAACAGACACAAGCATATGTTCCTCCACCCTGATGACTCTGCCAATGTGCTCTCCAAGAAACCAAGGACTCGAACCCATTGTCTTCACTATCTTTGACCTTTCTTTTTTCTGAGACAGGGTCTCACTCTGTCACCCAGGCTGGAGTGCAGTGGCGTGATTACAGCTCACCACAGCCTCACCTCCCAGGCTCAAGTGATCCTTCCATCTCAGCCTCCCAAGTAGCTGGGACTACAGGCTGGGACTACACTACACCCAACTAATTTTTTAAACATTTTTTTTGTAGAGACAGGGTCTTGTTGCCCAGGCTGGTTTCGAACTCCTGAGCTCAAGTTATCCACCTGCCTTGGCCTCCCAAAGTGCTGGGATTACAGGCGTGAGCCACTGTGCCTGGCCAGCCTTTTATTTTCAAATTTCATTGGAAACCTTTTCTTTTTTTCTTGAAAGCAATAGGGGAAACATGATCATTCTGTTCCATTTTGAATTCCACAGGTAGACTTCCAATCAGAACACTCTTTAATGGATATTTTTGGAGTCTAGGGGCCTTGCTCCTGTGACCAGAACCAGGAGGCCTAGAATCTCAGAGCTGCTTTTGAAAGCTAAGCTCCCCGACCCACTCCCTCAAGCCAGGCCCAGTCCAGGGAGTGAGGAAGGATGTGAGCCGAGAGGCCTGGCTGAGATCTGTACAGCCTGCTTTCTGACCTGGTGCTTTTAGGTCACTGTTTGTCAAATGGAGATAATTCTACCCAGCCGTGGGTTTTCCGATGATATTAAGAGGGGATCTGTGAAAGCAGCATTTTGGAGGACATTAATAATGCTCTGCAAATGTAAACTTTCTGGTTTTTTTTGGTTCTAGCCCTTAAGCTACCAGAAAAGAAAGGTGGGAGAAAATGTACTCATCCTCTACTTGTTTAAGGCAGTGCTCTTTGGTAAGGGCAGCTGCTACATGTTTTTGTTTGTTGGTTTGTTTTTAATTTTTAAAAGTTGAGGCAGAGGGAGGAGTGGGAAGAGGAGGAGCTCAGGTCCAAAAGCAGAAACGCAGAGTTGGCTTTTAGAGTCATCAGAGCCCAGGCCTTGACAGGCATTGCATGCATGTAAAAGCAGAGAACGTTCAGCGTCCTAGAAGCTCAGTGTCCAGAGGCTCTCCAACATCTGGTTGACTCTCCGCCAGATACCTGAAATAAGCGGCTTACTTCCTTACCATCCCCCAGCAGAGCTGTAAAGGATCTTCTGCCAGTGGTCACCCAGCACCCCAGGGTTCAGATGCAAGAAGACACAGGGGCTTCCCTCCAATGGGAGTCTGCACTCCAGGCTGGGGCCATGGTGGACCTTCATGCTCTGGCTCGGTGCAGGTCCTGCAGGGTATGGATCCCCACAGCAGGAAGTTTGAGGGGTGGTCTGGAGAACAGAAGTTGGCTCCTTACCCCGAAGGAGTTTGTGCACTGAAGAGGCTCGGGACAAGCCCATTCAGGGCACGTGCCTGCCAGTGGTGAATGCAGGAAGGCCAGGGGCAGCCGGACACTGGGAAAGAGCATCTTTGATCAGGGTCCCCGGGCTCCAGCCAGAGCTGTCAAGTGCTCATTCACTTGTGATCTCCTTAAAAATGTGCCCCCTGAGCCCCTCACACACAACGATGCTCTTTAATGTGTGTGTGTGTGTGTGTGTTTTTTGAGAGGGAGTCTCACTCTGTTGCCTAGGCTGGAGTGCAGTGGCGCAATCTTGGCTCACTGCAACCTCCAAAGCCATTCTCCTGTCTCAGCCTCCCGAGTAGCTGAGATTACAGGCGCGCGCACCACGTCCAGCTTTTTTTTGTATTTTGGTAGAGACGAGGTTTCACCATGTTGGCCGAGCTGGTCTCGATCTCCTGACCTCAAGTGATCCACCTGCCTAGGCCTCCCTAAGTGCTGGGATTACAGGCGTGAGCCACCGCGCCCGGCCTCTGATGCCATTTTTAATGGTTAACTTCCCAACATTAAAAACCATGTTGGACGGCTAGGCTGGCTTTGACCTTGATGGGTATAGAGTTGGCAAGCTGACCCAATGGGACTTGGGGTGGTACATGTTCTTCCCTAACCAGATAGAATTTGTATCTTCCTATTTAGTACATCTCAGACATTGTATGAAAATCTGTGTTGGGGAAGGGGTTTGGGGGATTTCCACATTTAGAAAGATCCACAGGCCTACTTCATCACTCCCTGCTTCAGTAACAGCAATGGTTCCTGACCCTAGCAGGGCATGAAAATCACTTGGGAAACTTCTAAAAAACAAGAATCAGTGCCTCGGCCCCTCCCCAGGCCAATTAAGTGGGAAGCTCAGGGGGCAGGGGCTAGGAAATCAGTAGCGGCAAGAACTCCTTGGATGACTCTAAGATGAAGCCAGGGCTGTGAATTGCAGGGCTGGCACTGTGAGCTAGAGGAAAGAAGACGTTAACTAAGGCTGTGTGCAGCACAGAATCTGGCTCTTCTTGATAAAGGGATTGCTGATCTCAAGGTTTTTTTTTTTAAAGTTATCTTTCATGTTGTAAAAGGCTTTTAAAGAGCTTTTTCTCTCCTGGTTAGACACAGGAATACATAAACTAGCTACCAGCCCTTTTGTGCTGGATTCATTGCCCAAGGACAACAGGTAACCTTATAATTATTGGTTTGCACAGAAAGTGTGTGCCCCCAAGTCAGACCACCCCTGACTCATCTCTCTGCCTCATGGGCCACATACACCCCAGATGCCCTCCATACCCGCCACACACTTACCTCTTGAACAAGGGAGATGCCCTAGTCAAGCTTCTGCTTGGCCAGGGAAGGGATAAACATGAGGCCTGGGACCTCTGGCAGGCCCCTCAACTCACCTGAGTCCTGCTGTTTCTCCTGCTTCGGGGTCATAGGAGAGATTAACAGCTGCACGACACCGCTGGGGCATATGAAGCAGGCCAGCTGCAGCCAGGCCGAAGGGACCTGGGGGTCCCTGCATCCTGGGCTAGCAGGATGGCCACACCCACACAGTGTTCTCCCATCCCTGTAGGTCTGAATCCTGGTCACTTGCAGACAGCTCCTGCATCCCGGCCAGAATCTTTCCCCTTTATATGGCCCTTCCTTGTGGCTTTTTTTTTTTTTTTTTTTTTTTTTGACACAGGGTCTTGCTCTGTCACAGGGGCTGCTGAAGTGCAGTGGCTCAATCTCGGCTCACTGCAGCCTTGAACTCTGCCTCCCGGGTTCAAGCTATCTCCTGCTTCAGCCTCCTAAGTAGCTGGGACTACAGGCTTATGCCACTACACCTGGCTAATTTTTGTATATATATATTTAATAGAGACAGGGTTTCACCATGTTGCCCAAGCTGGTCTCAAACTCCTGGGCTCAAGTGATCCTCCTGCCCCAGCCACCAAAATGTTGGGATTACAGGTGTAAGCCACCATGCCAGGCTCCTTGTGGCATTTCTTAAGGCTTCCTATTTGATTATGGTGTCTGTGTGCACATGTACATAACCTGCTTCTCTCTTTTCCCCAACCACACAGTGAACCTCAGAAAGCAGGGATTGCACCTTAGTCTCAGAAATCACCCCACAGTGGGCCGGGCACGGTGGCTCACGCCTAGAATCCCAGTACTCTGGGATGCCGAGGCTGGCAGATCACTTGAGTCCGGGAGTTCAAGACCAGCCTGGGTAACATGGCAAAACCTCGTCTCTACAAAGAATACATAAAAATTAGCTGGATGTGGTGGCGCGTGCCGGTAGTCCCAGCTACTCAGAGGATTGAGGTGGGAGGATCGCTTGAGCCCCCAAGGCAGAGGTTGCAGTGAGCTGAGATCGTGCCACTATACTCCAACCTAGGTGACAGAGTGGGAGCCTGCCTCAAGGGCCATGGTGGGTGCTAAATGGATGAGTGAAGCTCTTGAGTCAGCCTGGAAAGAGAGACCCTTATAGGAAGAGGCCCCTTATTGTCTCTCACCCCAGTAAGAAGGAAGCTCCTTGACGGCAGAGATCTTGATTCAGGTCACCATTGTGACCTTGTGCCTAGAACAATGCCTGGCACAGGGCAGACCCTTAAACATTTGTTGAACTGCATTCTCCACTTGGCAGTTCCTAAACAAACAGGAACCAGAAGTTGAACTTGACATGTCAATGTCTTTCCCCATTAGCAAATTTTTGGCTCATCAATGTTGACCTAATTTTGTCTCTTATCAAAAAAAAAAAAAAAAAAAAAAAGGCATCCCTGAGGTGGGAGTCATTGATTTGACCTGCACCCATGTGCAGGCCCTGTTGTGAAGGGCAGAAGCCCAGTGGTGGAGGACGTGCCTACAGCCTTGGAGACTGTCTCCACAAGGCAGGGACCTGGGTGGCCACAATGAACGTTTATTTATGGAGAGCCCCCTGTGCGACAGGCAACAGGTTTTAACTTCCTCTTCCCAGTGGCCTGATGGAATAGAAACTGGCGTGCCTGCTTCCTACAAGAGCAAACTGGTTCAGAGCAATGGAAGGACTCACAGCTCCCAAGCTCTGAAGCCTTGTGGTGCAGGGTGGCTGCCTGGCCAGGACTTGCTCCCTCCAGCCAGGGCACAGTCATTCCATGTTCCTTACCTTTCCCTCTTCCCATCCTCCGCCTCCCGCTGTTGGGAAGACCCTTACTTGCAGAATTTAGTTTTCAAAGAAGTCTGACATTCTTGTGCTTTCTGATGCTACTGGCAGCTGCAAGCCACCAGAGGGCCACATCTTAAACGTCTGTTTTTGAAGAAAAAAAGTGCTCTATTTGGTTTGGTTCGAATTTTCCTAAAAATTCAAGCCAGCTGCTCCATCAAGCTGATCAGAGACCCACCCCGAGTGTGGTAGGGTCAGTGGTGTGGTGGGGGTGATGCCTCTAGACTGGCGCTATGGGAAGGAGACATTTGGGAAAACTGAGGAAAAAGAATTTGCAGCCAACCTCTCCAACGAAAATGTCTCTCCCCAATAGCACTCCCAGCAGGCAGCTTCCCCAGCCTCTGGGGCCTCACTTCCCACCATCAGTCCTCATATTTCTCTGTGGCTGTTTGCTTCTCAGGGCTTCTATGCAAACCTGGCCATTTCCAGGAACAGCTGAGGTGCCACTCATGTTGGGGGGACCAATGGCCTTAAATTTGTCTTCTTCCCTTGCCATCTGGGTGGCATTTTAATGGTTTTAACTGAGGACCCAGAAAGAATCTTCACCCCACTGAAAAGCCTACAGCTCTCAAGAAACCTGAGGCCGGGCGTGGTGGCTCAAGCCTGTAATCCCAGCACTTTGGGAGGCCGAGGTGGGCGGATCACCTGAGGTTGGGAGTTCGAGACCAGCGTGACCAACATGGAGAAACCCTGTCTCTACTAAAAATACAAAATTAGCTGGACATGGTGGTGCATGCCTGTAATCCCAGCTACTTGGGAGGCTGAGGCAGGAGAATCGCTTGAACCGGGGAGGCGGAGGTTGTGGTGAGCTGAGATTGCACCATTGCATTCCAGCCTGGGCAACAAGAACTCTGTCTCAAAAAAAAAAAAAAAAAAAAGAAACCCAAATAAACAGGGCCACCCTTACCCCCAGAGGCCCTCTCTCCATCTGCTCCCAGCCCCTGACAGTCTCCCTCCACAGCCAAAGGCTGCCAGCCCCAGCTCCAGGAGGTGCTGTGCCATCCCACAGGAGGCCATTAAACAGGCTGATGGGGTCTGAGGCCCAGATTCCCAGGTGACTCATCAGGAAATGGCCTCCCAGATGCCAGCACAAGCTGAGGGCCCCAGGCAAAGGGGAGGGGCTGAAACTCTTTTGTGGAGCCCCTTCAGGGATAGCACACTGGGCCACTGGGCAGCTGACCCACGTCACTTCAGAGCTCCTGTTAGGGCAGGTCTCCAGGTGGAGAGAATATGAACACCCTACCTCCTTAGCCATCTGCACATCCTTGAGTAGAATCCCGTGACCCAGATCCTAAAACACCTGCCCTGGTCAAAAGCACAGGCAGCTACTGTCTAAGAGAGCAGGAGACATCTGTCCCAAGGTCAGGCCCAAGCCTCTTCTGCCACCCCACCAAAACATGGCCCCCAAATTCCGGCTCCCCTTCCCCAAGGCCAATACGTGGCTCTCAACCCCCATTTAAAATGCTTTCCACTGAAGGTCTAAAATAAAGGGTTACAGATCTTAGCTGTTCCTAGCCCCCAGAATGCATGCCACATGCTGGGTTTATCACCAGAATGCTTCTGACTTACTGTCCCACCACAGTCAGAATCTGACCTTTCCGGCCAAGAATTCTGAAGTTCAGGGGGAGAAAGCACAAATTCAGAGCTGGGATGGGAGTCCTGTACTTACAGAGACCTCTGGGGACTTCGCAGACCCAGGGACTGGATAGGCCTTAGGAGCCTTCTTTGCAGGGAGTGGAGAAGGGGCCTGGCTCATTAAGCCCCGAGGCCAGGTAGAGGCACTTCTGTCACCTTCTGAGGAGCCCCCAGGCTGTGCCTCAGCTAAAGATATTCCCAGGAAAGGCCTGAGAGAGGCTTCTGCTCCACTGAAGGACTGAACAAAGGGGGCACATGGCACTCTGGGAGAATATTCCAGAAATTTACTGGCTACAGACAGGGATAGTGGTGAAGGAACCATCCTAAACAGAGTAAATGCAGAAGTTACTGTACAGAAAGGAACATGCAGAACACATCCACCAACGCTCTCCCACCCTCTCCCTTCTCCCACAAGCACCACACAGAGTGACTCGAGAAAAGCAAAAAAGAAAAAAAGGAAAATAATCAGTCAACTGAAAAACGCAAAGAATTCTCCCCCACTGAGTTTCTAACACAAGTTACTGATCAAGTGAGAAAAGGCTGTACTTTGGCTCTTTCCTTTCTTTCTAAAATACACAGTATTTGAAATTCCTGGTTGAAAAACACAGTAGATGACAGCCACTGAGGTCAACTGGGGCCCACATTATCCCGCTCAGCTGCCTGCCTAGCTCTTCAAAACTGCGTATCTCAGTCATTTCCGATGCCCACAAAAGCACAAACAATGCACAAAATCAGGGTAATCCAATTCCACTAGAGAGCTCCCGGCAGCCCGTGGCAGGCCTGAAGGTCTCTGGGCAGCTAGTACCAGCAGAGGCAAGCCCAGGTAGGGCAGCCACATAGAACTGGGACATACTTACACTAGGAACTTCTTCACTGTTTATCCAAAATGCAAACTTAATTGAGTGTCCTATATTTTTATTTGCTAAGTCTGACCCGGATGAAGGGGCCTTACCTGCAGGCCATAAAGCCCCTGGGTGCCACCTGAAAGCCTGCCTAGGCCAGGTCTGCTGAGGCCACCAAAGCATATGTCCTGATGCTGAAGTCCCCTCTGGGATCACTGACTCCCCACTTCCTGTTCAAACAGAAGCCAGTGTCTGGGGCAAACTTTTTTGCCCTCCCCATCCCCAAGAAATAGAAGCTCAAGGGCAAAGGCAGCCAGGTGTACAGATTGTGCTAGCGCAGAGCTGGGTTTCTGCCAGCACCCCGTCCCTTTTTCTTTTTAAAGATCCGGCCTTCATTATTCACAGTACATCAAATTTCCACCCCCTTCTCAATGTTTCCCTGCTGCTGTGCAGCTCTGCAAGTTTCTGTCTTTGAAGGAACAGCCCTGAGTCTCATTTGATCCTGGGAGACATTATTCTCCTCCACCTTCTTTCAGACTGAATGCCTATTAAGGGCCCCCACGGTGAATCACGGAGTCTGAATCTAGGCACGTGGAGCTGATCCAGAGGATGTGGGGAGGAGCCTGGCACAGGAGGACAAAGCAAAGCATCTGCTCATTCAAATATCTGCTGAGCAATCTACTGTGGGCCAGATACCCCAGAGAGGGCACACAGGAGAAGCATATTTCAAAAACCAAGGTTAGGACAGGAAAATATCCTCTTTCCCTGGGTTAGCAACTTAGAACCACGAGTACTTCACTTAGGTGATCCTGGACAAAAAAACGAAAAAAACGAGCCTACTTTTAAAGAATTATGCACAACTCTGGGAACAAATCAGTGCTTAATTTACCTCAGATATTCCAGCTACCTAGCACGGCCCAGCACACAAAGAGGTTTTGAAATCATCTGCTGCAATGGAATCTTGGCTGATAAATACACGTGGCCTATCTAGCCAGTCACAAGTTATGTGCGTAACAAGGCAAAAAAGCAGCACAGACCACTTGAAATCTCTTTTCAGAACACTTTAGTAATTTTTAACTTTTTTCCTTTTCGGTTGGAAACAAGTGGCAGAAAGATTTATTTCCTTCCTGTCCCTGCCCTGTGAGGGATACCAATATATTATGGAACTGTCAGAAGATGGTGGAAGATGGGAAGACTTGTGGATTCAGCGTAGGATAAAGAATGGGGGATATTTTCTTCCACAGTTTAGACAACTCCTGTTTAATGAGATGCTGACTTCTTCCTGGTATTTCTGAGATGCAGGAACAAAAGCTCAATTCTGATATAAAACACACATTTCCATCAAGAATTTTATATGTAACACTTTCTCCCAATTTGCTGACACAGGGCTCAATTCCTTTCCCAGCTGACTGAGGCTAAGGGAGAGTTCGCAGTCAGTGTGGGGACTGCCAAGACTTTGTCAGGCCTGGGTCAACCCGCCAGCCCAGGGGTTCATTTTCTGACTCAGCATTCAGCATGCTCAAGTCACTTCCTGAGTGGCATGCTGGAAATTTGGCAAGTGATGTGAACCACCTAATGAACTAGACAAAGGTTCTGGTGCCTAGTAGAGAAAAAGGATAGTAGAGATCCAGTCTAAAGCAGGAAGGCGTTGGCAGAGCTGCATATAACTGCAAATTTAGTATTAAGGGTTCTGGCTAGGTGCAGGCAAGGGTAAAAATTCAAAGAGAGAAAAATCACCCTCAGGTTTTTTTTGGTCAGCAAATGCTGGACACTGCGGAAAAGTCTGTAGTTCTTTGCTTTAAAGCTGCCTGTTCTAGGATTTAAATGATGCATCAAGAGTTAACAGTGGCTGCCAAATTGTCCTTAAGAGGCTCTAATTAGACTGTAAGTTCGCGGAGGACAGGAGCTGGGTCTGCATCCTGGCCCCAGTGTAAAATGGGCACTTCCTGCTCTTTGATGAGCCCGCCCAGCTCGTGAGTGAAAAAGGAAGGCATCTGCCGTGGCAGAGCTCACCAGTTTCGCTTCAGTTTTCCCTCTGAAGTTGGGGAGTCAAAGAGTTTTTTGTTGCTGTTGTTGTTGAGCCAAAAGAAGAGAATCTGTGAAATTAAATCTCCAGGCCTCTGAAAAGGATCCAGATCAAGTCAGTACTTTCCTTTGAGTGTTTCAGTGAGTTTATTATGAGCCATTCTGAGACAGGAACAAACCCTGACAGTCTCAAAGTGCCCCCAATTTCATTAGAAAGATCGAAATCTCACATCTGGAAGACAAGACGCCTAGTGCCACTTTCTCTTAGTTTCTCTGGGTAAATAGTGAAATCCTGGCCCAACATCTAAGGAAAGAGTTAGTTCTCTGAAAAAGTGGGCTGAAGATGAGTTTTTAAGATAATAACCTGTCACAGGGTCAGGACTTCTGGGCATAAGCTGTAATGATGGGTACATGACAACCTGATGTTGTGGCCTTGCAAATTCAGCCTGTTTCTCATCTCTGCACAATTCCAGAGGCCTGTGCTCAATCGCACAATCAGCTTGTAGGACAAGAACTGGGATTTGCTCCATCCGAGTCCTGGCCCTTCTGGTATGAACCTACTTATCTTCTTTCTCCTACAAATGTCTCTCTCAGCAAGTCCTTAACTGCCAACCAGTGACCACTTTTCTCCCAACTCACAGCTCCCCTAGCAGAGCAGCTCAAGGTCTGGCTGCTTCTCTCCCTTCTCATTTTAGGACCCATCTACAGGTCAAAGAACCTCATCCCCTGGATGCAGGGCTGGTGTGCAGTTCTCTCTGAGACAAGTAGAACTGCAGGATGCAAGGAAAGGCAAATCCACGATTCTCATGGGATAGTGAAGAAGAGGTAAGCCAGGAGCAAACATGTATTTAAACAACTTGAGCCTTCTCATTTGTGGCATTGTTATATTTCTATCTGCAAGTAAAATCTAGTATTAGAAAAACAAAGCACTAAGTTGCACTTTATGAAAAGTCCACAGAGTACTCTTATTTTTATTTTTGAATCAGAGCCTCACTCCATCGCCTAGGCTGGAGTGCAGTGGCATAAGCTCGGCTCACTGCAACCTCCGCCTCTTGGGTTCAAGTGATTCTCCTGCCTCAGCCTCCCGAGTAGCTGGGATTACAGGCGCCTGCCACCATGCCCAGCTGATTTTTGTATTTTTAGTAGAAACGGGGTTTCCCCATGTTGGCCAGACTGGTCTCAAACCCCTTACCTCAAGCGAACTGCCTGCCTTGGCCTCCCAAAGTGCTGGGGTTACAGGCGTGAGCCACTGCACTCGGCCAGAGTACTCTTTATTTTTTTGAGACGGAGTATCGCTCTTTCACCCAGGCTGGAGTGCAGTGGCATGATCTCAGATCACTGCAACCTTCGCCTCCCGGGTTCAAGCAATTCTGTCTCAGCTTCCTGTGTAGCTGGGATTACAGGTGCCTGCCACCATGCCCGGCTAATTTTTGTATTTTTAGTATAGACGGGGTGTCACAATGTTGGCCAGGCTGGTCTTGAACTCCTGATCTCAGGTGATCACCTGCCTTGGCCTCCCAAAGTGCTAGGATTACAGGTGTGAGCCACCCCACCCGGCCAGGAGTACTCTTTTTTAAAAAGCACTATTAAATCATTTGATTAGCTTAAATCAGCACATATAAGCAGGGCACAACTTGCTAAATCAAGGCCTCTGCAGGGCTCATGTTTCAAGACTTTCTAGTAAAGCTCAATTGAAGACAGTCCTCCAGGGTGACAAGATGGGACTAGAGGAGGAAGGCAGAACACAGCTCCACTGACCCTCAGGCCGCATCCTTCCTGGAACATGGAATCCTACCGATAAGCAGCAGTTGGTTCCATTATCTACAGATTATTTCTTCCCAAAAGAAAAGGTAACAATTATTTTAACAACTGGGAGACAGTGGGGATGACCACACCCTGTGACAAGACAGAAACTTCTCCCTACAAGCAAAGGCACCTTTGGGGACCCTTTGGGGATCTTAACATTCTGCTGGGAAAGAGTCTACCTCAGGGAGCCGTCCATCAAACCAGCAGAGCAGACCACTGCCCACTGTCTCAAGGCTCCAGTTGGCCCATTCAGGAACAAACACGACCTAATTTGCTCTCTGGTTTAGTCTAGGGCTTTGGGACTGATGGTGGGGGAAACAGAGCAAATGATGGGTGACAACTACTGCTCAGGGAGCAAACACCCATGGTGCTGATGCCATGTGGTGGTCTGGATTCTGTACATTGCAGACTCAGCACGTGACCCATGAGCCTGCCTGGCCAATTACCTTAATGAGTGGGGAAGGGGGTCGTCTGAGCAGAGGAACTGACCACCAGAGAAGGGAAATAGGGGCTTAAACGTCTTTCTAGGAGGGGTGTGTACAAGGCCGAGCAGTCAACTCACAGTGGAGCAGCTACAGAGGAGTGCAGTGGCAAGGTTTACCCCTTCCTCAAGTGCAAGCTGGGGGCACTTGCAACCTTCCTTCTTAAGGCTTTTTCTAGGTCTATGCTTTTATCTCCACTGGGATTGCAACAGAACGGCAAACTGATGAATCCTGCAATCAGAGCTGATGATTTGGGGGATGGTCTTGGACCATCTGGACTTAAGTCACACTCTCTAGAGGAGGACATGGAGTGCTTGATATTTCACACACAAATCTTACATCTTCTAAGGCTGAGGTTGACTTTCACATTCAAATAAAAATGTGAAAATGAATCGTGACTCTGCTATATGGAATATTATATCTAAATAAAAGTAACTCCCAAAGGCTTTGTTTCCTGGCTCATTTTGGGTAGATTTTTAATTAATTAAGGTCAATTTAACCAAATAATGAATATCTACATAGCCTCTCATTCCCTGGCCCAAGAGCTAGTGACGGTATTTCCCATTACACAAATAAAAATGTAAACAAAATTTCAAAGAAAAAAAAAAAGAAAATAAAAGAATGTTGAAAAGAAATACAAATCAAAGAAATTTATTGGCGTTGACAAAAATACATAATACAGAAACCAAAACAAAACACAACAGAAACAAAACCAGAAACCCCAGCCTAGTGGGCCCATGTGCCTGATGTACTGACAGTGTGCCGACCCAGACTCCCACAAAGCATGGCACTTAATTCATGAGGACCTCCATCTGCACCAGCCTCGCATTGGTGTCCCCAGACGTTCGGTATGGTATCATTCCAGCAAAGGTAATCAGAGTGCGGGCTTGACTTCGGAGTTGCTGAGAGAGAAGGGAAGGAAGGGAAGGAAATCGGTTAACTTTCGAGTCAGGGCACTATTCCATATTCTTCCATCCTCTATTCCATGTTCTTCCATCCTCTACCCCAGCGTGTCAGGGACAGATCCCTGATGGGTGGATGACAGTCATACCCTCCTCTGTCACATTCCTTCAACATAACACAAAGTTAACAAAGCTCGTCCCCCGAGGCCTCTGTTCCACAGGCATCCAAACCCATCTATTAAGCAAAAAGCAGATGGGTTTGCCAGGCAAGCCGCCTCGCCCCAACACATTTGGCTAGCTTTTGACACAGCCCTGAGCTTCAGAACTGCCTGCTCCAATCTTCTGAGCCTCTCTCTCTGGCTGGTTTCTGTCCATCTGCTTTCACAGGGATCTGACTCTCCAGAGCCCCATGAAGCCCTTGTGACACCGGAGGCAAGGGCTGTGACTGTGCAGTCCCAATCCAGCTCTCTTCCTCCCATGCATCTTTCCTCTTCCTTCCTTTCATTCCTCCTGTTTCTCCCTTCCCGACATACATGCTTAGCCCTTCTTTCCCCAGGCAACAGTATTTATGGAATTCCTGGATTGTTCAGGATGGAAAAAGGTGGCCCTACAAATTTAAACCAAATCTGGACTAGAAAGGGAGAAATCTACCACCAACACCTTTCTGGACTAGTAACAAGAATTTAAAGAAACACTGAGGAGTCATCTACTAGGCTTACTTAAGGACCATTCCAGAAGAAAACGGAAAAGCAAATGCTTTTTACCTGATGTGTAAAACAAACTAGCGAGTGTATGTCCTTATTGATGTCCAAACAAAAAGAAATCTGACTTTGTGATGTGAATATCCACTGTATTTTCTTTAGAAGTGAATAAAAGGGCTCTCGTTAAATGAGCTCTAGGGATGTTCAAGTAAAAGGATTCACCCCTTTACTAGGCAGCATCTCACTTTAAACCATGAAACCAAGGACGTCAGTGGGCTTGCAGACTTCTTGGGCACGCAGCTTTTATAGATAACCTTTTACTTAATCCTATCCCTCCCTACCTTTCAGAAAAAGAAAGAAAAAGGAGAGTGGTGGGCAAAAGGAAGGCAGGAGAATGATCTTCAGACATGAGACATGGCCTGCCAGGGGACCAGCTCTTCTCAGTGGGCAAGCCCCACTGAACTGTAAGCAGCACACAGAGCACCAAGAAGTATCCACCATCTCAATACTCACATTCACAAACATCACTGCCCTGGGTTTCTATCATCAAAAAAGATTCCTGCCAAATGGTGGGCACCATGAACCCACCGCTGGCACATCTGACATTTAGACTCCTATCTGTCCGGGGTAGGCAGAAGACCAGCAAATGCTCTGGTGCACACCTGGATGGGCTGACCGCTTCAGTGGACCACTCTTGAGCACTGTTACCCACATTCCTAAAGGTGGAAATTTCCGCCATCTTTCACTAAGCACAAGTTTTGTCAACAACCATGCCTGTGGGGTCACAGTGGAAAGAGCTCACAGACATCTTGGAGGCAGAAGACAGATCAAGGCTTCTTGGCTGCCAAAACCAGGTCTGATGTTAGACACTGAGATGCTGAGAGTCTCATCAAAAATTAAGTGGAAAGGTTAAAGGAAAGGTAATTTTAAAAAACACTATTGTGGGGCCGGGAACGGTGGCTCACATCTGTAATCCTAGCACTTTGGGAGGCCGAGGTTGGGGGATCTCTTGAGCTCAGGAGTTCGAGACCAGTCTGGGCAACATGGTAAAATTCCATCTCTATATAAAGTACAAAACTCCGCTGGGTGTGGTGGTGCGTACCTGTAGTCCCAGCTACTTGGGAGGGTGAGGTGGGAGGGTGGCTTGAGCCCAAGAGGTAGAGGTTGCAGTGAGCTGAGATCGTGTCATTGCATTCCAGCCTGGGCAACAGAGCCAGGCCCTGCCTCAAAAAAAAAAAAAAAGCAAACACCATTGGACTGTCCCCTTATGGTTTAACTGGGTCAAAAAATACCTTTGCTCTTTTTTTTTGTAATCAGACAACATATGCTGTGAGCCCCAGGGTTCTAGCTACCTGGACTCCACTTGACCCATGCACTGCTGGAGGTCCCACAGGCAGCAGAAAGGGCACAGGTGTCAGAGAGACCCAGCCTCCAGACATGGCCCCTTCACCTACCTGCCACCTGAGGGCAGTTGCTTCCCAACTCCACAGCTCAGTTTCCTCAGCTGTGAGAGGGGATAAGATGCTGTCCTAGTTACCTCTCTAGGGTCACTGTGAACACAGGTGACAGGAGAAACAAGGGTTCACATTAATGTGTTGATCAAAAATAAAGTATGGTTTTAATAAAAGTGTTCACTAATGAGCTAGGACTAACAAAATAAACTTATCTTTTAAAATGTGCAGGAAGTTCTTATGGAGTCAACTAGAAATTAGCATTCTGTTTGATTTGTTAAAAGGTAAGATTTGCAGACCTAGTACATCTTTTTATTTTTTTAAGCTTGAGAAGAGCAGCAATCCCTTTAATATTTGATTTCCTCTGGGAGCCTCCTAACACGAGATTTATCCAGCTGCCAGGTACTGAGGAGAAAGAGCAGTTTTGGGTCATGTGGTCTCATAAGAGCGCAACGGATTCCAAACCAGAAAGGTGGTGCTTAGCAATGTTTCTCGCGAATGCTGGGATCTTACAGAGTCGCGGTCCTCGATGACTCGCTGGGGCCTGGATGACGAGGATGGACTTGTCCCCTTGAGCCTCTTAAACTGTGTGAACAAGATGTTCATGGTGGCAAGAAGCACTTCTGAGAGGTTGTGCCTGATCTACATAGAGAGAAAAACAGAGTAAAGAAAAAGAACCAAGCCTTTGGGGCCAACCACAGATGGAGGGAGGGTGGGCTGCTCCAGGCAGGCCTGGTTGCACCACTCCTCACCATTGCCAGGTGGAGAGCCACACAGTCACCCAAAAGGAGCTGATGGCACTGAAACATCAAGTGTGAGAAAAAAACCCAAGCAATGCTGCTCAGGTCAGGTGGTTACTGTTCCTGCTCCTTTATGCTGTTTTTCCCTTAGTCAGGGGCAGTGAGCCAAAAGCATGCTGACATCTGGTTAGCATTAGGCTTAGACTGGCCAGCAGAGTGGCTGCCATTAAATAATTTGAACTTGAATGTCAGGAGGTACAGGTGCACACGCTACTTCTCCACAGTCCCTACCACTCCTCACTCTCTCAAACTCACCGGGCTGTTTCCACTAGATCTGCATGACCCTACCAGAGTCCTTGGGAGTGTCTATAAGGCCAGGCCCTCGTGTACCACTTTAATCCCTGATGCAATGAAGGATGCATTCAAGGAAAGGCCAGAAATAACAAAGGAGCAAGTGGCTAAGGGTAGAAGCCACAGCAGGTATAAAGGGAAGGTCAGCAAGGGGCAAGACCTTCTGAACTGTGTGTACCACAGCAGTCAACATCCCTCTTCATGTGCAGAACTGGCCTTACTTCTTTCTCTAAAATAGAAACTTTTTTTTTTTTTTTTTGAGACAAAGTCTCCCTCTATCGCCCAGGCTGGAGTGAAGTGGCGCAATCTCGGCTCACTGCAACCTTTGCTTCCCGGGTTCAAGCGATTCTCGTGCCTCAGCCTCTGGAATAGCTGGGACTACAGGTATGCGTCACCACGCCCGGCTAATTTTTGTATTTTTTAGTAGAGATGGGATTTTACCATGTTGGCCAGGCTGGTCTCGAACTCCTGACCTCAGGTGATCAGTCCGCCTCAGCCTCCCAAAATGTTGGGATTATAGGTGTGAGCCACCGCACCTGGCTGGAGACATTTTATAAAAGGCATCTGCTCAATGAGGAAGAATTGTAAACTGAAAGACCACTAGTGACATCCCAGAGCCAGGCAGCTGGTTCTAGAGTCTATAGTGTCGACAGCTGAGTTGAGTGTTTATAGTTCTAGAGAAGAATTTACCTGGGCCACACACTGGAATGACTGGGGGAGGTCTGGGCTGCAGCAATCAGGGAAAACAGAATCTCTGGGGTGTAGGCATGAGGGTTTTTAGAAACTTTTCTAGAGATGCCAGTATGCAGCCCAGCTGAGCACCCTAGGCTAGATGCTGGCAATATGCTAGAAACCCAACAGACAGTGGCTCTGGGGCTTATGGGGTGATAGCTTACTCCGCGGTCACTGCACTTGCGTCTTTAGACAAAATGGATTGGCTGGGCACGGTGGCTCACGCCTGTAATCCCAGCATTTTGGGAGGCCGAGGCGGGCAGATCACGAGGTCAGAAGATCGAGACCATCCTGGCTAACACGGTGAAACCCCATCTCTACTAAATATACAAAAAATTAGCTGGGCGTGTTGGCGGGCACCTGTAGTCCCAGCTACTCGTGAGGCTGAGGCAGGAGAATGGTGTGAACCCGGGAGGTAGAGCTTGCAGTGAGCCAAGATCACACCACTGCACTCCAGCCTGGGTGACAGAGTGAGACTCCTCCGTTTCAAAAACAAAAAAATCCCAAAACAGATAAGGGAGGGCAAAGGTGGCAGTGAATCATGATGTGTTTCACGTACCCAATGGAACTACTTAAAGATGATCAGAGTTAAGCACTAAAATACCCTCTAGCACAAGCGGATAATAGAAGAATTAAACCAGACTTCACAGATCAACCAGAAACCTGTTTCTCCCAAGAACATGTCAATCACTGAAGTGACTGTATTTTCTCAATTAGGAATTCAGACAATAATCTGATGGGGATGTATGCACTCACAGAAAAGCCAGGCCAAGGTATCTGAAAGGGAACCACTCTGGAAAACTCAGTCTGGATAGTTACTGTAACTAGAATTCTTAAAGCTGTTAGGTACAGGAAAAGAAAAAGCTTTTGGTGGAAGTGGGGAAAAAGGAATTCCACAACTCAGGAAGAAGGAACTTACTTCATCACTGAAATTTCTGAAGGCAGCCACTCTCTCTTCCACACTTTCCTGATTCAGGGGCACCAGCTTCAAGCGCTCAATGATCTGTTTAAAACAACCACCGGCCCCATGTAACACAACCATCACAGTCATTTCATCTCTCTACATGTAAAGTCAGCACCTCACATACTCCAAAGGGCTTCTTCATAGAAAACGCCATTCCTCCTTGTACACACAAAGGCTTTGATTCTAACTAGCTAACTTAATTCTTATCATCATTTCCTGACACAATTTTTAAAATTCTGAGATTGCAAATTACTTTGAGAAACTTCTCTGTTTTCAGATTAAAGGGGAAAGGAATAGGCAAAAAAAAAAAAAAAAAAAAAAAAAAAGCCACACAGGAAACTCCTTTTAAGTCCCAGGATTGTACTTGTCTTTCTTTATACAACAAACATACTGGCAACAGCTCCTTTGTTTTAAGTAAATTCCATGAAGTGTTTTGAATTTTCGAGGGTGTACATTAACCTGCACTTCAAACACCTTTCCTGAAACTTACATCAAAAGCTCTATCAATATGACCACTATGATACTCGTCAAAAAAGGTGATCAAGTCCAAAAGAAGATAGAACGTGGAGTCCACAAATTTATTTGCGCTTATTCCTTGAGCCCTATACCTGAAAGACAAAAACGGGGTGGGGGTAGTAAGAGTGTATCAGGAATTTCTGTGTAATCCGTAACAGTGGAATAGCATTTAAAAAAACAGTGGGGTGTGGTCGCTCATGCCTGTAATCTCAGCTACATGGGAGGCTGGGGCGGAAGGATTGCTTGAGGCCAGGAGTCAGTGACCAGCCTGGACACACAGCGAGACCCCATCTCCACAAAATATTAAAATATTAACTGAGTGTGGTGGTACATGCCTGTAGTCCTAGTTACTCAGGAGGCTGAGGTGGGAGGATTGCTTGAGCCCAGGAGTTCAAGGTTACAGTGAGCTATGACTGCACTACTGCACTCCACTCCAGCCTGGGTGATACAGGGAGACCCTGTCTTAACATACAAAAAAAATGTATAAAAAGCATCAAAACCTTCTGAGCTCTCTGGGTGAAGTTAATTAAAGAGTGTAAAATGGTGTTTATTTTGAAACAGCCAAGCACTGATAGTGGATTTGGTATGAATCCACCTACAGGTACTCCACCACATGAAGCATGGTTCTCCAGCCTTGATCATCATCTCAGCATCCAATCTTCATGAAAGGTGGGAGGTCGTGATGGGCAAAAAGCCGAGCAGCCCTCACTGGGGATTGTTTGCTAGGTGGAGATATCTCATTTACCAAAGAATGTTCTTTTTTGTTACCCCGGGAAGGCACCCCAAACCCAGTTTTCTCTGGGTCATTTTACTAGGAATATCTACAGAGAGCGCAAAAAGTAATGTTGTTAGCTTCAGCCTGGGACTTAAACTAGTTAGAAGTCTGATAATTCAGTTAACTCACTGGGGATCCAGGTAGTCTGAAACACTGGCCACGACACCTCTAAGAATCTCCCCCATCCAACCATCACTAGCTTTGGTCTTGAATGCCTTTGAGAGGGCTGATGAAAGTATACAACAGTATTTAGGCGAGCATAATGCTTAAAATTAAGCTTTATGTGCATGATTAAAATACTGAGATGCCCTTTCATACCCATTTCTTTGGCAAAAATGTTAAGTTTGATAGTACCAAGTACTAGTTCTGATGCGGGGACAAAGGAACTCACACAGTGCTGGTGGCATGGTGAGTTAGTAGAACCACTTTGGAAAGCTGTCTGCTGTTACCTAGTAAAGCTGAACATGCATTTGGGTGGGCATAGGTGGCCTGGCACTGGCAGTGGCACCCTCAGGGTCCCATGGAGCCAGCTCCTGGCTTACCGTTCGGCAATGGAGAGTGCCATGTTCTTCAGCCTCTCCTTGTTGGATTGCGGGGCACTGATCTGGGGGACGACAGGGCTCAGCAGTTTGTTCATCAGCTCCAGTACCTTGTCAGCATTCTGCTCAAGTTTTTAAAATTAAGGAAGCAATCAATAAAGTAATCAATAAAAGGAACAACTATATAATGCCCCCTACCCACCAAAGAGAACTTTCTGGGGTGACATTTTTTACCGCCTCCCAAGTTCAAGCAATTCTCGTGCCTCAGCCTCCTGAGCAGCTGGGATTACAGGCATGCACCACTATGCCTGACTAATTTTTATATTTTTAGTAGAGACGGGGTTTTGCCATGTTGGCCAGGCTAGTCTCGAACTCCTGGCCTCAAGTGATGCGCCTGCCTTGGCCTCCCAAAGTGCTGGGATTACAGGCGTGAGCCCCTGCACTTGGCCTATAGCTGTTTTTTTGTCTACTTTTCTCAGTTGATAAAGGAGAGAATGTAATCTTGTTTAGGTCATAGAATCCTTAGCAGTTATCATATGTTCTTAGTCATCATTTGTTCTTCGGTAGAAACATGTATTCTAGTCCTCTCAAAACGCCCAGCTAAGGTCTTATTTTCTTTCACTCCTTCCTGCACACTGATGTGGTCTTATTTTCTAACACCACTGTTCCCCAGTGTGTCTGTGGTTGCCAGGGTCAGCATAATGTAATTTTCAACAGTGGCTTCACCATCGAAATGTGATGGATGCTAATTCTGCTGCCAAGTGAGACAACAGTTCAATGCCTGCAGGACATCCTTTCAATATGTTGTTTGGTCAGAAAAATCTTATGGGCAGAAATAATGCTGTAAAATGGGAATTCTGTCCTGACTGGACCATTAACTGTCTAAGCACTAGAGCAAATGCCTCTGCAGGGAGGGTGCTACAACAATGACACTGTCCAAGTGGCTGCACATTTAATGCCAAAAGGCCAGCAGACCTGTGAAGTGCAAAAGAAGGAAGTGGGCACACTTTACCTTGGCAAGGTCATACAGCTTTGCTGCCTCTTCAAACAGTCCTTTATTTTCTGCCACAGAAGCAACTTTGTTGATAATAGGCTTTGTGTCACTAGTAAACTTATCTATGACTCCAGGCTGACAAGACAAATTATGGAGGGGGAGGAAGAGAGAGACGGGTGCACAGAGCTATTATTTTAAACACAGAGAAGCAATTAGGATCCAAAAAATACTTCAAGTGGAATTGCTTGCCCTGGGCAACGCATATATTTCATCAGCCAGACTCTGGCTTTCTTAAAGATATAAAGTCCTATTAAAACTATAAAAGAGACCAAGGAAACTACACATGAAAGGGCAGACTTACTAGAAGCACAGAGGAGTCAGCAATAAGACATCTGTGCTTTCTAATTTTCCAAAATGACCCAGAGAGTCAGTGAAATCAATGATTTTAAATTTGCTGATAAGTAGGAACTAGAGAGAAAAATCAGGAGGCTTAGAAAAAATATCTGAAAAATTTTGGATTTGCTTTCTAAGACAGATGGCAAAAGGAACTCAGTGCTGAAAAAACACACAGCAAGTGGTAACAGGACATTTCTTTTTTTTTTTTTTTGAGACAGAGTCTTGCTCTGTCTCCCAGGCTGGAGTGCAGTGGCGCAATCTCGGCTCACTGCAAGCTCTGCCTCCCAGGTTCACACCATTCTCCTGCCTCAGCCTCCCGAGCACCTGGGACTACAGGTACCCACCACCACGCCTGGCTAATTTTTTTGTATTTTTAATAGAGACAGGGTTTCACCGTGTTAGCCAGGATGGTCTCGATCTCCTGACCTCATGATCCACCCGCCTCGGCCTCCCAAAGTGCTGGGATTACAGGCGTGAGCCACCGCGCCCGGCTGGTAACAGGACATTTCTTAAAAAAAAATCACCATCACCACTCAACAGCAACTAAATGGTCAGGAGAGCATGAGAGAGGCCTTAGGCACCCTGGGAGAATGAAGGCAAGTGCATAACATCTCTGCCTGGCCATTCTGCTTCTCCACTAGCGCTGGACTCTCAGGGCTAGACCAGGTCAAGGTGGCTGGACCAGGTTGAGGTGACTTGCCCTGCCACTTGGGAGGTAGCAGAGGATAAGGTCTTATCTATGTTTCTAGCTCTGTCAACTCACATACAGTAGGAGCCTCCTGGCCCCAGTGCAGCCTGTTAAAGAAGAAACTATGCAAAGCACTCAGCACAATGCCTGTTGATTGTCACTGCCCAATAAGCAAGGCCACTGTCATCAGCACTGTCACTTGCCTTTCTTCTGAGGTAGATGGTGTGAGCAGTGTGAGCTCATCTACAGATTGCTGGGTCCAAATCACTCATTTTTACAAACGAGAAAACTCAGCCCCTGAGGGACAAGTGACTTTCCAAGGGCCACAGGGAGATTCAGGGTCATGACTGGTCTCTGACAACAGGATCTCTGACCCTCCTGCCATGACAACCAATGGGCATAGTGAGTCCTGAAATCCCTCAAGCTTCCAGAAGTATTTCCAGGGTCACTGTGGAGTTCAAAGCCCTTGGAAACTGCATTTTGAAGGAGGTCAAGTGCATGTCTAACTTTCCCATCTTGGGAGAATGGGTGCAGTAATCAATTTCTTTTCCTTGCATGTTTTCTGAGCCAAGAATGGCAGAAATGTATAATAGCATTCTCAGCTCAAAAAATGACAGGCATGAACAAATGAATATTCTGAACATAATAAAAAAGCTATGTAATCACAAATTAACATATTTTAAGGAGATATAAGTGTGTGTAAAACCAAGGTCATCATTTGGGCCCATAATTTTCATTCCATTTTTTAAATTAAGCAACTCTGTTCAGATTTGCATCTTTAGTACCTTGAATCTTAAAATCTAAGTGTATTTTTTGATATTTATAAATCCCCAATGGCTAACGAACATTTCTCTAAGGATGCATTTAACTCACCTTTCTACTTCCGTCATTCTCTAGTTTCCCAAGAATCATATCGAACTGTGGAAGGAAAAAAGTTTACTCAAATTATTGGACAAAGATATAAACATATTCCATAAGTCTTCAGAGAAAAAAGAGGGGAATCAAATGGGATGAATGGGATAAGTCTTAGGCAAACTAAAAATCAGTGTGACTGAAATAAATATTTTCATTGTTAGAAACCAAAGAAACTCCAAAAACTCCCTAGGCCTTATCCACCACAACCATATTGAAGTAAACACGCAATACGGAATGAGCATGGGACATGCACACTGAAAACCATGGGGAGGAGAGAAAAGGAAACCCACTCACCTCTCGGCTTTCAATCACAAGCTCACTCACACAGCGCAGAAACATGTTTTCTCCTTGACTATCTTTCTCATCCCTGTAAGGGAAATAAACAACTCAGTTTCCAGTCTGGACATGAGGTCTCTAATAGTCATTCTCAGAATGGCAGAAATTGAAACTAGCTGAAGTAAATGGTCAAAAGCAAATGTTACCTGAGGAAATAGAAGTACTGGAGGGCCTCCCTTGGGTCCGTGGACTCAAACTTCCGGGTGTACAGCATGAGGAGCCGCACGAAGTTCAGCCGCCGCAAGCAAGGAGGGTCACCAGGCTCGTGGCTGACTGCATTGTGGGGGTCAGAATGGGTCACAACCACACTGCCCCTCTGACCCATGCAACCCAGAAACTATGGAAGCTGAATCCACAGACCCAGCAGCATCTACTCCTGCAGCCCAGTCAAAGTTTGCTAATATAAGCTTTGGCCAGTCCCTTTTACCATCCTATCCTCAATTCATCCCCAGGCCCAGAGTGGAGAAAACAGCACTTTGCCATAAATTACTAATATGCTGGTCTTTGAGTGAAAACATAATCCAACTGACGATTATGGCATGTGCTCTGGGATGACTTTGCTGCAACAATAAGGAACCTGCAGCCATTCATCCACATTTACTTCCTCTCTCTCCCCTGACTCTCTCATCCCAGGCAGGTATGCACATGCCTGGCTGGGGTTTCCAATGTCATTAAAGCCAGCCCTAATGGGAATCAGACCCATAACTCTAGGGGCTGCTTCTTCAGCATTTTCCAGGCAATCAGACTGGCCACAAAGCTAGTACTTTGAACATCACTTTATATACTTAACTTTCAAGGGAATACTAATGCTGGGGGGTGGGGGGGAAGCAGGAACCCTTAACACTAATCATCTAAAAAGCTCAACTGTCCACATGCTCTAAAATGACTGGTACCCTTTGCTCAAATCCTTATTGGTTGTGGTTTTGTGGCCACCGTCGCCCCAAGGGGGACGTGCTGTGGTTACATTACTGTCAATCCAATCCCAAATACTCACGGAGCTGAGCACTCTGTCCAGAGGACTTTAAAAGCAGCTTCAGCTCAAACAGCACCAGTGCTACATGGACAGCATGGCAGCGCAGCCGCTCCATGCGGAAAAGAAAGGCAACTGCTGCTTCAAACTGCGCTGTCAGGAACAGGACTTGGAAGTAGAGGAAGGGTTGCTGGTTCACCGTAAAGTGGGACTCGCCTGGGAGAGAGGAGAGGAGAGGAGATAAAACCAACTTAGAAAGAAGGGGCTCACTGGTGGCCCAACCCCCAGGCAGCAGCCCTGTGAGCCCACAGGACTTGCTGGACAGGAAGAAAGCACCAGATTGAGTCTGAATTGATCAAGGGGGCCCTGAATACAGTAAACTGCCATGTGAAATGTGACCTGGCTCCTCCACCTTCTCTAGACCTCATAACATTACTGGAAACTGTGACTGTGCTGTAAAACTCCAACTGCTTGCATTAGGTGGGAGAGAAACAGAGCTAAGGACCTTAAAATGGACCACAGAGAGTGTTTATCTCCTTTACCCTGTTAAGTCACTCAAGGAGAGAAATGAAGATTTCAAAGGAGTTTCAGTTTACTCACAGTCACAGAAATCTGAATGCAACAACTGGTAACCACTATTTGGAATCTTCTTTTCTTCTCAGTTTTTAAAAAATACGGGAAAAAAGAAGAAAGGCTGTTTCTCTCTCCTTTGTGCTCAGATCTAGTGACTGGTACGATCGACTAGGAAGCAACAGCTAAGTCTTCTTTTTCTCTCCCTGAGCATATGTCTACTAGAACAGTTCAAAGAATTAGAGAAAACAGATTATTGTGTATGACCATATAAGTTTTATGTATTTCTTAAGGCCACATGCCCTTTATTTGAATTTGGAATGGTAGTTTTGTTGTGTTTTGCCTTGACAATCTATAGGAGTTTTGGAAGAAAGACAAAAGTTCAGAGATGAAAAATTTTCCCAGAGGAAAACTGAAGTAGTCACCTTAAGTGGACAAGAGAAGGGAAAGGTGGTTATGTCCAGAATCTTACCATAGTCTTCCAACAACTGCTTCTGGAACTGTGAGAGAGTGAGCCTGTCTTGTGGGGAGCTGGTGCCATCGTCGTCAAAACACACTTGGTTCAACTAAATCCCCAAGAGAAACACATGCATTGGTACAAATGACACCCTGAGCCACATGCACAGAGTTGTAGCTGTTCAGCAGCCATGCTCAATGATGTCAGCTAGAAGCTGTGTTTAAGGCTATGGTTATGAGCTGGGAATTACACAACAAAAAATGGGGACAGGAGACGAGGAACCCACTGGTCCTGATCACTGTATTGGCATCATACATTAAGCAGGTAAAATCTTTGCGGGGACTTGAGCACAGAAAAGGGGTAAAGCCCTATGTGGGCAGGGGAAACAGTGCCTACCTTCAGCCACAGGTAATCCTCAGTTTTGTCCGCCACTTCACTCTGGTTGTCGGTGACGTCACATCTGCCAATGATACAGTACACGGCCCGCTTGTAGGGATCTGTATTGTTCCTGAGGGCCCTACGGTAATGCAGCCGGAGCTTGTTTTCCGTAGCTGGGGACAATCTACAGACATAAGGGAACAGACAGATAGATACATACTCAATAAAAATCCTCAAGGGCATCTGAAAGCGTCCCAGGTCCCAAACACATAAAAGCAGGGAAGCCTTCCTTCATCCGGGGTAAGAGACACTGTCTCTGCCCCATCCCCTCCCCTCGGTACCATCGCTTTAACCTGACTTGCAACTACCTGCACCTGTATCTATTGGCCTGCCGGTTTTCTATTTGCTGAGGCCTTCATGGGCAGGTGAGAAATGCCAGGGAATTAGAACTCCATTGCACAACCCAGCAGCACTCAAGCAGTGATGGACAGGAGTGAATCCTTCCCTTAACTGTCTTAGCCCCTCCCTGGCCTCCACACTCCCTTATTCATGTGAGATCACCTCCTAAATAAACAACTTGCACTCAAATCTCCTTCTGGGGGAACCTTAAGACATTAACCCTACTTTAAATTCTAACATGAGCAAGACAGGGGCTTCTGGTTTGAGGCAATCTCTTGATATGACATTAGTAATGCTGCCAAGAAAAGTATCCTAGTTTTTCACAAGTACAGCTACAGTAACCGCCATCATTTCTTCTACATACATGTACATATATATAACCTCAGTTTGAGTATGAGCTTAAGTCCAATTACATTAGCAAAATCCAAGGAAAATTAATGCTTAGCAGTTCCTTAATGCAAGAGAACTTAAAGACTTAATGAATCAATTCAATGATTATATTTCAATTTTACTAACTTCTAATTCTAGCCTTTAAGCTACGAAGTACGTGACAACATATTTTCATATTGGTTGACCAAAAAAGCATTAAGTGTTAACAAGTGTAACTTTTAAAAAGTCCCATTTTATAAAGCATCCTTGATGTGCCTTAGATTTACAGAATAAGTCAAATCATGCTCCTAAACCTGGCCCTCCCTTGTAGGAACAGAAAAATTCCCAAACACAGATGCATGCATGCCTAGACATCAGTGTCAGAATGGGGCATTCTTTTAATGTTTTCACTCCTTATTCCCAAGAGAGTTCTATTTGCTTTCAAAACTTCCTTTTTCCCCCAAGCAGAAACTTGTTTTGGGCCCGTCCAGGGAAAAGAGAATAATGACAGTGAAGGATGCCCCTTTGATTCTGCATGGCTGCCCCTGGGCGTGCCACCTCATTCACCATACCTTCTGTCCTTGCTGTTCATGTACTCCTGGAACCAGGTTTTAAACTCTCCCAGCTGGTGCTGGGCTCGATTAACTACCTGTGAAGCGGCAAGCAGGTCTCCACAGCGCATGCAGTAGTAAATTAGCGCCCACACAGGATGGCCTTCCACCTCTCCATCCTAAAAGAGGAACAGTTAAGTGCTCAAAATAAACAAGGAAAGGCTGACTGCTTTCATATGTGCTAAAACCGAGCTAAGCCCCTCTCCTTTATAATATGTCACTTAATCTTCAGAACAGCTCCCTGCAGTGAGAACCATTAACAGCCTTTTCCTGTTTTACAAACAAGGAAACTGAGGCATGGAGGGGTTAAGTCATCTGTTCAAGTAAGCTGTTAAGTGGCAATATGGCTCCAGAGCTTTTCCTCTGAAGTGCTTTGTACCCAACTTGATCCAAAGCCACCCTGTGGTTTTTCCATGGAATCCCAGGGGCCCATAGTAACTGGGTGATGTTCTTTTGTGATAATATACACACATGCACTCCTACAATCCCACAAAGCAAAGGCTAAAGATGTCACTGACCAGTAAGAGACTATCCTTATAGCACTCAAGTTTATAAAACGTCATAAACATTTTACTCAGTATCTTGGTGTCAGGTACTGCTGGGCACTGGGGATCTGAGAGACAGCTCCGTTCCCACTCTCTGAATACTACAGCTTATTTATCCCAAGTCTGGTTTTGCCATTTGTCTGCACAGCGGCCTGCGCTTACGCTTCTGTCTTTGCTTTTCTTCAACTCCTCCAGAAGTAGACTTCAGGCCTCCTATCTTGGCACTTCCACCCTTCCCTCAACAGGACTCTTTCTAAAACCCAGATCTGAACTTGCCCACTTAAACCCCTTTGAGCTGTTTAAGTCCAAAGTGCTGGGCCTGGCACTTAAGGCCTTCACTAGTGGGCCCCAAGCTTGCCAAGCCCTACTGTGCACCCAGTCCTCCCGATACTCTCTCCTGCCTCCATGCATTTGTGCATGTGTTACCTCCTCCTGGAATACTCTTTTCCAAAACTTCAGGTTGGTGAACTCCTATTCTTTAAGAGCAAGTGCGAATCTCACCTTCTTTATGCAGCTAATCTCCTCTGTATCCTGCCACCCTTTGCATAAGGCTCCAGTTTAGGGCTTTGCATTACTGTATGATAATCTCCCCAACTGGACCACGAGCTGAGAAGAGACCACATCCTAAAAACTACATTCAACTCCATTCTTCCAGCTGTTTTAGCCAAAAATCTCAGAAGTCATCCCTGACTCTGCCTCTCACACTCAAATCCATGTTCTTCAGCAAGTCCTATTGGCTCAGCTTTCAAAACATGTCCAGAACCCAATGACATCTTCTCCATGCACTCTTCTCCACCCGGAGCTGAGTCCACCATCACCTGGACTTCTGTACTATCAGCCTCCTAAGAGGTCTTTACCTTCTGTCCTCACCCCTCTCTGGTCCCATCTCCACACAGTAGTCTCCACAGATACCCTCATTTTAACTGAAAATGCCCATCTGAGGGCAACTGCTCTGGGGGTGTAACTGATCACACAGAGAAAGTTGTCAGTACCTGTAGTCCAGGCAAGGGAGCTGGCAGTTTAATGTTCAGGAAACTTCGAACCAATTGGTAAGTCCCAGGCACCCCGCCCAGCTGGGCCTGATGCAAATTTCCAAAGACAGTCACAAGGGTGTAATTCTTATAACTGGAAAAATTTTAAAGGAAAAAACAGGGAAGACTGAAAACATTTATTACACATCTCTATGCCCATATCCATGACATTACACTGTAGCTTGGAAGGGCAGGGCCTAGACTTCAAGCTCAATGCAGAAGAGGAAATAGTACATGCTTAATGAAGCAAACTACATTATTACTCAGTGGGCTGTGGATCACAGTAGATTTCTCATCACTGAGGAAACTCAAAAGAATCCCTGGAGGAACACAACTGTGGACTTCAAATACATTAAGGGTGGATATACAGAATAATAATTGCTCCAGCTCACAGCCTAATGTTCTGGTTGGTTCTTGTTAAACTTTTTATTTTGAACACTTTCAAACCTACAAAAAATTAAAAGAATAGTTCAATGAATGCACATAACCTTTTACCTAGATTCACCAATTTTTAACATTTCTTTATGTTTTCTCTCTACACATACACATAACATTTTTCTCCCCTCAAACCCCTTGAAAATATGTTATAAAAATCAGGGGCTACTTTATCCATAAATACCATATGGCTCTGAAGAACTAGGACCTTCTCCTGCCTAACCTCAGTATCATTATGATACCAAGAAACTTAACATTAATTTATTATTATCAAAAATATAACCCACATTTCTTAATAGTGTCCTTTACAGTTTTTAAATCCAGAATCTCATCAAGAAAATATAATTGTCAAGCCACTTTCCCTTAATCTAAGATAATTCCATTAATTCTACCACTATTTTTGTCTTTCATGACAATGATCTTTTTTTTTTTTTTTTTTTTAAGAGGCAGGGTCTTGTTGTGGTTCCCAGGCTGGGATGCAGTGCCTATTAACAAGTGCCCTTATTTTTTTTTGAGATGGATTCTCACTCTAGTCGCCCAGGCTGAAGTGCAGTGGCATGATCTTGGCTCACTGCAACCTCTGCCTCCTGGGTTTTCAAGCATTTCTCTTGTCTCAGCCTCCCAAGCAGCTGGGATTACAGGCGTGGGCCACCACGCCCAGCTAATTTTCGTGTTTTTAGTAGAGATGGGGTTTCACCATTTTGGCCAGGCTGGTCTCGAACTCCTGACCTCAAGTGATCCTCCCGCCTTGGCCTCCCAAAGTGCTGGGATTACAGGCATGAGCCACCATGGCTGGCCCACAAGTGCCTTTAAAGCACTCTACTGCCTCGAACTCCTGGGCTCAAGCAATCTTCCCCCCTCAATCTCCTGAGTAGCTGGTGCTAGAGGTACATGCCACCATGCTCAGCTGGACACTAACCTTTTATTTATAGAGTCCAGTCCAGCTGTCTGGTAGAATATCTTGTAAGCTGGATCATTATTTGATTCAGGTTCAATTTTTTTGCCAGTAGCCCTACATAGCTAATGCTGGCACTTCCCACTGAATCCCACAATGAAGTAGGTAGTAGGTTTGCTTCTTTATTGGTAACACTAGATATGATTCACTTGCTTGAAAGATGTCCACCAGATTTCTCCGTTACAATTTATTATTCTCTTTGTACTTAATAAGTAGTCTGTGGGGCAATACATGGAAGTCATGCAAGTATTCTATTCACCAACAATCTTTTACTCAACGGTTTTACTTTCCATTGATGGTCCTTGCCGCACCAGTTATTACACTGGTGGTCGCAAAATGATGATTTTTCTACCATTCCCTCTCCATTTATTTGCTAGCATGCTTCTTAAAATCCTCTGCAGTGGTTTTAAGTGTTTCCATACCAAGATTAAATAGTCCAATTCACAGATACCCAAATATGTGGTTAATGTAATAACTTTCTAAATATAATATGTTCTTGTCAAAAACAAGAGACTACCTCAAAAAGTCAGGTGTTCAACACCAGGTTAAATAAAACAACAGAGAGAGTAAAACAACCTAAATCTTAATAACAGGAAACAGACTCAACAAAATTTTTTTTTTTTTTTTTTTTTTTTTGAGACGGAGTCTCATTCCATCCCCAGGTTGGAGTACAGAGGCGCCACCTCGGCTCACTGCAACCTCTGCCCACCGGGTTCAAGCAATTCTCCTGACTCAGCCTCCTGAGTAGCTGGGACTACAGGTGTGCACCATCATGCCTGGCTAATTTTTGTATTTTTAGTAGAGAAGGGGTTTCACCATGTTGGCCAGGATGGTCTCAATCTCTTGACCTCGTGATCTGCCCGCCTCGGCCTCTCAAAGTGCTGGGATTACAGACGTGAGACGCTGCACCCAGCCGACTCAATGAAATTTTATGCAGTTATGAAAAAAAATACACGTCAAGAACGGGGGGAAAAAAGAAATACAACAAGGTAATAGGAGCCTCTAGATGGTATACGGGTCCTCCCCTCCTTTTTCACGTCTTATTTTTAGCATCTTCCAAAGTTTCTATAATAAGGATGTATCATTTTTATAATGAAAAACAAACAAAATTTAACAAATGTTAATGAGTTCCCCATCATTGGAAGTTGTTTTTTTTTTTTTTTTTTAGACGGAGTCTTGCTTTGTTGCCCAGACTGGAGTGCAGTGGCACGATCTCGGCTCACTGCAACCTCTGCCTCCCAGGTTCAAGTGATTCTCCTGTCTCAGTCTCCCAAGTAGCTGGGACTTGCGCCAGGTGCACACCACCACACCCAGCTAATTTTTGTATTTTTAGTATAACCGGGGTTTCACGATGTTGGCCAGGCTGGTCTTGAACTCCTGACCTCAGGTGATCCACCCACCTTGGCCACCCGAAGTGTTGGGATTACAGGTGTGAGCCACTGCGCCCGGCCTGGAAGTATTTATAAGCAGAGGTTGGATAAGAAATTGAGGAGTTCTGTAGCAGCCAGGACAAACAGATGCCCACTATGGTCTCTTCCAATTTGAATTAAGACAGTTCATGTGCTGACAAGGGCCTAAGCTGAAGAAGTCTAAATTCCTTGAGGGCTAAGAAATATATATCATGCCTCAAATCTTGGAATGTGGCAGGGAAGAGACAGACCAATCCTATATTTTCACAACATTTCAGCCCTGTAATTGAAAAATTATTTGGGCCTGGTCTACTTTGCCATCTGGTGCATTACATCACTTGAACTATTATATGCATACTGTCAGTGAATCAGCAGCAGAGAAAAATATTTTAAAACTCAGTATAATTATTCTAAAATACCCCCTTTATCAAAGGTGACAATGAATGCTCACAAAAGATGCCATGAGAGAGTGATGCCACTAGAGTGAAAAATAAACTTAAGATTACAATTATGAACAGGAAATTCCCAAATAGCTCCAAGAAGCACCATTAAAGAAATTAATGGAACAAGATAATTTTTAAAACTAAACGAAAAGACTAAAAGAAATGGACTGGCTTACCAGCAATTTAAAACCAAGGAAAGCAGCCCAGTACCATTGGTGAAGTCAAGGACCAATGTTAAGGATTAGGGTGATCAAGAAAAAAGTAGTCATGAGCAGTCATACACTTACACTCATTGAAAAAAAATAAAAATTAAAAAAAATCCTAGGCCAGGCACGGTGGCTTACGCCTGTAATCCCAGCACTTTGGGAAGCTGAGCCCAGTGGATCACCTGAGGTCAGGAGTTCAAGACCAGCCTGGCCAACATGGTGAAACTCCATCTCTACTAAAAATACAAAAATTAGCCAGGCATGGTGATAGGCAACCATGCTATTCAGGAGGCTGAGGCAGGAGAATCGCCTGAACCCGGGAGGCAGAGGTTGCACAGAGCCAAGATCACACCATTACATTACAGCCTGGGCAACAAGAGCGAAACTCCATCTCAAAAAAAAAAAAAAAAAAAAAAAGCTGGGTATGGTAGCACACACCTCAGGAGGCTGAGGTGGGAGGACTGCTTGAGCCTGGGAGGCAGACGTTGCAGCGAGCCCAGATTATGCCACTGCACTCCAGCATGGGTGACAGAGCCAGACTGTCTTACAAAAAAAAAAAAATTCCTGGGAAGTTTTTATATAGTATAAGAAATTCTGACTCATTTTGCTGACTGGTAACAAATAAATGCTACTATGTATGTAGGTTCTTTATGGCTGAAGATTGATAAACCCAAAACTTAAACACAAAAATTCAGCTAACGCTTGGATGAATTATTTTATAAACCCTTTATTCCTATACTAGGAGAATAAAAATCCATTTTGAGCTCCAGATTTTTCTTAACCAGGGAATGGAAGCTAGTGAATGTAATGTGTCTGATGGTGTTCATTTCAGTAGCTCTCATGTAATTAATACAGTATTTGGTATAAAAACCTATTCTCTGCTGTACCAAGTTTGAATTACCTCAGTAACATACAAGGAAATCTTCTGACTTCCTAATGAAGTATCGTTTTATTGACAAAAGGCAATCTTACTGCAAGGCTGCTGGCAGGTGCAGAGGCTGAGTGGCAAAGGCCTGCAATTTAGCAAGTGTATTCAACTTGGCTTTCTCTTCTCAGGCCAGCAGGGAGGGGCCCAGCACCCTGTCTCTAAAATAAAGAGATTCTATTGCACACTCATGACAACCCCTGCTGGCCAATTCAGAGTTGGAAGGAGTGTCCACAGGGAGGGATGATGGCATGGGTCCTACTAACGAAGGGAACAATACTTCGGGCACAAAGGCACTGCCACAAACCCCTCAGTGACCAGCTCTGATTGGTGAGGAGGTGGCAAAGAAACCCAGGCATAAATCACAGGCATTATCAGCTCAGAATGACCCTGACTTATGGGAATTAACCAAGTAGAGTCAGAACAAAAATAAGGGGAAACGAGTTTTCCTAGGGTTTGAAGGTAGTAACATGCCTGGGAGTAAAATTAAAATGTGGAGAGAAAAGAGCCTAAGGAGTAATGGCTGAACCACATTAGAAAAAGATTATGACCTAAGGCACTACGGCCTTACGTATTAAGAGAGTGTGGAGAAAGAAAAAGGGAATTCGAACAGTGCTCATTTACCATGATTTTTTGACGTGTGATTTTTATACCACTGCAGAAACAGTCCTGGTAGGGAAGTGAAACAGGATTTCTGAAACAGGATTACAACTCTGAACCTTGTTCAATTTAACATAATAAATCTTAAATTATACCTACAGCACACCTAGCCTGAGGACAACTTAAGATCTGAGAAACAGTTGACTGCAAAGGATGTGAAAGCCAGCCCCACTGTGCTACTGCTGCCTTACCTCTGCTCAAGGTACGCCAAGGCCTGCCTGACAAACTCCATGCGCACTTCCACGCTGCTGCGGTTCTTCAGGGCATCCGTTGCCGGTGTCAACAACACGTCTGTCATTTGTTTTACCATGGTCCACATGTCGGAAATGCTCTGCACATAAATGAAACTGCATGTGACAATGCTGCAGGGCCAGAGAAATTATCTAGTTCTTTGTGGCACTCTGACCTCCAAAGGGGGCAGAATGTGGTGGGGGATGAGGTTAATGTCATCTGTCTGTGACGGCTAGGCTTAAGCTCAGTGCAGAAGATGCGTCTCTGCTGGCCAGACTTCAGAGTTCCATCCACCGATGAGCACCCCTGCCCCTGCCCTGAGTTGGTTTTCAGATCAATTACTATTCCAGGTCTGACATAACCACGTACATAATTAAAACCACATACAAGTCACGAGAACACTGAATCTCAGTGGGTTATCCCTTCAGAGACAAGGAATCCATTTATAATCATCCAAAGTTCTAGAAGTTTAAACTCAAAGAGCTGCATTTCAGTCCTTACAAGGTTATCTGAGTTTCTAAAGGCTTAAAATAAGACTTTAACATAATAATACAGGTTTTTGTCCTCCCAGAGACGCTCCAGGGGCCACCGCTCTTACGTTACTTGGTGAGCGTCACAGCCTCCCATTTTCCTTCCCACTCACTCCCTTCAAAAGACGCCTCCCAGGAAAGGAGCGGGTGTTCTTTCCTCTGTGTTACCACCACACAGCTGGGACTCCCTCTCCCCAGAATCCTTCTGCCTGTAAATGGCTCCTTAAAAACAACGTGTTCCCTGAACCCTTGGCAATACTTTAAATGTATGAGTCCTTGCAGGATAGCACTGATTGGAGAAAAAGCAGGTTTATACTTGTTCCAAAGCAAAAGAGAAAAGCCTGTTTTCATGGTCTGTCTCAAAAATTAAAATTTTAGAATGTCCAGACAAATGTGACTCTTCCTAAGTGGTGGAATGATTGGTGAAACCTGACTTTCTTCTTTAGATCTGTTTACATTGTCTTATATTTTAGTATTTAAAAAAATTAAGCTTGAGACCATCCTGGCCAACATGGTGAAACCCCGTCTCTACCAAAAATACAAAAAAAATTAACCAGGCATGGTGGCAGGTGCCTGTAGTCCCAGCTACTCGGGAGGCCGAGG
Organism: Homo sapiens; assembly: GCF_000001405.40. Lineage (NCBI taxonomy): Eukaryota > Metazoa > Chordata > Mammalia > Primates > Hominidae > Homo > Homo sapiens. Next base: position 56,822,673 of record NC_000016.10, on the reverse strand, counting down.
TAGGAGAATCGCTTGAACCCAGGAGGTGGAGGTTGCAGTGAGCCCAGATCTCATTATTGCACTTCAGCCTGGGCAACAACAGTGAAACTTCAACTCAAAAAAAAAAAAAGAAAAGAAAAGAAAGAAAGAAAAGAAAAAGTTACTTTTTTTTTTTTTTTTGAGACAGGGCCTCACTCTTTGTCACCCAGGCTGGAATACACTGGCATGATCATGGCTCACTGCAGCCTGGGCCCCCCCGGACTCAGGCAATCCTCCCACCTCAGCCTCTCGAGTAGCTGGGACTACAGGTGCATGCCACCACACCTGGTTAATTTTTCTATTTTTTGTAGAGAAGAGGTCTTGCCATGTTGCCCAAGCTGGTCTTGAACTCCTGGGTGCAAGCAATCCACCCACCTCAGCCTCAAAACGTGCTAGGGTTACAGATGTGAGCCACCACAACGGGCTGAGCAATTTTTAAAAAGACAAAAAAAATCTGTGTATGGGTGCTTGCTTCCATAATAGCCTTCCCTCCCTTCTTCCTTCCTCCTAGCCACCCACCAAGTAGTCATCCATCCCCCTTTTTTTTTTTTTTTTTTGCCCCTTATGGGAGAAAACTGGCCAGGAATAAAGGGTGAGGCAGGAGAACAAATAAAGGCAGTATATGTGTGTGTCAGAGGAACAGAACCAGTGGTATATAAAGAATGCTCACAAAGGCCCCACCGAGTCAAGTTCGAGGGCTCACAGGTGTAAAAAGCCATCACCTTAACAATTCTGCTCTCATTAAGGAGCCTACTAGATTGTGTAAGGAGGGAAACTGGTGAGTGGGGAGTAAAAGCCTGATGGGACTTCAAAGCAAATACGGCTTGAAGAGAACTCTTGTGACTATCAATTGATACTGGCAGGGCCTTTTGAAGATGCATTTTTAAAAATTCATCATCAAGAAAACCACCCAAAGTTATTTAAAATAAAACTGAAGAACAGTTAACATTTCATTCCACAGAATGGCGTGTCTCCGCAGCACATTTCAACCAAATCGGCAAGTTGCTAGGCCCATCGGAACACTGGACCCCGGTTTCTACTTGAGTTAGCTCTAGGTGCTACCTTATCATCGAGCTCTGCGACGGAAGCACAAAGGTCCACCAGGTTAGGCTGCAGGTGTCCATTTACAATTTTCTCATTATAGATATAAATCTGAAATGATAAAAAGCAAAGTAAATGGCAAAGTATCTATTTTCTCTTCTTTTTAAACCTCCTGAAGCAGGCAATGGCCGGCAGAAGCTTCGGCCAACCTTTCCTTCCTCGGAGTGGCTGAGCCATCCACACTGGCCAGCTCCCCAGTTGCGTTGGGGTTGTGGGTAACACACCAAAGCTAACTGCCACCCCACCTTCCAAACACCTGAGGAACGGGAGCAGCGGGGTCCAGGGGGAGAAGAACCACAGGCAGGTCTGTGCCTCTGTCCTAGTGAGGAAGCACCCAGGGGAAGACAGGAGAATGGAAGGGCTCTGGCTGCTGCTTCCTAATAACCAAGGCAAAGGACTCAATTCTTTCAAAAGGACTGAATGGCCCTGGTATAGGGTTCATGGATGGAGTGGGGAATGTTGGGCACTGCCTCCCTCCACAAGTGTTAGAATAGCAGGTGTGGCACATGTGGAATATCCATTTCTCCTGGAAAGAATCTCTGTTCTTCAGGTAAAATTTTCTTAAGGAAAATGAACTATGTGATATTTAAGGTATGGGAAAGCCACTCTTACTTTAGATTTTATTTTCAAGGAGCTAAAATGATGATAGTAGAAATCGTAAATTCACTCTTCTAGATTTAGAACTAGTTAAGTCCTGGTAGGGAAGTGAAACAGGACTTCACTAGTTAAGATTTAGAGCTTAACTAGTTCTAAATCTTAACTAGTTAAGCTCTAAATCTTCTTGTGGAAGATTCTACTTTGTATATGAAGTCTTTGCTCTCCCATAGTAGTGATGTTAGACAAATCATGACCCTGTTGAACTGTAGTTTCCTCTACATTAAATGGGGGAACATCAGTATCATTCATCTTCCAGGGCTGTTATGAAGATTAAACGGTTTCGCTGGGTGCAGTGGCTGAAGCCTTTAATCCCAGCACTTTGGGAGGCCAAGGCAGGTGGATCACCTGAGGTCAGAAGTTCAAGACCAGCCTAGCCAACATGGTGAAACCCTGGTCTGTATTAAAAATACAAAAATTAGCCTGGTGTGGTGGTGCATGCCTATAATCCCAGCTACTTGGGAGGCTGAGGCAGGAGAATCACTTGAATCTGGGAGGCAGAGGTGGAGGCTTCAGTGAGCTGAGATCGCACCACTGCACTCCAGCCTGGGTGAAAGAGCAAGACTTCGTCTCAATCAATCATCCAACCAATCAATAAAATGGTTTTAAACCATGACGTAGTACTTATTCACTCAATGAGCATTTCTTACAGGCCTTCCTTTGCAAGGTACTGTTCAACATGGGATATAAAGCTTCACTCTTTAGTGGAGAGGACAGCCGTGTAAACAGACACAATATTACGGTGTTGTATGTGCTATGAAATGTTAGTTTAATGACATCTTTAGTCTTTGCAGGTGTAGAAGACACATAGTCTCTCTTCTCAGAAGCCTGTATTTCATCAGGCTTCTCTCCATGGCAATAGAGGAGTCAGCCATATAATGAAGGTGAAGGGTAAAGAATACAGATGCACAGGGGGAGTAAAAAGAGAGAGGTATAAAATTGGAGCAGGAGGAAATAAATGAAGGCCAGTGGCAAAACATAAAGGGGTTGGAAGGAAGGGATCTCATGTGTGGGAAGGTGATGAAGCTGGGGGTTTCAGCTGCCTGGAGTCTGACGTGGCAATGGCACCCCAAAGAGAGAGACTTTCAAAAAGACATTTAGAAAATTTCTCTCAACAAAGGGTAAAAGAGGGACTTCTGATAATACCATCAGCTAACCAGGTAATTCAATTCATGTGGAATGCCACTGACTAAATAACTGGCAGCTGAAGACAGACCCCTTGGTTAAAGAGCACAGGGTCTAACAGTTTCTCACTGTCCCCTGCTCACCTCCATAGCTGCCCTGTTTTTGTCTCCAACCACCCTACTCCAGGCTGGAGGAGGATGAGGTGGATAATGTTGAGGGCCACAAGTGGGACCCCTGGGTCCCCCCTCAAAGAATCTGGGAGGTGGTAATGGCTGAGCAGATATTCCTGGACCACTGCTGGTGGAGGATAATCTTAAGGGGATGGAGGCCCACTGCCCTCAATTCAAGAAACAGGATATTTTTCCTTCTTTGTACTTTGTGGGAGAAAGCAGCAAATTACAATAAAGCACAAAGTTGGCTGGCACTGCTTTATTTAAAAAGTCAATTCCAGCTATGTATGGTCCTCAGGGTGGTTTCAGTCCAACAGAATTCCTGTGCTTACCACAAAGCATCTCAGTCCATATCCATACTATTGGGCGGTCCTCATCTACAACCAGAAGGATGACCCCTAAAATATTATGAGCTTTTCTAGGACAACAGTGGTATTAAGTAGTGAATACACTATGCTTATTAAGACAAAAAAGCATTTAGAAAATTTCTTTCAACAAAGAGTGAAAAAAGGATTTGTTAATACCAACAGCCTACCAGGTAATTCAGTTAATATGGAACTCCATTTGCTAAGCAGCGCAGTTACCTGAAGCTTTACTGTACATGGGACTATTGCCAAAAATGCATACTGAGATGCCATGGTCAGTGTAAAGGACAGATTTCAATTTCCTCAAATCAAATGTGAGTAATTCTATTACCCTATTTGATAGAATTCTCCAGTGGCCTATGCTAAAATATTAACTAGTTCTCTAAATGAAAAAATACAACTTGCTTTCAGGGTTTGACTTTTACAAGTTTTTGTTTCCTTTTACTCCCTAGAGGTTCACAAAGGATTTTCCTGGCTTAATCCCCCTTAAAATCACACTCACTTGCCGCGCATAGGCCATCTCGATGTTATCCAGAGAGCTTCGACCAGGGGGTCCCACATCACTGATGTAGCTTGGCTGTGGATAAATACACATTCAGAATCAGTTAGGGACAGTATTCAGTCATGTGAAGAAATCAAATCACATCATAAACATATTCTTGTCTTTAACAGAGCTGTGAAAAGTCTGTTTCCTAGTTAAGAATTCCTCAAAGTGATGATTTTAGGGATTTCAATAACATGCAACTTTTACTATGAACACATGAGAAGAGAGCAGGCATGAGATTGGATTAACTAAAAAAGAGTGAGGGGCTGCATAAACCCTATCAATACCTCAATGACTTTTTCTGGAAATGTACATCTTTCCAACATTCTGTTTGAATCTCAAGCCCCCTCTCTACCTCATCCTCCCTTCCCATGTCTTCACACTAGTGAGGCCATTATTTTTATCAGTGGGCCTCTTTTTCATCAATCATATCAGGCAGTTGAGGGAAAGCAGTTTATAGAGTCAAACACCTGATTCAGACATTTCCACACTAGAATCCACACTAAGACAACAGCTGCTGATTACTTTTCTGTTATCTGAAGATGTGAGACCAGGGCAAGTTGGACATTCATTCAGTAAATATTTGCTAAGTGCCTGCCACATACACAGCTGTACATATATCCATCTCCCTAAGAACAAAAACAACCCAGCCTGCGAAGCCTGTCCCCAAAGAGCTTACAATCTGAAGAGGAGAGTGCAATAAAAATACAGTCATATATTACTTAAAAATAGGATAGGTTCTGAGAAATGCATCATTAGGAGATTTCGTCATTGTGTGGACTTCATAAAGTATACTTACACACACTAGACGGTTTAGCCTACTCCACACCTACGTTGTATGCACAGCCTATTGCTCCTAGGCTACATACCTGTACAACATATTACTATACTGGATACTGTAGGCAACTGTAACACAATGGTAAGTATGTATATATTTAAATATAACTAAATATAGAAAAGGCACATAAAAATACGGTATAATCTTATGAAGCCAGCCACCATCACATATGCAATGTATGACTGTGTATGAAAAAAGTTTCAGTCTTTTTAAAGAAAGAATATTCATCTTTAGCCAAGCTTATTTCTTCTGTAAAGAAATACAGATCAAAATTAGGTAAATTCTTAAGTTCCCACTGACTAGTTTGTACTGTAGCATAGCAGAGATCAAATTCTTTAAGCTTATCTCATTTATAAAAAAAAGCTGAATGTTCCATACACTAAAATCTAAAATAAATCAAAGTTTAAACTAGGTTTTCTGTGAAACCAATGGGGAAGATAACAGCCAAGCTTCCCAGCACTATGAAGCTGGTAAAAGGAAGAGTACAGTGGGCATGCACCAGGAGAGGGGGAGAGAGGGGAGAGAAGTTATCAGAAAGGCAGTCTGAAGCCCCTGGTTCTGGAGAATGAACACTGGAGTGTCAAGGATGCCTGGGTTCCAGGAGGGCCACTTCACTCCCTGGCTTTGGCTTCTGAAGCAAAGCACCTCCTCAGATTCCCATTAGTCAAATGAAGGGGCTATCCTAGGTGATCTTGAGAGGTCCCCTCAGCTCTGATCTCCAGCTATCACTGGTATTAAAAGAGCTTAAACAGTTCACTGATCTGGGTAGATGCTGCTGGCTGGCACAATGATCACTCCCAATTCCTACTTCTCACATCTTTACACTCTGCCACCTTTCAAGCTGGCATTTCGAGTTATTAGGTTGATGCAAAAGTGATTGCAGGTTTTGCCATTACTTTCAACGGCAATCACTTTTGCACCAACCGAATAAATGTACCCAATAGTGTGCTGGTAAATGTTTCTTAACAGCCAGCTCTTGGGAAAAGGGACGATGGGTAGCATTGCTGGTGTCTGCGGTTTAAATTCTCCCACCATGGCAGATTTCAAGCTATTCAAGGTGATATCAACTAGACCGCAAATTCCTTGAAAATTTAACAACAGGTCCTCATGTGTTGATCCCTATACACCACTGAATATACCCTTTTCCAGACTCTACTACATCAAGGAATGGCACACCCTAGTTCTAGCCAATGAGATGGAAACACAAGCCTGCTAGTATACTTGGGGACAGCTTCTGCTTTTACTGATTGGAGGGTTGAGGCGGGGGGCCTGTCATGGCTTTTCAGCTCTCTCCCCTTCTTTCTGCCTTGAATGCAAATATAATGTCTAGAGCTCCTGCAGCCATCTTGTGAACCTAAAGTAGATGGATGTGCTAGAGAAGGTAGTGTACCAGGACAGAAAGGTGTTGGGTCCCTGACGGCACTGCAGAACAACTGGATTAACATCAACACTCTCCACACCTGCAGACATCTTGGTAGGTGAGAAATATATACCCCTATTCAAGCTACTAAAGCTCAAGGTTTCCACCTGTCACAGCTGAAAGCATTCCTACCTGAAACACAGATTTAATTTAAAAAACCACTGGGTTACAATAATAACAACAGCTATTAATGAGCACTTACTATGTGCCAACACTATTTGAATTTCCATGTTATTAACTCCACAACCCTATGAAGTAGGTACTTTTATTTATTTATCCATCTTACAGGTGAAGACACAAAGGCACACAGAGACGCGAAGCAATTTGCCCAAGTTCACTTCAGTAGGAAGCAGTGGAGCTGTGGCTTGAATCCACAGTCTGGCACCACACTCTGTACTCTTTGCTACTGCTCTATCCTGCCTGCCAGGGCTGCCCAGGGCAACTCTCCAAAAACATTCATCACAGAACAGTAGAGAGTAGTAGTAGTGGTAGTAGTAGTAGTAGTGGTAGCAGCAGCAGCACCAGCAGCAGCAGCAGCACCAGCAGCAGCAGCAGCAGCAGCAGCAGCAGCAGTAGCAGTAGTAGCTGGAAATCCTGGATCCACTACTTACAACAATGTGACCTGGAGCATACTGCTGCCTTTAAGCCTCAGTTTCCTTAGCTGTAAAGTGGGGGTGGTAATGGTATCCACCACATAGGATTGGGATGAAGATTAAATGGGGAGAAAAACGGTATGAATCCCTACCTCACAGCACTGTTGTGAGGAATAAGTGGAAGACTTCAACACAGTGTCCAAGATATGGTCAATAAACACTAGCTGTTATCACTTTATAAACAAAAAGAAACCACCACAACGAACACAGGAGCAAATCCTACGCTCCACAACAACAGACAGATATGGACACCTCAGAAATATGACCTAAAGTATTTCACTTTGTGCAGGCTGAAAGTCTCATTTCATTTTTCTACAATGAATACACATTCCTTGTTTGATGGAAGCCCCCACCAAGCCCCCCAGCCAGGGCATTTTATACTTCTGGACTCATTCTGAGTCTTCCTATTAACACTATATTAAGGACTGTTCTCTAAGACAGCCACCTTTCTAAAACAGAGCTATCCAAAAGCTGGAGATTCCACAGTCTTTTTACAGGACACAGCACTAAGCCTGTTAATTCCAGAAACCTAGTCAAGGAGAATAAACAAGGAAATGAAAAGGAGAACAGCACTAAAGCATTTTTGCAAGGACACAGTTGTTGTAGCTAAATATACATGAGCAGCCTTGAGAAATATTTTCCAGTGCTAAAAACCTAATTTTTAAAATTATCCATTTAAACAGTAGCTGGGTATCAGCCTTCAAATTTCCATTTAAATTAATTTTGCCTAATGCTCTTGTTTTCAAAGGTACCTATCCTTCAGTTGCCCTTGACCAAGCCGCTATTTCCCCGCACATAAAGTCAATTATCCACAAGAGGATGTGTACGTGCACATTCCTGAACAGAGGAACCGGCAAATATTTAGCTGGAATTCCACAGCCAGGGACTGCCTGAGGGCTGGGAAAGCCACCAATCTCTGGGGTTCTCTGCACTGGGGCTTGGCGGAGCCATAGCAAGGACGACAGGACAAGATGACAGGAGCAGGGAGCCAGAGACCAAAAGAGCAGGGAAGACAACAGGGTTTCTTCTTTTAGAAGAAAACAAGCAGCTCACCCAGGAGTCTGGAGACAGATATGTGGAAAAACAGCAGCCTCTGGGAGCACAAACTGAGAAAAGTCTCGTCAGAGTAGATGGTGTTCCCAAGACAGCCATTCCAGGACAGGATGGGGACCGAAAGTGGCAGGAGGGAACCGCAAACTTGTATTAAGCACCTACTATTGTACAAAGTGTATTCAGGGATGCATAAAACTCTTTTCCCAAGGAAAGCACATTCTAGTTAGAAAAAAACGAAATGCAGGCAGGGCGTGGTGGCTCATGCCTATAATCTCAGCACTTTGGGAGGCTGAGGCAGGCGGATCACTTGAGTCCAGGAGTTCAAGAACAGCCTGTGTGACATGGCGAAACCCCGTCTCTACAAAAAACAAAAACAAAAATTAGCTGGGTGTGGCAGAACGCGCCTGTAGTCCCAGCTATAATACTTGGGAGGCTGAAGCGAGAGGATCGCTTGAGCCCGGGAAGCGGAAGTTGCAGTGAGCTGAGATTGCGCCACCGCATTCCAACCTGGGTGACAGAGACCCTATCTCAAAGGTGGGGGAGAAAAAGAAAAAAAAGGAATGCAACTAGCACTCCTAGCAAAATGAATATAGGGTAGTAAGAAAATATGATGATACTGCAGACGGAAAAGAATTTAATTTCTAAGTGGAATGTTTTGGCTTTATGTAAGCAAAATGGAAACACGGTGATTAATTTACAATAGTTAGCTTTAAAAGTTGTAGGCAAAAGTCCAGTACTACTGGGAAAAAAACACCAACCAGGGACCAGAGAGGACTAGGGTCCTAAATGCAACCCAGCTATTAACTGTGTGACCTTATTAACCCTACTAAGATTGTGTGACCATGGACAAAATGAGAGGAATACTTGGGCCACACATAGGCTGGAACACTATTAGAACTACTAAAAAACGACAGACACCTATGTGTATTAACCTAGGAGAAGTTGTAAAATATGTAAAACAAAAAACATAATGCAAAATTATAGGAACTAATATATAAAATGATACTATTTGAGATAATAAATCGATAAGATATACAGATGTGCATGTAAGCCCCTGGGAGAAACTGGAAGGGTATACACCACTGACAGGTTGTGTTTGGGTGCAGGATGGGGAAGAGCAGCAGAGTGGGTCTACATTCCTCTACTGTCAGAAAAGCGCACAAGATCAGACAAGGGCCTGTTGAGATGAGGTTTTTAAAAAATCTTTTTGAAAGAGCAGCAGAGCACTTTCTATACCTGAACTCCTACTCAAACCCCTAACAGGTGAACTGGGTCCATCCCCAAGGAAACTGCCAGGGAGCCACAAAATACAGCTCAGAATCCTATGGTCTGCAGTTTTCAAACTGTTAGTTCATATTCTACTATATTTCATTTCATCTAATAGTCCACCTATTGTAAAACACTGTTATGTATCAATAAGAAATTTTAAAATGCTGTTAATGATATACTGCTGAATTTAAGACATATCCTGATTTGAGAGATGTTGAGATGTAAAACAGATGCATGACTGAGAAGTGATGGAATATGGTATTAAGAGTTATCAAAATTAGAGACTATGTTCAACATACACTGTTTACATATCATAGTGTGGAATGTTACCATCATTATCTATACTTATTAAGCCATAGTTTAGCTTCCCTAGTGAGATTTCCTGCTGAGTCATGTTCCAGACAATACATTAAGGGATTGTTCATAGACTATGTCTAATACCACAAAGCAGCCACTAGACTACACTCAGGTTAAATTTACCTTTAAATGTTGTTTTAAAAGTTGGCTAAGGTACATCATAGATTCCCCAAACTGCTCAAATCCTGCATGCTGTCATGCAAGCCTCAATAGGGAAGTTCTTCCTCATGCTGAGCAGATGCAAAAACTGCGACGTGAGGATTCGTAGCCAGGGGTCTCATTTTTGTTTCAAAGCACATCATTTTTATTCACATCACAACTTAAAGAGTTAGTAACAATCTTTCAATTCCTACTTTCCTCTAAAAAGTATACCTTTTTCTTCCAATGATATCCTAAGGAAATTAATTTCCCAAATTGACTCTATGCTACTGAAGCATCATTTCCTTTATTAAAACTTGCTAGGGGGGCGGACACAGTGGCTCACACCTGTAATCCCAGCACTTTGGGAGGCCGAGGCGGGCAGATCACAAGGTCAGGAGATCCAGACCATCCTGGCTAACACAGTGAAGCCCCGTCTCTACTAAAAATACAAAAAATTAGCCAGGCGTGGTTGCGGGCGCCTGTAGTCCCAGCTATTCGGGAGGCTGAGGCAGGAGAATGGCACGAACCCGGGAGGCGGAGCTTGCAGTGACCCAAGATCGCGCCACTGCACTCCAGCCTGGGCAATAGAGCGAGACTCTGTCTCAAAAAAAGAAAAAAAAACAACTTGCTAGGAACAGATATTACCAATGTCTCCTTTAGAAGGAACTGGGGGAAACTCCTGTTATTGGAAGGTGTGGGGGAAAAACATGTTTCAGAAACCACTATATCTTAGTCTACTTTTTGCTAAACAAACAAACAAAAAAAGCTTTGAGCCTCTCTTTATATTAAATTACCAGAATTTGGACATTTTCCTTCAAGTGTTAAGGTCAGCTCAAAATTATGTGAAGCTGTCTTCTTAACTGACTCTGTATTCCAACGACCTTATTCCTGACAATAAGGTACCCAGAAAAGAATGTTTTAGATATTGTCATACTCCTTTAATTATCTCCTCTATTTATATGCAAAGATTTTTTTGATTCCTAACAATACTTTATAAATCAAGGAAAACACTTAAAAAGAGATGGATCCATATTAAAATGATTGAAGTAAAAATGTGTATCTTACCAAATACCAACAATCGCACAAAGAATGCTAGAATATGCTGACTGTGTACACTATGCTAGGCACTGGGCCGGCCACTTTACATAGTCTACATTCCTTACGTAACAACAGTTTTTTAAGGAAGACATTTCATGGCCAGACGCAGTGGCTCACACCTGTAATCACAGCACTTTGGGAAACAGAGGAGGGCAGATCACTTGAGGTCAGGAGTTCGAGACCAGCCTGGCCAATATGGTGAAACCCTGTCTCTACTAAAAATACAAAAATTAACCAGGCATGGTGGCACATGCCTGTAATCCCAGCTATTCGGGAGGCTGAGGCACGAGAATCACGCCATTCCACTCCAGCCTGGGTGACAGAGTGAGACTCTGTTTCAAAAAAAAAAACAAAAACAAAATGATATTTCATAATGAGGAAGCCCAGGCTTGGGGACCCAAAGCCTGCTGAATACCAAAACCTGTCTTATGCCTTTTACATTGTGTAGTCTCCTATAAAGAGGGTGGACAAGGTGTCTGTCCATGTGAAGTATCAACTTTCCATTATTTTGAAGGAAATTATATGGAAAAGGCCTATAAAAACACAAGGTTCCACATACACACTGGAATGGTTAAATTTAAAAAGACAGAAAACATCAAGTGTGGCAAGGATATGGAACAAATGGAATTCTCACATACTGCTGGTGGGAGGGTACTCCAATATAACCATTTTGGAAAACAGTTTGGCAGTATCTGCTAATGCTGAACATATGCATACCCTCTGGCTCAGCAATTACCCTCTTAGGTGTACCCAACAGAGATGCAAATATGTGCTCACCAAAACACACAAAAATGCTCACCATAGTACTATTTATAAAAGAACTGGAAACTAAAAGGTTCACCAATACTAGAATGGATAAACAAATTGCAGTTATACTGTTTAGCCATGAGAATGAATGGCTTAAAAGTACATGCAATAATATACAAAAGGTTACATAAAAGCAGCTAGAAACAACAGTAGATACTATATGACTCCATTTACATAAAGTTCAAAAACAGGCAAAATTAATTTATGATATTGGATGTCAAGATAGTGGTTTCTCTTGTTGATAGTGGGTGGTGACCAGAAAGGACCACAAAGAGGATTTCTGGGGCGCTGGTGACCAGAAAGGACCACAAAGAGGATTTCTGGGGCGCTGGTAATGTTCTGTTTCCTCATCTGGGTGTGTTCTATTTGTGATGATTCATTGAGTTGTACACTTTTTAAAAATTTTTTAATTTTTTGAGACAGAGTCTCACTGTGTTGCCCAGGCTGGGTGTACAGGCTGGGGTACAGTGGTGCGATCACAGCTCACTGCAGCCCCAACCTTCTGGGCACAAGCGATCCTCCCACCTGAGGCTCTTGAGTAGCCCAGACTACAGGAGCATGTAACCATGTCCAGCTAATTAAAAAAATTCTTTTTGTAGAGACGGGGTCCTACTATGTTGCCCAGGCTGGTCTCAAACTCCTGGATTCAGGTGATCCTCCTGCCTCAGCCTCCCAAAATGCTGGAATTACAGGCATAAGCCACTGCACTCAGCCTGAGTTGCATACTTACGTCTGTGCACTTTTCCATCTATACGTTATACATCAGGAAAAAAGTTCAAACAACAAACAACAAAATCTGTAAGATTCCGGAAAAGGGCAATTCCCTGGATAATCTTAAGAAAGACCTGTATACATCACTTGCCAACATTTACAAACTACTCTGCCAGGTGTCACAACAGATAGGAAAAGCATAGATAACTCCCTTCCAAGGGGACTTGAGGTCAAGTAAGAAGAGTCTACTAAACAGACTATTCTATTTTTACGAGAAGAGCAATCAAGAAAGAACATCCCATTATCAATTTATAATTACATCCAAATCCCAATACAGAACACAACCTATTAACACCATTTTAAAAAGTGAAGTTTATAAAACCATGAGCTGTTCTAATTATTTGCTCAGATTCACAAAGAATTGAGAAAGAAACATTAGTTTGACCAACGATATTATACATTTGTTTTTCGTTTCCAAAGACTGATTTCAGTCTGAAATCTTTAGGTCTAAGAAATAAGGAACAGGGTCCTTAATGAGCAATTTCCCAACACAATGACTTTGGCATCTGTTTATTTGGGGGCTAGTTTAATAAAACAAAACCAAAAACCCTGGTGTTTAAATCAGGAACAAACCAGGAATAGATACCGGATGTGCAGTTACCCTTTGCCAACCTACCTATCCTTGACCTAGACTTCAGTAGAGTAAGAGTCCACAGGCCAACCATCCTGGGTCTCACGAGCATATTATGTGTCTCTCTGAGCCTCAGTTTTCTTATCTCGATGTGCAAAAAGAATCTTAGCTACTCATGAAACAACTTCGGGGGAAAAAAAGACTTATCAGGAAGCACTGATGATATTACCTGAAAACACCTAGCACCATAATTTTTGTAACGTAATTTTAAATCTTCACCTCTAAATTTCATGAAACTGCTTTTAAAAGATAATAGGGAATGGCTATTATGGGTCAGGTGCTTTACATTATCACTAATCTTCCCCAATAATCTCACTTCAATCAGTAAAGACCCTGAAGGTCTGCAGGGTTAATTAAGTAACTTGGACAAAGCCTCAGAACTAGTCACTGCTGATTTGGAAAAGCTAGCAAAAAGCCCAGGGCTGTCCTCCCTCAACACCAGGGTGGTAAATGTGTGGCAAGCCCTGGCTCCCTCTGGCACAAAGGCAAAAATCACAGATAAAGGGAGACAATCTTTTTTGCTGCTCCTGGATGTAGCCTCAAAATCCCTCTCAGGAAAGACCTCTGGGATACATGAAGGGAAAAAAGAAAAAATGCAGAACAGAGCATTCAGTAAGCTAACGTTTCTGTAAGAAGGAATGGGGATAAGAACATACAGTCTCATATACTTGTATAAAGACACTTCGCAAATTTACACAAGAAAGTACTAATAGTGATTACCTATGGGGAAGACAAAGGGAGAAGAGAATAGGGTATTTGGGGACAGGGTGCTTTAATATCTGAATGATACAACCACACTGCATATATATATGTGTATTTATATATATATTTATATATGTATTTATATTTATATATGTATTTATATACATATTTATATATGTATTTATATATATGTATTTTTATATATTTATATATGTATTTTATATATGTATTTATATATATTTATATATGTATTTTTATATATTTATAAATATATGTATTTTATATATTTATAAATATATGTATTTTTATATATTTATATAAATGTATTTATATATTTATAAATATTTATATAAATGTATTTATATATTTATAAATATTTATATAAATGTATTTATATATTTTTATATATTTATAGTTATATAACTATATTTATATATAGTTACATAACTATATATTTATATAGTTACATAACTATATATTTTATAGTTACATAACTATATATTTTATATAGTTACATAACTATATATTTTATATAGTTACATAACTATATATTTTATATAGTTACATAACTATATATTTTATATAGTTACATAACTATATATTTTATATAGTTACATAACTATATATTTTATATAGTTACATAACTATATATTTTATATAGTTACATAACTATATATTTTATATAGTTACATAACTATATATTTTATATAGTTACATAACTATATATTTTATATAGTTACATAACTATATATTTTATATAGTTATATAACTATATATTTTATATAGTTATATAACTATATATTATATATAGTTATATAAATATATTTATATAGTTATATAATATATATTTATATGTGTGTGTATATTTATATATTTTTATATTTATATATATTTATATATATTTTTAGAAATATATATATTTATATATATTTTTTGAGACGGAGTTGCCTTTTGTCACCAGGCTGGAGTGCAGTGGCGGGATCTCAGCTCACTGCGACCTCCGACTCCCCTGGTTCAAGTGATTCTCCTGCCTCAGCCCCTGGAGTAGCTGGGATTACAGGCACACGCCACCAGGCCCAGCTAATTGTTGTTATTTTTAGTAGAGACCAGGTTTCACCATGTTGGCCAGGATGGTCTTGATTTCCTGACCTTGTGATCCACCCTCCTTGGCCTCCCAACATGCTGGGATTATAGGCGTGAACCACCGCGCCCGGGCCACACTGCCTATATTTTAAAATTAAATTTTAAAAAGAGGGAAAAAAATTTCAACTTAGCACTACTGTCAGTCAATTAACACTGGCAATTAAGAAAAGGGCTACTTAACATAATCATTCTATAATACACTGCTTCAATATATCCCTAACAGTTCAGTTAGTACGAAGTTAGCTACAGCCAAATGATTCACTCAACAAATATTTCCTGAGCATCTACAGTATTCCAGGCACTGGAGATAAAGGAATAAACAAAACAAAGATCCTTATCTTCAATAAGCTTACATTCTAATGGGAGAAAGAGACAATATAAAGACATAAAACATATACTATGGCACATAGAAGGATGTGCCAAAAAGAAAAATACAGCAAGAGAAGGGGATATGCAAAGTGTTGAATAAGAAGGGGTTGGTTTGGATTTCAGGGCCTTGGAAGGTCTGAGATGGCAATGGGTAAATATCCGAAGGAAGTGAGAGAGACTGCCATGCA
Source organism: Homo sapiens (assembly GCF_000001405.40). Taxonomy (NCBI): domain Eukaryota; kingdom Metazoa; phylum Chordata; class Mammalia; order Primates; family Hominidae; genus Homo; species Homo sapiens. The sequence continues at coordinate 56,807,256 of NC_000016.10, read as the reverse complement.
GTCCTTTGGGGGAAGAGCATTCCTGGCAGAAGCAATAGGAAGCACAGAGGACTGGAGGCAGAAGCAGGGCTACCAGGTTTGCTGAAGGAACCTGTAAGAAGCCTGTTCGGCTGGTGCAGCAAGAACAACAGGGAAAGCAGCACAAGATGAGCTTGGAGAGGCAACAAGACCATGTCATGTAGGGACCCACATGTCAAAGTGAAGACTTTGGTTTTCATTCCATGTGAGATGAGAGTCACTGAAGGGTTCTGAGCAGAGAAGTGACACAATCTAACCTGTCCTTTAATAGTTGCGTTCTTGCTGCTGTGTTGAGAAGAGACTGTAGCAGCGTGCAACAGCAAAAGCAGAAAGACCAGAGTGGTCAGCAGCCTCTAAGATGGCCCCAATAACTCCCACCTCCTGGTAGTCAAGCCCTTGTATAATCCTCTCCCCTGGAGTGTAGGCTGGATTTAGTGACTTCTAACCAACAGAGGTGGGATACTACTTTTAAGTTATAGAAAGATGATAGTTTCTGTCTTGGGGGCTATTTAGCTCTCCCTTGGACCCATTCCCTCTTGTTCTAGGGGAAGCAAGCTATCATGTTGTGAGCAGCACAATATAGAGGCCCATTTGAAAAGAAAATAATTTCTGCAGCCAAGAGCCAGAAAGGACCTAAGGTTTGCCAACAGCCATGTGAATGACCTTGTGAGTAGATGCTCCTTGCGTCTAGCCTTGAAATGAGTGCAGCCTCGGCCAATACCCTGATTGTGCTTAGAGACCCTGAGCCAGAAATACCAAGTAAGAAGCTACACACTTGTTTTCAACAAACAAGGTTTGGAGTAATCTGTTACACGGCAATAACAACAACCAGTTAGGAGGCCAAGTTCAATAATCCAAGCAAGAGATGACAGTGATTTGTACCAGAGTGTTAAAAGTGGAGGCAGTGAGAAGTGGTTGGATTCTGGGTATATTTTAAGGTAGGGTTAACTGGATTTGTCAACATGTGAAAGAGACTGGGTGTCAGATGGGCAAGATGGAGAGGACAAAAGTGAGGCTGAGGTGTCTGATCTGAGCAAGTGAAAAACTGGAATTGCCACTTATAAAGATAGGGAACTCTGTGAGAAGAGAAGGGGGATAGGGAAGGAGTTGCTATCATGACTCAATTCTGGACATATTTAGCCTGTGAGGGCAATGAGACACACAAGCAGAGCCAAGAAGGCAACTAGATAAATTAACACTGGCTAGATAAATTAACCAGATAAATTAACACTAAGGTTCAAGGCTGCAGGCGTAAATCTGAAACTCTTTGACATATAGATGATAGGTATTTAAAGCCCCAAGCCCCAGATGAAATCACAGGATAGCGATTGAGAGAGAAACTGAAGAGGTTAAGGACTGAGCCCTGGGACACTCAAACCTATAGAGGTCAGGGAATTTGAGGAAAGCTCAGCAAAGGAGACTGAGACGAAGCAGGCAGACATGTTGGAGGAAGTCCAGGCAAATGCGGCATCCTAAAAGCTAAGTGAAGAAAGTGTTTCAAGGGGAAGACAGTGATCCACTGTGCCAAAAATACTAGTCAAGTAGACAAGTATTCTTTGACTTCATGTTTTTATTAACAGTAGTTTATCTTTTGCATTCAAGCTACCTCGCTTTCTTGAGTAAAGTCAAGGGCGTCTTCTCCTGATGCCAGCAGTGTGTGCAGAATTCGCTGTTTCACTTGCTCCCACTCAACCAACATTGACTCCCGATGGTACTCCTCAGCCATGCCGAAGGTCTGCCAGAAAGGAACAGAGAACAATGACCCTCAGGAAAAAAACAAAAAAAACATGGTTTAAGACCCAACAGAAACCTAAAGCCCTCCAGACCAACCACTTCTCCATAGGTAGAGAAAAAGCAATCTACTTTAAAAATTATCTTTGAAGAATTTACTGGCTGAGCGTGGTGGTTTACACCTGTAATCCCAGCATTTTGGGGAGCCAAAGCAGGCAGATTGCTTGAGCCCAGGTGTTCGAGAGCAGCTTAGGCAACATGGCAAAACCCTCTCTACAAAAAGTTAGCTGGGCACGGTGGTGTACACCTGTAGTCCCAGCTACTTGGGAGGCTGAGGTGGGAGGATCACTTGAGCCCAGGAAGTCGAGGCTGCAGTGAGCTGTGATCGCAACATTGCATTCCCTCCTGGGTGACAGAGCAAAACCCTGTCCCAAAACAAAAAAAACTGCACTCCAACCTGGGCAACAGAGCAAGACCTTATCTCCAAAAAAATAAATAAATAAATAAACTTACTGACAACTGTTTGCAACATACCGTATTTCACTGATTTTAAGACATTTTAATAAAACTTCGGTAAAATATAAACTTTTTTTTTTTTTTTTGAGACAGAGTTTCACTCTGTCGCCCAGGCTGGAGCGCAGTGGCACGATCTCGGCTCACTGCAACCTCCGCCTCCACGGTTCAAGTGATTTTCCTGTCTCAGCCTCCCGAGTAGCTGGGATTACAGGCGCCCACCACCACGCCTAGCTAATTATATTTTTACTAGAGACGGGGTTTCACCATGTTGGCCAGGCTGGTCTCAAACTCCTGACCTCAGGTGATCTGCCCACCTCGGCCTCCCAAAGTGCTGGGATTACAGGTGTGAGCCACCGTGCCCAGCCCACATAAACCATTTTTAAGTGTATAGTTCAGTGGTATTAAGTACATTCTCATTATTGTGCAATCATCACCACCATCTCTTAGCTCCTGGCAACCACCACTCTACTTTGTTTCTGTGAATTTGACTACTCTAGGTACCTCACATAAATGGAATCATACAGTATTTGTCTTTTTGTGAGTGAAATAAGCCAGAGACAATCAGCATAATGTCCTTAAGAGTTGTAGCAAGTGTCAGAATTTCCTTTCTTTTTAAAGCTGAAAAATATTCCACTGTATGAATATACCACATTTTCTTTATCCATTCATTCACTGATGGACACCTGGGTTGCTTCCACTTCTTGGCTTTTGTGAATAATGCTATAAACGTGGGTGTACAAATATCCCTGCTTTCAATTCTTCTGGGTATATACTCAGAAGTGGAACTGCAAGTGGAACTGCAAGGTAATTTTATTTTTAATTTTGTGAGGAACCGACATACTATTTCCATAGAGGCTGTACCATTTCACATTTCTACCTGCAGTGCACAAGGGTTTCAATTTCTCTACATCCTCACCAACACTTAATACGTTGTTTTCTGGTCACACGTGGTGGCTCATCCCTGTAATCCCAGCACTTTTGGGAGGCTGAAGCAGGCAGATCACTTGAGGTCAAGAGTTCAAGACCACCCTGGTCAACATGGCAAAACCCTATTACTACTAAAAATACAAAAATCAGCTGGGTGTGGTGGTGTGTGCCTGTAATCCCAGCTACTTGGGAGGCTGCGACATGAGAATAGAGGTTGCAGTGAGCTGTGACTGTACCACTGCACTCCAGCCTGGGCAACAGAGCAAGACTGTCACAGAAAACAAAAACATAAAAACCATATATATATATATATATATTTTTCCCTGTTTTTTGCTTGTAACCATCCTAATCGGTGTAAAGTGGTATCTCACTGTGGTTTTGATTTATGTTCCCGTAATGATTAATGATGTTGAGCATCTTTCCATGTGTTTATTAATATAAACATCTTTATAAAAGCTCTGAAATTAGATCGTATGTCATAGCAGTATTTTTTCTTTGTAGCATATAAAATAATGACGGATTATAAAATCAATAGTATCTTACGATATAATAAACATCTAAGATAAGAAAAAACAAGTTTCTCCCAGTGTTTTATTATTATTATTATTATTTTTTTCTGTTGCCCAGGCTGGAGTGCAGCAGAACGATCTCAGCTCACTGCAAACTCCGCCTCCTGAGTTCATGCCACCTTCCCACCTCAGCCTCCCAAGTAGCTGGGATTACAAGCATGCACCACCACACCTGGCTAACTTTTGTGTTAAGACTTTTAGTAGAGACAGGGTTTCACCATGTTGGCTAGGCTGGTCTCGAACTCCTGACCTCAAGTGATCCGACCGCCTTGGCCTCCCAAAGTGCTGGGATGACAGGTGTGAACCACTGCACTAGGCCCCAGTGATTTGATTTGATTTTTTAAAGAAACACTAAACTTTCATAGGAGGAAGCAAACCAGTAAAAGAAAAAGAGCCCTCTGGGATTAAACTGCCTACCAAGCTACTCAAAGTTACTGAAAAGCTACTGTCTACTGGTAGTTGCAGGTAGCTGCGAAAATAAAGGCATTCAGAAGGAAAATAAAAAAGAAAGGAAGTCTGGGGAGGGGGTGGGAGAGGGAAGAAGGAAGATGACCAAAAAAAATCTGAGAATTAAAACAACATAGATAGATTGAATTATGACCATTCTCAGCCTATTATTCTCCAATTGGCAGACCAGGTTTCCCATCAGCTTAAGCCTTTTCAAAAAGCCATTTCATTTACAATCAGATTGGCATCTAATTAGGCAGCAATAAGGGAATGAGTATTAGCAATGCCTGCTTTATTATTGGCAACACAGATAATTTATACTGATAATATTGATATGCATGAGCTTTGGGGAACTGTTAGAAAAATCACATACATATACTCTTCCTACAATTGGGATGTTTTGTTTCAGACCAATATTTATTAAAATGTGAAAAAGGACATCAGACATACATACACATATGACACGTGATTAGGAAGAAGGTTGGTGCGTTGCTGGACCCTTTTCTAATACATATTCTGCAGACACAGGAGAAATGATAATTACAAATTTTAAAAACAGTCTTCCAACTGTTTTTTTTCTTTTCACTGAGTCAGGCAGAATGGACCATACCAGTCAGTTAGCCTGAGCTGAAAAATACCGAGAAAAACCTTTGCTTCTTGCTCACATCTGTAAACTTTAAACATGAAAGTTATGCATTTTAAATCAAGAGAAGTATGATGGAACACAAAGGTGGGGTGGGGGTGGGGGGGAAGAGATAATTTTCTTAGAAGTTGTCCAGAAAGAATGGACAAGTGTGAGCCACAATTTTGTCTAAAACTTTCCTACATAGTGGTCAAACCAACTGCCTCCTCAGCCTCTAGCCTCTCCCAGCAAGGTAAAATGGAGGGCCAGGTGGCATAAGGATCAGGTAGGGTAGAAGTTAGGAGGCAGGGGGAGGTTGATACGCTATACAGCCTACTGAGCTGCAACACGGGGTGAGCACACCACAAAGTGTAGCAAGTCTTTTTTTCTTAAGGACAAGACCTCTGGCTAAGAGTGGCAGAGTAGCAAAGGCAATTAAAGAAAACAGACAATACACCACCCACAGAGACTGCTGAAGAGGACAGTGGAGACAGACTTTCAGCATCAGGTAAGGGTCAGAATGACAACAGTGGGAATTAACCATTCCCTGTTAATTGGGCTGCCTGCCTGTGTGCCAAGAACTCCTGCTTAGCACTTTGAAAGTACTTTGAAAACTATCAGCTTTCCGGGTTCAAATCCTCAGATATATCTGAAAGTATGCCAGGCTACTCATTTAGAAACACCCTCACAACCTGAATGAACAGTGCTGTAGTTCTATTTACCATTAGTGTGATAAAGAGCTTCAAATAAAAATAAATGGCCCAGGCGGGCAAATTGCTTGAGGTCAGCAGTTCGAGACCAGCCTGGCCAACATGGTGAAACCCCATCTCTACTAAAAATACAAAAATTAGCTGGGCATGGTGGCAGACGCCTGTAATCCAAGCTACTCGGATGGCTGAGGCAGGAGAATCACTTGAACCCTGGAGATGGAGGTTGCGGTGAGCCGAGATCACACCATTACACTCCAGCCTGGGTGACAGAGCAAGACCCTGTCTCAAAAAATAAATAAATGATCCAATATCAAAATTCTCTTCCCTTAATTGCATCACCCCCAGCTTATCTTAATTACATTAGAGGTAATGGAACATTCAATCTGTGGGCTAACCAGGGATGATCAGCCACCCATCTGTCCCATTCCAATCTATTCTGTTTATATCCACATCTGAACCATTGAACTAAAGTGCAAAGAAGAATGCTAACTAGAGGAACTAATGAGAGGGAATCAACAGAACTGCTCAACTAATAACTAAGAGAAGAGGAGGGCAATGAGAGTCTAAGGTGAGGTGGGAAGCAGTGATAAGAAGAAACTCAATAGACAAGAAAAAGGATAAACTGGAAGTGTGGAGAGATCTAAAAATTAAAAGGAAGGCAAAACAATCCACAGAAAATGACAAAACAGTGGAGAAATTATTATAAATTAAATCTGAATCTTTCAAGTTTTTGTTATGTGTGGAAAATATTTCTCTTTGAACACAGTTAAGAAAAAAAGCATGGGAAGAATTGGACAGCTGAATTAAGAGCAGGTGGGGAGCATTTGAACCCCATTTTCATAAAGGGAAGAGGGCAATATGCTTTGACTTCACACCCGTTTATTACTGCACTGTTGCTGGCTTTTAGAAACACTGCATATGTTCTGATAATGTTGTTCTGTTTTTGCCTGGATGTACCAAATGGGGAAAGACAGGACACACTTGTGGTTTTGTAGCTTGTTTTCCTGGCATTTCAGCAGGACACTGGCAAGTTATTCAAACATGAAATAGTCACAAAAATACCAGAAAGTTGCTCACTTTTTGTGTGAAAATGATTCTTGCTCAGTGGCAGTTTCCTGGTGTCCAGACAGGTCAAAGGTCTCCCCCTAGGCTGGCTCCCAACACTGGAATGCCTCCCTCACAAACACATATGCACACATTTTGCACTGTGGTATGTCACCTAAATGTTTTGGCTGGCTGCACATTTAGTCTCAGTATGGCACAATGTTCAGAGACTGCCAATTCCAGAAACACATTCTGCGGGGTAAATGGATTAATAAAGCTTGGTAGCATTCAACAATCCTAATTTAATTTCACTGGTCCTTTACAGCAGGAGAATCAATGTTGGTGAGTAACTCACTTAATGTGTGAACCAAAAAAAACCCTTTTAAAAATATTTTCAGATCTGAATCAAGTGAATTTCTCTGTATCTATGACTAAGTACTATTGCCAACAATATAATTAATGAAATTTTGGGGATTTTATTTATTTTTTTGAGACAGAGTCTCACTCTGTCACCCTGGCTGGAGTGCAGTGGCACGATCTCAGCTCACTGCAACCTCTGCCTCCTAGGTTCAAGCGGTTCTCCTGCCTCAGCCTCTTGAGTAGCTGGGACTATAGGTGTGCGCCACCACACCTGGCTAATTTTTGTATTTTTAGTAGAGACAGGGTTTTGCCATGATGGCTGGGCTGGTCTCGAACTCCTGACCTCAAGTGGTCCACCTGCCTTGTCCTCCCAAATTGCTGGGATTACAGGCGTGAGCCACTGTGCATGATGGGAATTTTATTTTGATAACTAAACATATCAGTCATTTAAATAACGACTTTGGAACATTTCCTTATAAAATGGAGCTGGCAAGTCTCCCTGCTGCCCTATTTCACCTCAGTACTACTGAGACATGTTCACCTTCACAGAATATTTTAATAAAGCACACTGAGAAGCAGCATTTTTTTCACTTTATTATTTTTGAACTACATAATAAATAAATTTCACTGGATATAAGAATTAAATAAGTAAACAGCAAAACAGAGGTGTCACTTCAAGCCTACACCCTTTGCAGAGAGGGCCACTGCTAGCTGATGGAATGTATCCTGCCAGCCTCCTTCCTGGGGAAAGCTGCACTTCTAGAACCAATTCCACAGGACAACTAGCCTTTCTTTTCCCTCATCAAAAGGCCCCAGTGGCCCAAAAATCTCTTTCACTATAATGGGATGTTATGGAAAGGTTTTGATATTTGGATCCTTGTCAGAAATAAATGGAGATAACTCACATGTTAGTAAACAATCTTTGAGTATCTTGCAGGACTGCTTGTTGCAGAATATTGTTGCACATATAATGGCTGGTCTTTGGCGGACTTATTTACCATCTTTTCAAGCATGGAGCTAGTTTCGCGTGTGTGCTTTTTTTATTTTTTTTGAGCTTGGAGAAATTGTTAATATAAAAGGTGGTCCACTCATATTGTGTAATAAAAGGAAACTAAGTTGAAGGAAATTGTCAGCTGCTTTTCTGAACTGCTGATTCAGTAGAAACCAAAATGCCATTTATACAATAACAATGAAACCACTAATTTTCTGGTCTTTCCATTTCAAGATTAATTTAATAGTTAATTGTCCAGTCCAGTGTCTCAGATGCATTTCAGTCACTAAATACATACAGAGTTATAAAGCATGGTATTCTCCTCAAAAAATGGTTCCTGTAGAACTCTCTCTGTAGGAGAGAACTGGGCATAGGATAGATTCCAGCTTCCAGATCCCACACTCCCCTAGTATATACTGCTACCCTTCATCTGCTTTTTTTTTTTTTTTTGAGACAGGGTCTCGCTCCTCATTCTGTCCCCCAGGATGAAGTGCAGTGGCGCGACTCGGCTCACTCAAGCCTCTACCTCCCAGGTTCAAGCAATTCTCCCACAACCACCGGAGTAGCTGGGACCACAGACGTGTGCCACCATGCTTAGCTAATTTTTTGCATTTTTTGTAAAGATGGGGTCTCACTATGTTGCCTAGGCTGATCTTGAATTCCTGGGCTCAAGCGAACTTCCTGCATCAGCCTCCCAAAGTGTTAGGATTACAGATGTGAGCCACCACGCCCAGCCCTCTTGCCCTCATCTGTATACATCTACATTTTGGTTAATTTTCTTACCCTCTTCCGGGACTCTTCGATGGCAGACAGCAGGGCATTGTCCTTCTCATTCTTCAGGAAGCCCTATAAATGGGGGAAAATTAACACAACTTAAAATTAACTTTCAAAAAATCAAAAGTATACTGCAGGGCAAACAATAACCATAATGGTATCTACTATGCTACCTACACCTCACAAAACTCTCCCAACTTGAAAACATCAACATAGATGACTTTTACAGATGTTTCTTAGTTTCTTCCATTCTGGGAGCACATGATGATTGTTAGAAAGTAAAGTCCCCATGAAACAACAGTGTGGGGTTCTATATCCCATAAACATGTAAAAAGTGGAAAGTCAAGACTGTCCTTCAAAATTCCTAAATGGCTCATATTGCAGATACAGCCTTGGTGATGGAGCTAGTCACAGTTCCTCTAACTGTTCCTTAGTCTATATTTCTCTGTTGGTTTAAATTAATTTCTTCCTAACATTGATGACATCATCATTGCCCACTTGTCTATGTGCTTTTCACTTGTTGGCCAATATCTGGGAAATTCTAAAAATCCTTTCTTTACACATTTCTTCCAGCGTTTTGCCATGTGCACTCTCTGTTTCAGGTCTGATGATGTCCACTGCTCGTTTAATACAGGTGAGGTGAAAAGACAGCCTACAAGTCTAGTTTAATATAAACAGGTTAAATGCCTGTAACACAATGGCCAAAAGGATAGGCTTTGAAATTTGACAGTTTCAAATCCTAGTGCCTCCATTTACTACTAGTAGCAGGACTTTAGCCAGGTCGCCCAAACTCCCTAAACCTCAGCTTATTTGTTTGTAAAAAAAATAAGATAATGTAATCAAGTTATTGACCCAAGGCTCAATACATGTAGCTCTATTATTAGGATCGATTAGATTTAGATCTGTTGGTGACTTCCATTAGTGAAAGAGATGCCCAGGATGACCTCTTTGCTGCTGTTCATTGTCCTTATTTGCTTCAGCCGAGATCTGACAGGAAAAGGGCTGAGACATTATTCTGATAGCCACAGTTGCAGACAGACAGACAGATATACAGAGTGCACTTCCCCGCCAACACCTTGCTCTTCATACAAGGGGGCAGTTTCTTTTCCATAGCTTGGGCTGGTGGGGGGCTGAGTAGGAACAAGGAAGATGACCCATCAATTGACATGTAGAGATCAAAGTCTTAGTTGTAATATGAAGAACTCAAGTTACCTTACACATCAGATCCACCTATACTCCAATGCAAGGTACAAGCATGTCACTACTGGTGCATTTATACATGTCTAAAATCACTCTGTCACCCAGGCTGGAGTGCAGTGGCACAATCTTGGCTCACTGTAAACTCAGCCTCCTGGGTTCAAGCGATCCTCCTGCCTCAGCCTCCCAAGTAGCTGGGATTACAAGCATGCACCACCACACCCTGCTAGTTTTTGTATTTTTAGTAGAGACAGGGTTTCACAATGTTGGCCATGATGAGGCCAACACGTTGGCTCAACCACAAGTGATCTGCCTCCCAAAGTGCTGGGATTACCGGCGTAAGCCACCGCACCCAGCCTCGTGTTTTTGCTTTTTTTTTTGAGATGGAGTCTCGCTCTGTTGCCAGGCTGGAGTGCAGTGGCGCCATCTCGGCTCACTGCAACCTCTGCCTCCTGGGTTCAAGCGATTATCCTGCCTCAGCCTCCTAACTGGGACTACCGGCACGTGCCACCACTCCAGCTAATTTTTGTATTCTTAGTAGAGATGGGGTTTCACCATGTTGGCCAGGATGATCTCGATCTCCTGACCTTGTGATCCAACCGCCTTGGCCTCCCAAAGTGCTAGGATTACAGGTGTGAACCACCGTACCCAGCTGTGTTTTTGCTTTTTAAAGAAACTGTGGGAAAATGTAATACAAAGTAGAATTTGGCAAAAGCTTTTCAAATGACAAGCTAAATTAAAACACAATCGTTTTCTTGCATTGGAAACGTACTGTCATGGTTAATTAGTTTTTGATCATTTTATAATTTAGCAACTGTAATGTTTTAGTATATAGTCAAGCATCATTTAATAACAGGGATACATTCAGAGAAAGGCTCCTACTAGGCGATTTCATCATTGTGTGAACACCACAGAATATACTTACACAAACCTAGATGGTATAGCCTACTACACCAAGCTGCATATGGTTTAACTTGTTGCTCCCAGGCTACGAACCTGTACAGCATGTTACTGTACTGAATACTACAGGCAACTGTAACACAATGGTAAGTATCTGTGTATCTAATTATAGACAAGGTACAATAAAAATATGGTATTGTAATCTTATGGGACCACTGTTGTATATTTGGGTTTGTCCTTGACCAAAACATCATTATGTGGCACATTAGTGTATTCTGTTCAGTCTTTTTAAGAAGGTGGGGGAGGCAGGTCGGGAGGCAGGATAATATTGGGGATATACATTTAAATAAAACATTACTAATTATAGATTTCCCAGATTCCTTACGTATTGGCCTATGTCTCCCCAACAGGTGCTGTCACACCCCAAAAACCTGGGCAGTGCACTGGGATGGATAGGAACAATGACCAGCAGCCCAGGAAATAGTTCCCTCTTAAAGACTCCATGGCCGAGCGCGGTGGCTCACGTCTGTAATCACAGCACTTTGGGAGGCCAAGGCGGGTGGATCACTTGAGGTCAGGAGTTCGAGACCATCCTGGCCAACATGGTGAAACCCTGTCTCTACTAAAAACACAAAGATTAGCCAGCCGTGGTGGCGGGCGCCTATAATCCCAGCTACTCGGGAGGCTAAGGCAGGAGAATTGCTTGAACCAGGGAGGCAGAGGTTGCAGTGAGCTGAGGTCACGCCACTGCACTCCAGCCTGGGTGACAGATACTCCATCTCAAAAAATAAAAATAAAAATAAAAATAAAAATAAAAATATTCCTCCAGCACAGCCTCTCAGGCAGCTCTGAGGACACAACATGAAGACTCTGCAAATACATATACTGATAACGGGGGTAGGATGGCGAATGGCATGGTCATTTGCCTAATAATGTAATGACATTAATAAACCAGAGCACATAAAGCTAGGAACCCACATGGTTCATTCAGAAGGGGGCAGCTTGTCACCACCTACCTGCTTTTGGCTATCACAGGGGACCCAGACACAAAACAATGGCAGATTTTAATGGGCCTTGTTTGTACCTTTCACAGCAAATGATTATGTCAAGTCAACAAACCTTTAGTATAAACACATTTTCATTAGTGGTCTCCAATGTGGCTAAAGCTAAAGGCTTTAGTGTCACGGTTCACAAACAAAGCTATGAAACTATTATCAATGACTAATGCTCCCAAACAATGAGTAGGCATGGATTCTGCTCTGTGGCACCTTTTTGTGGCTGCCGCTATGCTGCTGATTGTCCAAACAAGCTACGTTTGGGGGTAGTGGGGGAGAGGGGAGGGGATTACCACTGCCTCACAAAGCCTGGTCTAATATTTTCTTTTTGGTTGTGGGGAGGGGAGGGACCTGGGTTAAGTCTGGTGTTCTGTCATATTCCTTCTCTGGGCTTCTTCTGTTCTTCCCAGTCAATAATGACCAGCCTATCCAATTCTTTTTTTTTTTTTTTTTTTTTTTTTTTTTTTTGAGACAGAGTCTCGCTCTGTCGCCCAGGCTGGAGGGCAATGGCACGATCTCGGCTCACTGCAAGCTCCACCTCCCGGGTTCAAGCCATTCTCCTGCCTCAGCCTCCCGAGTAGCTGGGACTACAGGCGCCTGCAACCACGCCCAGCTAATTTTTTGTATTTTTAGTAGAGACAGGGTTTCACCGTGTTAGCCAGGATGGTCTCGATCTCCTGACCTCGTGATCCACCCGCCTCGGCCTCCCAAAGTGCTGGGATTACAGGCATGAGCCACCGCGCCCAGCCTATCCCATTCTTTTAATGACACCCATGTTCACATCTCTCTCTCTCTCTCTCTCTCTCTCTCTATCACACACACACTTACAACACAAATGCAAAGCAATGACCACATTTGTTGAAAAGCAAAATAATATTCTGCAAGAAATGCAATTCCCAAATTTCTGAGAGATGAAATTTCAAGTAAGAATGAAACAGAAGAAAAAAAAGACATTATTGTTTTGGGATAGATTACTCTGGTCTTTATTTACTATAAAGCTGCATTTTAGAACTCTCAATAAATTAAATGAAGCGTGTGTGTGTGTGTCAAACCTCACCCACATATAAACAAAGACCATTAACCATTACATACTTAAAAAACTGGGCTCTAAGCACAAACTGAGCCCACAAAATAGATTTTGAATTTTAATTTTTCATCCTTTCTTCCTTTCTAAAATGAAGTGCTAAATAGGTTATACATCATATTTTATTTTAAAAAACACACGTGTTCTGTCTTTTCAAAATATTTTTAAAAATAATAACACATCTATCTATCTATCTATCTATCTATCTATCTATCTATCTACCTACCTACCTACCTACCTATCTATCTATCTATCTAGAGATGGAGTCTCGCTCTGCCACCCAGGCTAGAGTGCAGTGGCGTGATCTCGGCTCACTGCACCTCCACCTCCCGGGTTCAAGCAATTCTTCTGCCTCCTCAGCCTTCTGAGTAGCTGGGACTACAGGCACACGCCACCACACCCAGCTAATTTTTGTATTTTTAGTAGAGACAGGGTGTCACCATATTGGTCAGGCTGGTCGCGAACTCCTGACATCGTGATCTGCCCGCCTCAGCCTCCCAAAGTATAAAATAGTAATTTATACATCAGAATACTGCTGGGATCTGTGTGCCATCTAGTGGCAGTGAGTTTCTTTCAAATAACCCACACCTCAAGGAAAAGTAACAGCCCAATGGAATTAAAGAACTAAAAAGTTGGGCAGAACCATAGCTGCCTCAGTCCAGGTCCCCCACAGATCTCCTGACTTCCCTTTCCTACCCATGTGTTTCCTTTCTCTCCAAACTCCTTCTCCTGTGATACGCCTCTCATGCCTCACCCAGGAGATGTACTCATATAGCTTATGAGAAAATGAGTTCTCTGGAGAAGGGAGCTGGAACGTGAAGGATGAACTGGCTCCCTGCCACTGAGATGCCCCGTGGGTACAGAAAAGGCCCAACAGTTCACCTCCCACTGGTAGATGCCAGCATCTAATGATGACCCCCAGAGCTCCCCATCACTACTATCCCTTCATTCCCATCAACAAGCACTTGTAATTGCTCACAGTCCCCCATTTGATCCTTCTGCTGTGGGTCAGCTCAATAAAGAACACCTCCCAAAACATCTGCAGGCCAGCTAGGTAAACTAACTCCTCCTGACTTCCCCATCTGTGTACTGCTCCTCACTGCCAGGGTGCTGAAACAGACCCTTGCCTGACTGGCTCCTCAAATGTGTTTTGGTTTCCAGCTTTCTATAACACATAATAGCCACCATTCAGGAAGCAATTAAGGGCCAGACACTGCTCTAGGCAATTCAAAGACATTATTGCTAATCCTTTAACAATATGAAAGAACAGACATAATCATCCCACTCTCCCCTATCCCCATCCCCTGCCCCATTTTACAGGTAAGAAGCTGAGATTTCCACATTTAACTAACTTGAGCAAAAATTCCCGACCAGGAAGAGGCAGAGGCAACATTCAAACATAGTTCCGGCTCTCAAGACCAACTATTTCTGAGATACTTAGGGAAGAGTAAACCTCTAAACAGCAAAAATAAAAAAAAATTTCTCTCTCTAAAAGGATGGAACCCAGGAGGAGAGTAAAATTTCCTTAAATTTGTTTTCATCATCAGGCTACTCTTTACAAACAATAAAGTTGAGGCTCAGAGTATGCTTATGGCATACTAATAATAGCTAACACTTAAATGGTGATCACTTTGTGCCAGGTATAAGTGTGTTACACACATCTGGTTCTAGCCCTTATTTTTAACCCAAAGCTACTGTCTCTCAATACTACTTAACTGGATCATACTTTGAAGTATATCCTTAATAGAGATTTAAAAGTTGAGTGAGCTGTACAAAACGGTTTCTTGAGCCTCTACCAACTTAAAAGCTCTTTGGGGTTCTATGTCCAGATGACCCAGTTCATACGTAGCAAAGTTCAGACTCAGAACCCAAATTTTGTGACCCCTTGTTTTCCCTCTTCCACGCTCCATGCTATCTCTCATCATAGCAAATCAAGGTGAGATAAACTGATATTTTATGTTTGCACATTTATTCCTCCCCCCCATACATTACATAGGAAAGAAATGAAACAACAAATGTCAAGTTTTTGGCATTCCTTTAGAACAGTGGTTTTCAAAATATGAATCAGAACTCATAACTGGGTCATGAAATCAACCAGTTTTTTGTTTTTTTGTTTGTTTTTTGTTTTTTAAGAGATGGGGTCTCACCCTGTTGCCCAGGCTGGAGACAAGTGGCACAATCACAGCTCACTGCAGCCGCAAACTCCTGTGCTCAAGTGATCCTCCCACCTAAGTCTCCGGAGTAGCTGGGATTATACATTCTTGCCACATCTGGCCCAATCAGCATTTTTTAATAAAATAAATGCAACAGAGATATGTGGTATGGGTATTGATTTGTGAAACTTTTGTTTCAATTATATATATGTAATTGTATGTGTGTATGAGTCACAGTCTAAAAGCTTGAACTCATTGCTTTAGAGGTCAACACCATAGTGTTCCAAAATAGTGCTACTATTATTGTTGTAGAACAATAAATGCTACACATCTGTCCAAGCAGTATCTCCAGTCATGTGTTCCATCTTTGACAGAGAAAGTGCTTCGCTGCTTTGCAATGTATCCTGGCAAAGAACAACCCAGAACGTAACATCAAGGTTAACTTGATTCTCCTAAGGAACGTGTAGTCACATCTCAAGGACCTGGCAGCCAAAGTGGATCTTAAATGGCTCAGGTCAAGAAAGGCATGAAACTGCCTTATTTTTACCTATCATGCAAACTCTGGGTTTCAGAATACAGATGGCAGCTAATTCCTACTGTAGAAAAAGGGAGCGAGCAAAAGGATGTTTGTTTTCGCCAAATGGCCAAATTCTCTTGGCTTATTTGTTCCCAAAAGTGAAAACTACAATAAATAAGGGCCTTTGTGAAAAAAACATTCAGTGTCCACCTTAGCCAGGAAAGTCAGATGGCAAAAAAGTGCTCACATTGGTTCTTTCACAGTTCTGTCCTTCCCACCTATAGCAGATAAGTGATTGGACAGTTGGACAGTTACACAGAGTCTGAATTGATGAACACACAAATTTCCTGTTAAAATAAATAAACAAGAGCCTAATTTGGGCTTACAAGGCAATAGTCATGTTTTCATGACCTTCAAAACACAAGAGACTATCTCATGTCTCTTTCCATTAAACAGACCAACCAGCAATCCACCATATCAAAATGTAAAAGTGAGGCATCTACAGCAGGCTGAACATTTACCAGAAGGTATCTGGTATGACATAAAAATAGGTGCCGGGTGCTACAAAAATCATGTATCATCTCTCATTTTAATATGTACAATACATACAAATTAATAGGAAATCTGCAGCCAACATTCCAAATCAAAATAACATCAACACAAAATGAGCAGTGGCATCAGGAATGGTCATTGTTGTTGAAAAACCATTGCTAAGACACAAGCAACAGCTAGAAAGCAATGAAGGAAGAAAGAAAATATAATAAAGCAGTTAAAAATTAATCAATAAAGGATCTGCTCCAAGATAAAACAAGAAGTCCAATAAGTATTGGAATACTATTGAGTATTCAGTTGGTACTAAAGTTAGTACTTTAGTTAGTGCAATGGAGAAGTATCCACATTCTAAGAAGACAGGAATGTAAGTTGTACCATTACTTTGCTTCAGCTCATTCTAAGTAAAATGCTCCCTGAACCTCTCCCAAACCTTCTTGCCAATTTCTGAACAAATGAATGACCTCTTCTAAAAACTTCTCTTGGATAAAATTAGTACAAAGATAAAAAACTACTTATGGAGAAAATGAGGAAGGATGAAATAAGATACTGTTTTCAGATGAGCACAACAGAAATCCTACCAGTACCTGGAGAGCCTCTGGGCTTATCAGACGGTGTGGACTCGCTTTTCATTAGCTCCCTTTTGTGGTGCCTACACGGAGAGCGCCTCAAGGATTTTTTCAAGTGCAAAGAGATGTTCATTACTGATAAAGCCCAGAAAATGAACAGAGAAATTTTTTAATTTGAGCAGTTTCAAGATTTGGGTGAACTTCCATAAGGGTTTATAGCATGTTTGGTTATTTCATTAGACACTATTACTGAAATAAAATAAGAATATATAAAACGTCAGCTTACAAGGCCCATGAGACACTGAATTTCCTTCTGCAAGGAATACAGACTGAATAGCAAAAGTCCAGGCTTTATTCTCCAACTCAGATATTTAAAGTACCACTGCTTGTTTTTTTGTTTTGTTTTGTTTTGTTTTGTTTTGTTTTGAGATGGAGTTTTGCTCTTGTTGCCCAGGCTGGAGTGCAGTGGCACCATCTGGGTTCACTGCAACCTCTGCCTCCCAGGTTCAAGCAATTCTCCTGCCTCAGCCTCCTGAGTAGCTGGGATTACAGGCGCACGCCACCATGCCCAGCTAATTTTCTGCTTTAGTAGAGACGGGTTTTCATCATGTTGGCCAGGCTGGTCTTGAACGCCTGACCTTAGGTGATCCACCTGCCTCGGCCTCCCAAAGTGCAGGAATTACAGGCGTGAGCCACTGCACCTGGCCCTGTTGCTTGTTTTCTACAAAAATTTTAATACTTTAAATTGTTTGTTCACAGATTGCATATATAACTTCAAAAATAACCCTGCAGAAAGCAGTGCTAAGCGGGCAGAGCTGATATTCGCCAACTGTAATATGTTTTTAATGCTGTTATATGATTTCTTGCTGTGCATTTATGCAAAAGCCTAGTTGCTCTCATTCAGCAGGTGGCAGCAGACGCTGTAAGAGTGGCTGTGGAGTTCCACCATTTGCCAGCTCAGCAGATCCATCACTGCTGCAGGCAGCTCTGGAGCCACAGGTGGCAGACCTTGGCGATATAACATGGCACTGTGTGGGCACCAGGCCATCTGTCACTGTCAGACTGCTGGGTCCCATTTTGTACATGGTTTCTGCTATTGGGCTAAAAAAAGGTTCACACAATTATGTGACGGATTTGTGTCCATTAAGGCAAAACAAATTATTTGCCCCCATGATTTAAATTGGTTTTCAGAATGGTCTATAAGTTCTCACAGGTTAAAGAGAATTGAATGTGCATAAGGTGATTCAAAACCTGACAACACATGGCACTGGGCAATGCCTCCTTCTGGACCAGCAAAGGGCTTTACAGGCAACACTTTAGCCCAAGTGTGCTGGCATGCTTGGTCCCTTCAGGGGCATGCCATTACAGCTGTGATATAACTCCATTTGCACCTTTGCCTTCTGGGAAAGCCACAGGCCTTAGAGACACTAATGTAAGTCTATCCAAATGCCTTTTGCAGACCCTACCTACTACCACCCCTCCACCTCCCAAAAAAGAAAAAAAAATTATCATGCAACAAAAACCCAACTTCAAAGATTTCAGCATCGGGTAAAAAAAAATAAAATAAATTAAGAGGTGGGACTCACCATGACCCAGAGGGGAAAGCTACAGGGAAAGTCATCTGCAATAATGGGGACATGCCATTCCTGTGGTGGGGTACTGAGGAGACCAGAGATGCATGACACATCTCCCTTGTCAACACAATGTAGGCACATAACTACTAGATGGCTCTTCTGATACCTACACCACAGTATCAAGCTAGGGCTGCTTAGCGCATCTGTTGCTGCACTTGGGGAGGAAGGCCAAGGTTAAGGGCATTCCTATGATGGCCATTTAAATCTCCGTGCTACTACTGCAAAGCCAGTTCTGCCCTTTTCAGGGGCCCTGGGGCATTTCTGTTATTTGCACTTCTCTCTCTGGTCATCCCAGGAAGCAGTCCTTCCGGCTCAGTTACTGAAGGGCTCTGAGACTCCGTATGGAGTGCAAACAAGTTAAGGGCATAATATAAATGAATAAAATGATAAATGATGGCCACCCAGGCACTAATGGAAAAAATGCTTCTCAGCAGAACCTCCCTCTTCTCCAAAATCCAGCAAAGCCCTATGCTACCCTTGTAGGGTTGTAGAAGCAACTTTCCTTTGGAGGTCACAAGAGGGATAGGGAAAGGAATTGACTGCTCTGTACTGCTACTTTACCACCTCCAGAAAATCAGGCCAGAGCCCGTGTCCTAGTGAGAAGGGCCGTGATGCAGCAGGATGTGCCAGGCTGTGGTGGAAGGGCCTCTGCTGGCCATCCTCTCTCTCCTCTCCTGGGAGGGTAGGGGAAGCAGGACCAACAGAAGTCCAGTGGGGGAGGGAGAGCAGCCAGGCAACTGCTGTCAGACTGCTGAGGTAACCCCAGGAGAGAAAGCAGGGATAACTGTGAGCATTTTATCCCCTTCCCGCAATCACTCCAAAAAGGTTAGGGCTAAACTTTGGAGACGCAAGAAAAGAGAGGATTTGGAGGAGAAAATGGTTCAATCTAGCTTCACAAATGGAATATTAACAGTGTGTCACAGTATGTCTGGCTTCAAAGAGCAGCAGCAGAGCCCTCTCCTCACCCAAGGTATAAATAGATCTAAAAAATATTAATCACAGTCACGCTAAGGTGATGGGCAAGATAAGATAAGGAAGATACATTCAGGGATGATAAAAAATGTTTCAATATGTCTTCAGGGAACTGATTTCCACCTTGGAAATGCATTAATCCACTTCCAAAGGACTCTGGATGCTAAAACCGCACTGCAGTATAAAATGGGAATGCATCAATAGTGGCCTTTATCATGACCAGCATTCCTTCCCACAGCTCCCGAAACCCACCCTACAAGAACCCACTAAAGCAGTTCTTTACTATTTAAAGCACACACACAGATCCCCAGCTTTGTCATATCTAGTGTCTTTTTCCCTTTGGAAAAAAGAAACAAAAGCAAGATTTGGGGGCCACGAGCAGGAAAGGATAGCAGAGGGTGTGTCTCGCAGTCAGTCAGGTAGGAGCTGAGCAGCTTTGCCAGGCTGGTTTCTACAGCGCTCAGGATTAAGCCTCGAGTTCTACTTAGCAAGCACAAGGAGCACTGTTAGTCAGGACAATGTTTGGGAACCAAGTCTCACATTTCCCTGCTGGTATACGGTGTCAGTCATTTACACTGCAGTCGAAAATCACAGCTCCTCCTGCTATGCAGCAATGCTTATGCTGATGGGATTGGAGCACCAATCATCACAGATCTGTCACAGAAAAGGGAGCTCTGGTTTTGCTGCAGTTTCTTCTTATTCAAACATTCTTTCTTCAAAAATGGATTTGTTTGGAGACTACTAAAACAAACAGACCTTCCCTTTTGTAATTTCACGTTCTCTTAAATGGAATTCATCAAGGTATTCCTTTGTTAACAGTATTGGTGATTTCACACTCTCTAAAACCTTAATTAAGTTTGGAAACATTGTGACTTTACCCTGTCAGAGCTGAGGAATACTGCAGAATGCAACACTCACCATTGTCACCACAGGTATGGAAAACTGGAAACACTGCTTAGCTGGAGTGGCAAATACAGGCAACAGAAAGAGAGATGGTAAGACCATTATTCAAATACAAATTGCCTGAAACTGACAGCGAGCTAAAACCTTTCACCTAGCTCATCCTTACTGGGAGGAGAAGGGGAGACTCTGCCCTGCAGGACCCCTCAAACCTAGAGTTAAAAAGGTCGTGACCCACTAAAAGGACATGTCAGAATGCCTGGCTCCATCCTAGCTTACAGCACATGAACGTAACAACTCTGCCCATCCCAGGAGACTTCACCGTTCATGCCGAGCCAACACAATGGACCCAAAAGCTCAACTTGCAAGATAGAGTTTATTTTTAAATGTTTGTTTATAAATGCTTATCATCTTCAACACAGGCCCAGGAAGACTCCAAGCACAGCTCAGTAAGTAATTTCTGGCACAGCTGAAAATGAACATCTCTGTGAGTTAGGTTGCTAAGGCAAAGACAAGACAGACTTTGCTGAAAGCTCAATCCATTAGATCAATCAGTCACCAGCAAGCTGGCAGAGAAAGAAATGGAGTCAGATGCAGACAGAGACACAGTGCAGCACAGATTAGGAGTCAGGTGGTCCAGATTTAGGGCAAAATCGACTGCTTTCCAGATGTATGACCTTGAGAAAGTTATTTAACTGCAGTTAAGCCTTCCTTTACTTAACTATAACATGAGCTGATTGCACTAAACCCTAAGGCCAGCAACAGAACTCCAACTTCATGAGAGGTGGGAACAGGTGAGAAATCAACACTGTCATTACCACTATGACTATTGTTCACATGCAAAATAATCCATACCTTGAACCACAAAAGAAAGAAAATAAGCTTTGTTTTTGAAGGTGGCCAAAATATATATTTTATATATAAAATAACTAAAACCCACAAAGAGCTAGAATGAAAACCAGAGACAAATAACATAGTTTCGTAGGAATGCTACTTCACCTCACCATAAAGAAGCACACTGTCTTTTGTTTTCTAAAAATTCACCCTGTGTTGGAAGGAGTAAATTTTTATACTAAAAAAGAAAAAGAAAGCATAAGGCAAGGCATTTCAGAAGTATTAACACAAAGTACTTTAAATTCTATTTTAACCATACTTGCCATCAATTTCTTAGAAGGAACATTTGAAGCCATCTACATATAAGTGCTAATTAAATCTTTACTTCGAAAATCTCAAAATTTTTATCTTCTAACAATAAAAAGTGGTTGTAAATAGGCAAGGCAGTGCTCCTAAAGGTGTCTTCAAACCTAATTTAAAGAAAATAATTCGTGCGGTCCACCCCTTATCACAGTGTTCCTGGTGACGCCATTTTACTCCTTCCTCTCTGCCATCTTAGTACCACGGAATGTTTCCTAGCGAGCTGGCTGACATGCTTGCTTATCCACATTATGGTACTGTCAGAGCAGTAAAAGGTTTGATACAAATACATTTTTTGTTGCAAAAAGAACCAATCCCTGACTCTTCACTATCAGCCAGGCTAAAATTTCATGAGAAAACTGAAGAGTTTCCAGATTGAAGAGGTTCAGGAATCCCCTACAAGTACCAGAAAGGAGAGGCTCTTCCGAGCAGCCAAACTTGAGTAGACCATGGTGGAGGCAAAGAAAGCAGGAAGAAACTGGGTCTCTCCTACCTCCCCCAGGGTACTTAACACCTAGCCTTATTATAAAGCCAACAAAAGGAAAAAAGACCAGGATCTTCAACAAAGTTTTACTGTAAAAATTTCAAAGGGAGGCTCTGTGATACCCCCCATGTCATCCAACCAAACATTTTATGCAAACAAATCTGCAGTTAAAATGGAGTTCTAATTTGCTGACCTAAAACTCTTTCATTTCAAGGTGCAAGCCTCATAAAAACCAAGGGAAAAGAATCCCTTTGCATTCTACCATATATTTAAACATGTTAAATGCTGTCCCCATAATTAAAAAATTATGCTGAGATCTAGGCTCTTATTCCGTAAGTTAATATTTGCGCCACAGATTTATGGATCTTGTAGGATTCTAACCAGGGCTTACAACAACCGAACCTTCCTATGTCAATGAAAAGGCTGATGTGAAGAAAATCATTGTCTCCCTAGTTTCCAACATCTATTAATTAGAGAAGACAGCACTCAGTGAGTAGGATAAACAGGAGCTAGTGCAACAAGAGCTAGAAGAACAGCTGGCTTTATAAATTTGATATCAAGTTAAAAGGATTTTCAGATACCCAGTTCTGTGAAGCTTCAACTCCTGAAACAGCTAATAAAGCATGTTGAGCAAATTCTTCATGGTAAAGTTTACTATAAAATACATGCACTATAAATTCTTCAGGGTTTAAAAGATAAAAATTATTCAGCCTTTAAAAGAAACACAAATCAAAGTTAAAATCCACTTGTTTCCTCTTAGTAACAGTATAAAGGAACAAAGAAATAAGCCGGGTCAAATCCAATTAATTTTAAGAATCAAGATTTATAAGCTTACAATTACAAACAGGAGTTTTACACAAGCAGCTTTGAAGTCACAACTATTAATTAAGTAGAAGGCACTAAAAATTATCCCCATGAGTGAGAGTGAAAGCCTCAATCTATTGATCTTTGAAAACAAAAATCTTGTTTTGTCAAAACATTTGTTTCTTGTGTATTTTAATCAGCTATTATAGGTCATTAACCCGGAAGCATTTTCATTAAAAACAAGAGCAAAAATAAGACACTAAAATTAAAATCCAGCCATTCTTTTCAGGAATGGAAAACAGACTGCTTTTAAAAGACAGTGAAAAGAAACCTGAACTCTTTTAAATTTACTATATTCAGATTTCTTTTTCCTCTCAAGTGTCATTTCCATTCATGACTAGTGACAAATTCATACTTCTCATTAACTTAAATTACTGATGAATAATTAAAATCATGTGCTAAAATCACTCACAAAACCTATTTTTAAGTATATATATCACACCTGGTTTTTGAGAAATACATTAAAAAAAAATCCAGTGTAACGCAGAACCTCTGCGTTACACTTTTCATATTTGCAGCGTTCATTTAAAAGTCTATTTTGCATATTCAACCAAAAGCAAATTTTCAACCTCTCCCTGCTATATGAGTACAAGAAATACTTACTGTAGACAAAAGAATTCCATTTTCTTTCTGGGAATATTCTCCACCTTCCTAAAGAACTCTTCTATACAATGTGCAAATTCATTTTCTTAGTTTTACAGTAACAAAGCTCCTGTGCCATGGAACCTAATGTAAATGAAATGGCCTTGCAGCTGCCTTCAGAATACAGCTCACCTCGACCATGATACAGCTAATTGTTAAAAATGGTGGCTGAGACATTTTCCATACATTAAATTAAGGAGCTCTGATGAAGGCGCTGGCATCCACCCACTTCAGACAAAGGGAAATAATTTGCAACTGTACCAAGGCGTGGATAATTGAGTCATCTCCCATACAGGGTCAGTGTTAGAGGTTTCCTCCATCTTTACAAAATGCAAACCACATCTCATTGTCTCATCTCAGAAATCGATTCTTTGCAATGCTGCACTGGGTCAGAGTTTCAAAGGAATCTTAGTCATGGGTAAATCCAGAACTCCAATGCCAAGAGGAGCCGAATTCTCACAGTTCCTCTCCCTCTGCTGAGCAGCTCTCCTGTATTCCCCAATTGACAGCTCCTCAAGTCTTCCTATTGTTAAGAGTAAAGAAAGTCCCCACACCTCCAAAGGGAAATAAACCCCTCAACTAGGGTGAACAATTTCCAAGTACATGCTTCAGAAAGAGGTCCAGACCCCACAGGTCCCACAATACAAATACATTCCTTAGGATAAAAAGCCATATGCATCATCATATTTTGTTGTTGCTTTTAAGAGAAGACAACAAACAAGCTGCTTTTTAATGCCGAATTAAATGTATTGTATCTTTGATATTAATCAAGGTATTAAAAGTATTGCAGGCAAGATTTATAATTCTATCACCCTCCAGATAATGCTTACATGACTTAGGAAGTTTTCATTTCACTTACACAAATTATATTCTCTAGCCAAAAATTTGAAATATACTTAAAGGACTCCTATGATCTCTTTTGAGACTGAATTTAAGAAATAAAAAAGAACCATCTCAATTTAAATTGCCAATATTTAGTAAATACTTAGGAATCCTCCTCTTTGGTGTTACTGTTTAGTTCTTCTCATTTCAAGCCTTATGCTAAAACATTTCCTGTGAGATAGTTCAAAAAAATCTCTAATAGTACTTTTTCCCTAATCACCAAATATAAAGGACTGAATTCCTAAAGAATCCTACACACAGACACACCACAGACACAAACAAACACACACACGCACTCACTCACTCTCACCTGCAATCCCAAAGAAGGATCTGGTTTTAGTAAATAAAATAAATTCTATTTTCATATTCCACCTCATACAAGAATTTTGCACTTCACATGTATCTCCTTTAAAAATCCTAAAGACCACACTACTTGCTACTTAAAGAAGAAGTTCACAAAAATCCCAATAACCAACTATTTAAATATTTAAGCAAATTCTGCCCCACCCAATACATTTTTAAAAGAAAAAATATTAGAATGGCAAGATACAAATCTGAACAATTCTCAGAAGAATCAAGTACTTCTTCTATCAAATGAGTTAACTGCTTCCAAATTTATCTCAAATTTTCAAACAAACCAAGACCTTGTCTTTCAGAGGCACTGCAACAACATGCTGCCACTCTATTTACCAGGGTGCATTTGTCTTAATTTCTTTACAAAACACGGCCAATCCTACCTGCAGCTCTTAAATTTAAGGAGTTACAGAACGGTCGATGCTGTCGATCACTGCAGCTCTTCCAAACCTTCTTATATGAGATGAGCTCTGTCGGAACCAGTGCTCAAGTTTTTCCCACCCCAAACTGCCTGAATTGAGGGATGGGGGTGGGGAGAAGGACAGAGAGAAGAGAAAAAGAGAGAAAGAAGAAAAAGGAAAAGAACAACCCCTCTGCAAGTGCTGATGTGACTGAAGCACTAAAGAGTCAAATTAAACAATGAGATTGCAGGGTCCCTTTAAAAAGGGTGCACTGCAGCCCCCGGAGCACAGCATCACCATTCGTTGTGCGCTACACAAATTCAGAGAAGTCAGCCATCAGTTTGAAAGCACAAACTGATGGGAGTAACAGTTTATAGGTTACAGAAGGGTATTTTATTGTTAACGGACTGTACCAAGTTAAGATTTAAGAGGGGGAGAGACAACATGTAGGCAAGGAATGCTATGATACTTTTTTTCCCCAACCCAAACCACTGCAATTACTCTGATGTGAATCTTTGATGACTTCCGACATCTTGCATGGTTAATAATCGCTTCAGCTGTCATGTTTGGTTAATGTGGAAAATGCATTTGCTGCATTGTGATGCAGTGCTGTGGCCACAGATTGTAACACCAGTTGTGAAGCTGGTCCCTTAACTGAGCAGCAGGA
This sequence comes from Homo sapiens, assembly GCF_000001405.40. Taxonomy (NCBI): domain Eukaryota; kingdom Metazoa; phylum Chordata; class Mammalia; order Primates; family Hominidae; genus Homo; species Homo sapiens. Next base: position 56,781,529 of record NC_000016.10, on the reverse strand, counting down.
ATTTGCACATGCCATGATGCTAAAATAAATGGTAGTTAAAAGATTTTATACAGCAGCAGACAGATTCTGCCATTTTAGTCTACAGTATGTGTAGATACAACATACAGAAGCATCTCGGATCATTGTGCCCTTGTCAATTGTACTGTCCTTCAAGCAGAACAGTAAATTCGCCATCTTAAATGTTTGGCCTCTTAGTAGTTAAAAGATTTTGATACTGTTTAATAACTATTCAGATTAATTATAGCTTTGAAAAGAACAGAGGTTATTTGCATTTCAGGAATATACAGCCAATGAAACTGTCACTGACACAGGAAAATGCAGACCTTTTATTAACATATGCTCAGCTCAACTGTCACTTCTTTGCACAACATTTAGGGGAAAATATATGATGTGTAAGTAATGAATATTCCCATTCTACTGCAATGATTTTTAAAAGTGCTCCTCAGGAAGGGATTTTTTTCCTCCACGTTTTAACATATAACCTGAAAATTGAAGACTACATTAAAATATTATCATGTTTTTCACTGTCAAAAAAGGAAATTCAGTGCGGCAAACAACTGTACAATTATAGGAAAGCTTGTGAAAAAGCAAAGACAGAGCCACGCTAAGACCAAGGCACCAGATGATTAAAGTCAGGCTGGTCAGGTGATGGGCCATCATCATGGTGCAGACTGCAAAAGGAAAATAGAACCATTCTCTCCTCAAAAACAAAAACCACAAACCCTAAGATTGCAATCTGTTGGTTGCAAAACCAACATCTATACTGCAGAATCTGAAAGACACATAATATTTGCCAATTTCATGATGTATTTTTATATAAATATTAACTTGGCTATTTAGCATACAGAATTTGACTACTGACGGTTCTTACTCAGCTACCATCATCATTTTTGTATTTTAAGAAGCAAAACCAACTTACATTGTTCCTTTAAAAGAATAAATATAATTAACTTATTTCTTACATCAGAACTTTTGCCAATTAAATAAATACCCAGAGTTGAGATGTTTCAGACATTTCTGCCTTACAAAAACAAACAAAAAACCCCAAGTAAACTAAAAAGAATGAACATAGGAACACACTGGTGTCTGAACAGTGAATAACAATGAAAGAACTTATGTTACTAGCATAAAAATCAACTCATGATTTCCTTTGTTTTATTCATTGTGATAACACCAAATGCATAATTTGGAGGTGCATGTGTTAACGAGCACTGTAAAGCTGAAGAGCTTTCTAGTTTTCTTACCCTAACTTAAAATTAACTGCACCAACAGTGCTATGTGGTGCCATAGCAGATGTCACAGTAGTTGTAGCTAACATTCAACAATCAAGCTTTTTTTGTTCCAGACCCAATACAAGGTACCACTAACAGCTGAGAAAACTGCACAAGGAGGGAGGGAGAAACGTGTGTGTTGAGGGTAGCTTTGAAATTAACCAGGCTCAGCTTATGCTCCAATTACTGAACAAAAGACAATCCTGGGGGACCTCTCTGAACCAGTACAAGAAGCAAACTCTTTTGTTTCTGATCAAATAAATACTGTACTGGAGCATGGTGGATATATAGCAATAGGAATCTCTGCCTGGGGATGAAAAGAACCCAAAGACCCAAGTGTGGTTAAAGTCAAACTATTTCACGGATGTAAAACCTGTTCCCAAGGGATACATCTGAGGTTCACTACAGGGGAGTAAGAAAACCCTCTTTATTTACTGAAAAAAACTTCACCAAGTCACTGTTAAGACGTTTTTCCTCTTTAGTATTGCCAACAAATAAATTAAGAGGGTATTTCTTTATGCTAGAATAAATTCTAAATCAGCTCAGCCCCTTCTTCCTCCATCTACGAGTATCCCAAGGAAACTAGATGAGTGGCTGGCTTGGAGTTGCAAGATATGCTGGCTGGAAAGGACCTCTGAGCAGAAGTGTTAACTATCCTGCCTTCAGACCCCAGATGCCTGAATAGGTAAGGAGGTCACAACAAAAATGCTACAAAGAAGCCACCTTACAAAGGAGGTGCTTCTCTACTTACTCGTCACTAACTGAACATAAAGTGATCTATTCCTAAATTTGGTAGTCCATTGTTTAATTTTGTATTTTGGCTTTACATAACCCTAGACACCAAAAACTAAAGCAAAAAGAAAAGGGTTAAAAACTAACGGGTCCAGCATTCATTAATATAAGGGATTAAAGTGGGCTCACTTAAACAAATGTAGAGATTACAGTCTAGAAAAGGGAGCTATTGAACTTTTGTGGTTCAAGTAGAACTATAATAATTGCCAGGTAAAATAATATTCAAGTGAACAACTGTAGGGCTCTACAGTACAGTGACCATATATAGAACTTTACCCAGAAAAACTTTTACAGATACTTGGTGGGCTCTGCTCTGTCTTCTGCCAGGTTCTCCAGGCTGCTGGGAAGATCAATAGTACTGGTGGGTAAGTGCTTTTAAGAGTAAAGAAGGAAGCCAGGTGAGGCTGAGTGATGACTCCCTCTATGAGCAAACTCCCAGCTTTCTGAGATACAGCTGGGAGAGCTGGGTCCCTGCTCCCTTTCCACCCCACCACTACCAACCTCCTCCTGGCTTCTTCTCCTCACTGAGACCTTGGCCCTTTGCCTCCTGCTAAACATTTCTCCTATTACACATTCATTTCTACTGCCACAATTCTTCTCTCTAGGCCTGTGGCTCTTGAAAATTCTGTATGGAGCTGTTTTCTGAGAAATTTTCTTACCCCATCTCCAAATGCTTCAGGAGCATTTCCACAGTGATAGCTTACCAGAACATCAGAAACGGAAATGAAATCTCAACTCTCAATCTAGTTAATCTTCCAATTCCTTAGCCTCAACAAAAAGCACCCATCCTTCTCCTTGCCCCAAACCTCACGTAATTTCTGAACATCCTTCTTAAGCCCATCAGGCACCACATGTGGCAGATGTTTTATCCCAAATGTCCCTCACACATCTTTTTCCTCTGTTTTCTCAGCTACCACATTGGTCCTGGCTATTGTCACCTCAAAGCTGTATTACTACAATTGCCTCTGAATGTCATCTAGCAGCTATCCTTCCACTGGCCAAACCAACTTCCATAAGTACTGCCATGCCCTCCCTCCTTTCTGCTCAATATTTACCTGCTTCGAAACTTTCAACACCTGCCGCCTACACTCCACTGCCTGGCAGTCACTCCTTCCATGTCTGACTGCCCTTCCCTGACAGATTTTACTTCTTAGCACATAACTTCCATTTCTTACCTCCCTGACTTTGGTCAGGTTATTACTCTTCTTTCACTTCCGGCAAGCTAAACCCATTTCATTTTTCAAGGCCCATCTGCTCCAGGGAGTCTTTCCCAACTACCCCAGAATTCATTCGTTATTAACCGCTTCCACGCCTCTGAATTCCCATGGCATTTAGAATCCTGTGTCGCTCTCATTCAGTCTGTCCGTCACTTTTCACAGCTTGGACAGTTTGATCTTGCAGGAATGTCGGTGTTGGCTCTATAGGTAGAAGACAAACTTCCAGAGGGCAGCATCCAGAATTTGTATTTATTCGAATTATCTCCATAGTGCTGTCCTTAACGGGCACTGAACAAAACCACTTCTTAACTTTTATTAGTGTCTACTAGGCCCTGCCCAGGTAGATGCAGGCAGTTATACTTAAAGGGGAGCTAAATATTACTTTTGCTTGTTCTTTCAAATCTTTTCAGCTCCCTGAGATAATTCCAGCCTTAGGTGGTAACATACTAAGGCGGTTCTTGGCCAATGTACCGAGGCACTAAGCTCTTCTTTGTGACTAAGCATCATTACCAACAGTATTCAATTCCCAAAGTTGGCTTCCTCATTATATGCAACTACAGCCACGGAAGTTCGGGGAAAATGAGACGGCCTGACCCAAAGTCAGTGGTATGGCATTCACAGCTCATCTGTCCTTACTAATTAGCTGAGAATGAAGAAGCAATTCTGCTAATTTATTGCAGACATTTCATCCTGAATATTATTTTAAGTGAGGAACACCAGATTTAGGCAGTCAATAAAAAAAAGAGAAGATTTCTGCACAGCCTTATTTAGCACTAAAACAAATTACAGTTCATTCTCTCTTGCTGATACCCAAACTAGACTGCCCAGGAGTTAAGAAACAACAGGGAAAAGTAAGCTTTCCCAGCTAATAAGTTCCTGCTGCCCCAGAGTGGTGGTTCTGACTTTGATATGACTATAAACCAAAAGAGTGAGAGCAGGGTTTATAAGTGGGCCAGATACGAAATGCACCTCGGTGAAAGAAATTTCAGAAGTAAGATTTCCATTTTAAATGTGTTTTCAAGAAGTAGTTCCCCAATAAAAGCAATTACTAATGGGAAGAGGCTAAAATGGGAAGAGGAAGTATAGTCCTCAATATTTCTCCAGGGCAATTCACTACAGTTTTAAGCAGCCTCCCAGATTTCTAAAAATCAAAATGGGAAAGGCTCTTTTCCTATCAGTCTGTCTCTGTTTCTGTCACACACACACACGTGCGTGCACACACACACACGCTCACTCTCTCTCTCAGCATCTATTAAGCCTTGGTATTTAGACAGAGGGAACAAATGAGACTTTCAGCAAGAACTTGCAGAATATGTGAAGAAGTTCTACCACAGTAAAAAATACATGAAATAATAAGATATATGTTCACTGGATTCATAGCCACAAAATTTCAGGCACAAAGAGACTCAAACTCAGGTTCTGGCCCAGGTCCTGGCTTTGGGCCAAGACCTGGCTTTCTTGTTTCCTTACAGAGAGAGCTCTTGGCACAGCACTATGGGACACGTACTGAGAAAAACTGCATGGGTGCCTGCTAGAGCCCCAGATTTCATGGAATTTTAAGTCATTACATGGGGGATGGTGGTGGTTGCACAAGAACAGCTTCTAGCTTGTTAATTCTTGTTACCAATGTACTTTTCACAACAGATGTATTTCTTGCCAGGTTGATTGTAAATAGAATTCTTTTAAACAAATTCTATTTTAAATTCAGCAGGGAAGCTGTTATTTGAAGGAATACTAAAGCTGAACATTGTCCCAAGGTTTCTTTTACAAATCTAGATATTCAGATTTGGATTTGCTTATTAAAAGCAGAGTCCATCATAATTTTACTATTATGTTAAAGAAAAGACACTAAAACCTTAATTTTTATATAGTTTTTGCACATATTTATTATTTGTGCTACTATCTGGAAAACAGTGATATGGCCAGATACTGGTAAGAAAAATACAAAATAAAAGACTCCTCAACGGAAAGAAAAGGTTTATTAAAATTATCCAACCCTCAACGATTTAAACAAGGGGGGAAAAAACTGTATTTCTTTCATTATCAGGTTATAATTTTACACACTGACATAAATAAAATGTAGCTTTCTCAAAGTTTTCTATGAAGAAAACTTAAACGCAAAATTCTATTTTTTCATCAATCCCTATTATAAAATTGAAAATAGCATTCCTCAAAGCAATAAAAAAAAAAATCTGGCACCAACAAATAAAAGTATATGCAAGGATATAAACTTTAAGAAAAAAAAAATATATAAAATAACCAGAGTAAAAATGATGAGAAATGACAGTAAAATGAATTTGAAACAGCAACTATGGTGATGACCTGTGGGTTACTGGTCCTACATGAAGGGTGCAAGAGGTGAGGGGGCCCCTGCCTTTCTTTACCCCTACTTCAGGTCAGGATAGACAACCATGGCAAGGGAGGGGTGGCCTTGTCTATGGGGCCCTATAAAATACTGGGTTGGGCTTTCATCGCTATACCTGTGCCCTCCTCATCTCAAAATAGGGGCACAAGGATCTGCAATTCTAACATTTTTTTGGGAAAAACAGGCTGATTTTAAAATCCGCTTTCCCCACACTGTTCTCTCCATCAGGCTTCCAGCAGGGACAGGCAAATGGTTTTAAAAACAATGGCCCAGTTTTATTGACATGCTACTTAACAGTAAGTCCTCCAGCAAACTACTGAGGAGACCAAAACGTTTCCAGTTCTACTACTTTGCCATCTCACACCCTTAAGATACTGGAGCATTTTAAGTAGCCAGTTTCCCTCAGGAAAACCTACAACACTGAAACTGTAGTAAGAATGGGTACTATATTATATCCACTTAAAGTGCTTAACACAGCATCATGCACAGAATAAGTGCTCAACATGACTGATTAACCTATAAATTGCTGAGTATTATTATTCAGAAGTTCTAGAAATGTCTACATAACTCCAGATGGTCATCAGCCTTTTCCAACTGTAGTGTTTCTTGGCAAACTATCATTTAGCATTTAATCTGGTGAAGTGTTCCTATGAAGCTACCTACACATTACTAGAACTTAATTCGGGCTGGGCGCGGTGGCTCACATCTGTGATCTCTGCACTTTAGGAGGCCAAAGTAGGTGGATCGCTTGAGCTCAGAAGTTTGAGACCAACCTGGGCAACATGGTGAAACCCCATCTCTAACAAAAATACAAAAAATTAGCCAGGCATGGTGGCATGTGCCTGTAGTCCCAGCTACTCGGGAGGTTGAGGTGGGAGGATCACTCGACCCTGGGAGGTGGAGGTTGCAATGAGCAGAGATTGCACCACTGCACTCCAGCCTGGGCAACAGAGCGAGACTCTGTCTCAAAAAAAAAAAAAACAAAAACAAAAACAAAAAAAACCTTAATCTGGTGACTGATAGGACTACCCACATATGATTTCTAAAATCAAGCAGTGATCAAGTCCAGTGGAAAGCATACTGAAGCTAGAGTCAGAACAACTGGGTTCTAGGCAACCAAATCATCCACCTCATGCCTCAGTTTCTTCATCTGCGAAATGAGAAAATACCACCACACCAGCATAAAGTAAGAGCACTGCATGTATTTTCAACCATCTATACAATAGGATTCTCTTCAAAGCCAAGAGAAGCCATTTCAAATGATTTCTAAAACACAGGCAGCACATTTTAATACATTTTTCAAATATGCAGACTGATTTAGACATTTCCAAAGAAATACTTATTCTGCTTCTCTGCTTTCTCTCATGGCATCTGTTGTTACTAGCAGCTAAGGAAAAGTAAAATCTAATGTCATTAACAGTAGACCCAAGATCTCTAGCACACATTTAATGGTGGGGGTGGGGGGCATACAGAGAGAAGCAAATTAAAAGGTGAACAAAATGAGAATGAGAGGAGCTGGGAAAAAGGCAGAGAAATCAGGTTAATGAATAAAAACAAGTCCATCTTTCATCTCTCCTGGCTCCTACTGATAGCAGACGGTGTATTTAATCTGCTGAGAGACCAGATTTAAGGCCTCCTTTTGGCATAGTCCATCCATGAATTATTAACATTTGCAGAAGCAACAGCACATCCGCTCACAGCAATCAGAGAGGATAATGATGATTAACTAAGATGGGATTATTAATCCTCCCACTTCCCTTTCCCATGTCTCCCTCTCTTCTTTATTCTCCTCTGGGCTCTGACTACTTTTTAGGTAGTATATTTTGAGCTACAGCCTTAATATCAGATTCAATACCTCTATGATGAAAACAATTATAACTGACAAATTATTAAGTCATAAGTTTTTAAATATATATGTTTTAAACATATATTATATTGAACACTATGTCCTTGATGAAGCAAAGATAAAAACAAAGGTGCTTATAAATTCTTTATGGACTCAAACACTTAAAAGATAAATACACTGCTTTGCAGTCTGCTTTGTTTACAGTTTGTTTAGTGAAAATTCAGTATTAGTCCACAGGTGGACTGAGTTTAAAAGTTGGCAGAGACACCTAGAAAAGCAGGTTTACCTACAGTAGACTTCTGTTATCACTTAATTCAGTACATCTCAAGCTGGAGTACTTGTTAAAACACAGACTCTGGGTCGCACCCTCACAGATTTGGATTCAATAGGTCTGCGGGGAGCCTGAGAATCACATTTCTTAAAAGTTCCCAGGTGATGCTGATGCTGCTGGTCTGAGCGCCACACTCTACAATCACTGACCAAAAGGCTTTTCTCTGGTTGCCAAAGGTGTTCAGGGCAGGAGAGGAATGGAGGAGGAAATTAAACCCAACCTGAGCTAGAAAGTTAATACAAAGACAGAGATGAGATCAGTGGCTCCTTCCCCTTCCTAACCCCCAAGGAAAAGCCTAGATGCCTGAAAGGCTCTGCAATGCGTTTGTTGCTCCAAAATAAACCCCATCCCATAACACTGCCCCATCCTCAAAAAAGAAAGTAGAATGAATAGTTAACAAATAGTGAAAAGCATATATGAGGTTGGGAGGTAGATTAATTTACAACTTCATTTCCGAAACACAAGAAACGCAACCAAATGTCTTCTTTTCCTTGGTCAGTTTCTTCCCCGTTCTCCCCCTACTTAGATTTGGCTTTAATGTATAATCAATCATCTAATAATAAATAAGTTGCAACTCTCACCTCAAACCTTGACTTACTAAGTACTTGTGAGGAAAAACCAATTCAAACTGTGTCTACTCTGCTCTCACCACACAATGACAATCAACACAGAAGACTTCCTTTTGGGTTTTTATGGAAGCTTCCTCATGTAGGCATGCCTGAGTAAACCACTGGCCACTGGTGATCAACTTAACCTTCAGATCCTCTCTCTTCCCAGCAGGCTGGAGGAAACAGGGTCCAAGACCAAATACATATTTCGCACTATCACAGTACTGTAACAGAAAACTCTTACAGGCCCTCAATACCAAGCTGAGTCAGACACTAAAAAACAAAGGTAGAAAATTAGCAGAGGCTTCAGGCAATGGCCAAAGTAAGGAAATGCACTTCAGGGTACATATTACAAGAGCAGAACATGAGCAAACTGGCTAGACAAATAAAACTAAATTCCATTTATTTGGGGTTTGCAAATGCAGAAAACACAAGTAAGGAGAGTATGTAGGGCAGTGGAGAAACAAGGAAGAGGCCCACCTCTGATAGACAGCAAGGCTAGGCTTCCACAGAGCTTCCAGGCCCCTGATGGGGAAATGTCATTCCATAGAAAACAGGTAAGAAATGGTCAGAGGAAAGGCAGGGACAAAACATTAAGAAATTCGACCAGTGGTGAAAGAACTAGCTTAGTGTCTTTGCAGAAAAGAATAATATGGCATTTACTCAACGAATCCATCACTTGATGCCTTCCTCAGCAAGGCATAAGAAAAGTAAGACTACAGGACAAGGTATAAAGAATCCGGAGTCCAAACTCACTCTCCAACTGTGTTCATTCCACAGGAAGATAGCTTTGGTGGGTGCATACTGCCAAGCTGTGGGAGCCATTCTAACAGCCGTGTTTTCACAGCTAACACTTGATCAGAAAAATGAGAAAAAATTCTACCCAACCATGTTCTTTATCCTTTTTCTGCCCTCAATACCGCTGAGGCATCCGGTACACTCCCATTAGCAATGGCAGCTCCTGCTGACAGCCAGTCTAAAAAGGCTGAGGCAAGGGGACAGGTGGCAGAGAGAGGGATGCAAAGAACAGAAGGAAAGCAAAAGTGAAAGGAAGAAAGGAGAAAAGACCAAAAAAGAAAAAGAAAAAGAATGAAAGGGAAGGGAACAGAGAAGGTGGTATCCAGCATAAAACAGAAAGCAAAATAATGGCAAAAACAAAACCAAAAAATCTTTCCTTCAATCTGCTCTAAAACCCCTGACATTCCTTCCAGTCCACCTAAAGTTCCAAATATGGCATTTGTTTCAGTTTGCTACTTTTCATTTGCTTGGGAGCAATGACCTACTCAGACAGCATAAACTCAGCACCAAGTCACATAAAGGAAAACAGCAGTAAACTATGTCAGCAGTATCAACAAACATCAGTATCACTTTTTGTTCCAAAGTATATCTCAGATGGAAAAAATGAGGTTTATCACCACTCAGTGCACAGTCCACAGAAGCCAATCACGCCAAATTACTCTTCTAAGTAGCATTTCCATCTCTAATTTAGTTAACCAGCAAGTCTTTCGTGCTGGAGGGAATAAATGGAAATGTCATCCCATAGAAAACAGGTAAGAAATGGTCAGAGGAAAGGCAGGGACAAAACATTAAGAAATTCGACCAGTGGTGAAAGAACTGGCTTAGTGTCTTTGCAGAAAAGAATAATACGGCATTTACCCAACCAATCCATCACTTGATGCCTTCCTCAGCAAGGCATAAGAAAAGTAAGACTACACGACAAGGTATAAAGAATTATTTGGGTTCAAGTTCCACCTTTTACAGTAACTAATCTATCTTAGTCTCAATTTCTTCCCCTTTTAAATAAAGATGATGCCAACACTCACTCAATCCATCTCATACACTGCAGTGTGGAACAAGAGAATGACAAAGCCCACTGTAAAGTATTATACAAATGAAAAGATTATGATGATGTGTCCCTCAAACTTCATACAAAGTTCCAGGCCTATTACTTCCCCCTAAATCTTCCAAATTAGGACAAAGTCACAGAACTTCTCAATAACCAGCCTTCCAAATAGTTTGAGGGGACAATGAAATGATGTAAGGGTTGTTCATGAAATCAGCACATCTCTGATCCCTTTTAGCACATAAGGAAGCTTTTCCGTTACAGAATAAAGGAACAGACTGTGTGTCAATTTATAGGAATTGACCAATTTTGAGCTATGAGGGTCACGTGTTTTTTTCTTTTTTTTTTTAATTTTTCAGTAGAGATGGGGTTTCACCGTGTTAGCTAGGATGGTCTCGATCTCCTCACCTCGTGATCCACCAGCCTCGGCCTCCCAAAGTGCTGGGATTACAGGCTTGAGCTACTGCGCCCGGCCTATGAGGGCCACTTTTACAGTCTATTTCTAACACACACTTCATGTACCAGTCCCTCACTTCTCTATTATCAATTTTCCTTGTCATTTCAAACAAAAGATGGCTACCGTTTCAAGTATGCTGTTTAAAAAGTTCAACACTCCCCAAATGGTATCTGTTCTAACAACTTCAAGGGGGAGTACAACAGTCAAGAAAGTGACTATGGAGCCATTTTCCAAATTTTCTGAAGTAAGTCCATCTTATTTGTGTGACTGGAGGGGGTGGCGGAAGTCAATTTTCCCCCCTTAAAGCCATTCGGTTCTCATTTACTCTCAAAGTCACAGATTTAATGTTTTTGTCATCTCACTCCCTCAGCCTTAACTCAAGGGGTGAAAACACACCCTTTATTCCAGTCAAAAGATGCCCAGGCTGTGAAAGAAGATGGTGAAAGTTTTTTGTGACCAATGATGACTTCTCCAACCACTCCTAAGCCCCTGGCCAGCTCTCTCCATAAACAGGACACGGCACCAGCCCTTCAGCTAGATTCTAATTTCAACTCCATGCCAGCAGAGTGGAACCAGGCAAACCTAATTGTCACCTACTCTTGCATACTCACTGACACCCCTTCTCCCTTCCCTGCTTAGTCTTCTCTTCCTGATTCTGTTATGTTAGTTTGCGTTTGTTTATAAAAGCCAGATAGCCCAAAGAGTACCAGTTTGCAAGACATCAGGTGTTAATGTTCAGCTGAATGTCAATTCCTCACTTTTATACTCTTAGACGTGAATAATTTTGCTGTAGAGAAATCTGTCTTGTATTCTGGAATATACACACAAAGTTGAGGGCTTTGTGTCTTTAAAACCAAATACACATAATACCCTTAGACAGACAAATCATATTATACAATACAAGATTTCAACATTCCGGCACACTGCCAGGGCTTAATGGCCAGTCAGACGCTAAGTAAGGAAATGGGTTTGCATTAAACCTACAAATAAGTCAACAATCAATAGTTCAGTATTACAGTAAAAATTTGATGTGCCCTTTAAATTGCTTCTAGCATCATGCTTCTAACTCAAGTTCAGCTTCAGAAGCAAAACAAAACAAAGATGATCAAGCAAGAAGCTGAACACAACCTATTTTCACAAGCACAAAGCTTTGGCATTTTGAAACTAAAAGCTGCTCCAGGATTTCACAGAAATCCTTTACAGTGTACCTGTAGGGCAGCAAACCTGAAAAATAATAGGCTGAGCTTTAGACAGTAAATTAAACTGACAGCTCAGCAAGCAGAAAACTATGGCAAAAAAAAGCAAGCACCTGGAGATAAACGGATGAAGCAGGTTTGGTCTTTCTGTAAAACTGAATGCCCCTCAACCACCACCTCCCAACGCTCCGCAAGAGTTCACATCAGGGTTGAGAAAGTACGCTCCAGCCTCTCCCTCAATCAACGTTATTTTACTACTAAGCTTGTGTAAATAAGAGCTATGCCTACCACATCCATTCAAAAGATACTTTTCTCCGGCACTGTGGGCTTTCTACTCTTTATTTTGCTCTAAATGAATGATCAATTATACTTCTATTTTATACTTTCACTAACTTTCCTCCTTCTAATACATCCTGAAAAACTTCCCTCCTTCACTAAAACAGTCTTAGTCTGCAAATGCAATTTAAATCCTAGGCAGCTAAGAGCACAGTATTGGACTCAAATCAACAGACTGGAGCTCTGGTCTGGCATATCTAGCCTCTGTAAGCCTTAGCTTCCTCATCTGTGACATGGGGTTAACAGTAAGTATCCACCTCAGAGGGTTGCTGGGAAGATTAAATGAGCAAGCCTAGGAAGTGCTTAGCACACGTCTGAACATAATAAATGCTCAATAAACCTTGGCTTTGCTTCCCTGATGTTAGCTGGGGTAAGACAAAAGTCAATTTTTTTTTTTTTTTGAGACAGAGTCTTGCTCTGTCCCCCAGACTGGAGTGCAGTGGGGCAATCTCGGCTCACCGCAAGCTCTACCTCCTGGGTTCACACCATTCTCCTGCCTCAGCCTCCCGAGTAGCTGGGACTACAGGCGCCCGCCACCACACCAGGCTAATTTTTTGTATTTTTTAGTAGAGACAGGGTTTCACCGTGTTAGCCAGGATGGTCTCGATCTCCTGACCTTGTGATCCGCCCGCCTTGGCCTCCAAAGTGCTGGGATTACAGGCGTGAGCCACCACACCTGGCCAAAAAAAAAAATTTTTTTTTTTGAGACAGAGTTTTGCTTTTGTCACCCAGGCTGGAGTGCAATGGCGTGATCTTGGTTCACCACAACCTCCGCCTCCCGGGTTCAAGCAATTCTCCTGCCTCAGCCTCCCGAGTAGCTAGGATTACAGGCATGCGCCACCACGCCCAGCTAATTTTGTATTTTTAGTAGAGATAGGGTTTCTCCATGTTGGTCAGGCTGGTCTCAAACTCCCGACCTCAGGTGATCCACCCACCTCAGCCTCCCAAAGTGCTGGGATTACAGGCGTGAGCCACTGCGCCCAGCCAAAAGACAAGAACGTAATGTGTCTCTGGTACTACGTTTCACTGCAACGGTGAGAAACAGGGAAGGAAGAAGGAAGGAGAAAAAAACACAACTATTTAAACTTGTGGTGCTCAAAATATGGTCAAAGGAGCACCGGTCCACAAATGGTTTGCTCCCAGTCTGCAGCAGGTAAGTGCAAAGACTGACAATAAGGATTTAGAGATTTTTACAGCAAACTGAGTAATTTTATAGCTAACAAACCCCATTTTAAAAAGGGCTTGTACTTTGCATGTCTTTTTTTCCTAGTAATTCATTTTTGTTATATTTTATAAAAGTATCTCTCAGTCTGAGACAAAGTGAAGAAAAAAACTGGTTTGAGAAGCACTGATTCAGTAAAAGCACCTTTTGAATGAACAACACCCACCACTATATTCATTCAATGCTAAGACATCTGGGGCAGTTTAGGACCTCATTACAGAATTAAATGATCCTGTAAATGCCCATAAACTTTCAAGGGTCCGCCAGGCCCTGCTCATTTAGAGACGGGTCCTCCTGTTGAGAAAGACTGATGTGCACTGTGAGAGAACCTACTAGAAGAAGAGAGAAAACTCCCAGGGAATATCACACTAGTGTATTTTGGTACCTTGAGCAAATCAAGCATATCATATAACCTTCCATGGCGGTTTCTACCTGTCCCTAAGATAGCAACAGCATTTTAAAATAGACTATTTTTTTAAAAGAAAAGGGAGGAGTGGAGGAAACTCTCCCCCATATCCTTTTGTTCATCCCATTCAAAGAAATAAACCAAATTAGTCAGTAATTTTTAAAAATCAGGAAGTAAATCCATACTCCCACTTACATTCTGCTGACCTAACCCTCCCTCCCTTTTGTTTTATAAATTAAACAAATAGTCTAGTCTTCATTGCAAATATGTCTTATAAGACAAGGGTTCTTTCTGAATAATTTCTTGGCAGCTGTGTCACGCCCAGCCCTGCTCAGCAGATTCTGCTGCAGTGCTTCAAGTGCTGCAGCTTTCTGGAAAGCACAGGCAGGATTTTGCTGATGGCATCTCAGCCTCACAGCCACTCCACAGTGAGAGGCAAGGACTGGCCCTTCTGTCCTCCAGGATAATTAAAGTGGTGCGTGCACCACTGCTGATCTTGTGATCGCTGCAGACCAGCAGCTGTCAGAATCAAGGGCCTTAGCCCCAGCATGGCTGTCAGCAACCTGGGCTTGGGGAACACATTCAGCCTCTCCAAATCTGAAGTGCAAGATGGAAGCTGAGCATCTGTGAAATGGAAAGATGCTTTAAAAGAAAGCGATACACACTGGTTCTTAGAGCACTGCAGCACAAGAAAATTCTAAGTCTAGGTCTTGTCAGTAGGGGATGTTACCCATCTTACCTTCCAGCTTCTTTTCCTGGTCCCTACCAAACAAACAAATGAAAAGAAGTAAAGCCAAGGGTCTCCCCTCTATGTAATCCCCTCTCTCGGTTCCATCGCAGATCATGGATTTTTAGTGAGACACTAACAACCTGGGCCCCAAAGTTTTGTAACTGAGAAGCCTCAGTTTGCCAACTGCCACATCAGGCTGCAGGCCTGCACAGCTTTGGATCGAACATTCCAAAAACAGAAATAAGAGATCACAAGGTGCTGTGGCAAGCAGATCAAAGTGGCACATGGGTAAAGGGCTGCCATCTGAGAACAACAGACTGGTCTACAGTAAAACAATTCAATATTTGACAAGGCTTTAACCACCATTTAAATCACAACCACTCCAGTATCAAATAGTTCAGCAGATAAAAAGACATGCCCATTTCTGGTTCCTGCAACCGAGCAATTTATAGATGCCAGACTGAAGATGTCAATCTATGTTTCTCATCACCAGAGTGCTGGGGCATCACTGGTATCGGCAGGTTAAGAGATAGCTGGTGAAGGAGGGAGGGGACGACTCAACTCCAGTTCAAAGGCACCAGAGCCTGGCCAATATCTGAAGTCTTCTATTAAAATGTTAAATGTTTCAGCCACGGGGCTTGTTCCAAAATACTCTTAGAGAACCATTCCAACTTCTTTCTTCTTTAAGTTGGTAATTGATACTCTCTTGCTCACTACAGGATATAAGAAACCTCCTAGAAGACAAAAAAGCCTGTCATTTCCCGCTCGTTCAGAATGCATTCAGCATCCATTTACTTGCTTCTTCTGAAAGCCTTGCATTCAGGAGTAAGTGTGAATGGATAAATAAAAAGGCTGAAATCTTATATCCCTGGCTCACATAAAAGCAGTTTTTCACATTTTCCCCGACCCATTTTTATTCCAAAGTTACCATTTTTAATTCCATTCACAGAATACTTTAATGTAATTGCATACTTTGCCACCAGACCACAATGCCTACCTTTTCCCTTATCATGGACAGGCAGAAAAATTAAATCATTTCAATTTCTTACCACTGTGATCAGCATTAGGCTACCTAATTATAAACATGAAACAGGATGGCACATTAGCCTGCCTCTGTGAAGACATTATATTTTTTTTTGTACAGGTTTAATGGTTTTTACCAGCTCTAAGATTTATACTGGGTCAGGGTTTAATGACAAGGAACAGCAAATATGTTTATTAAGTAGGTGTGATGTAGACACCACTGTGTTCATATAGGGGACAAAGCTTGGCACCACTTATTGTCCCTCAACCAGAACAGGGCACAGTAAGATGTAATGTCTTTTCTACATGCAATTCAGTCACTACACCCAAATCTTGGCCTAAAATGTACCTGGTGTTCCAGGAAAGGATTTCTCTTCAACTAACAGACTTTGGATCTGGTGATAATCAGATTCATCACTCCTACTGAGCCCAGGAGCATTAACTATAGGTTGTTTTAAGTCCAGGATGGGCAGCTGTCATAAGCTGAGAAACAGCAAGATTCAAATATCCATTAAATCCCTCTAAAAACTCAAAAGAAAGGGTATCATGAACATCCTGTTCATTCTCTTAGGGACAAGAGGAATATAACAAAGGAGATAAATAAATGCAAATGCTTAACTAAAAGCCTTCACACCATTAGATTCCATGGAATAGTCTCTTATATTTTTATATTATGTGAAAATATTTAGACAGCAAAGTCTTATTCCTTCAGGGTCCACAGTCCATCAGTTCAAAATCATCCAATTTGGGCTAGATCACCATTTTGTGCAGAAGAGCCTACTCAGGCATATTAAGAACAGAAACAAGATGGAAGATAGGGATGTTCTGCCTACTTAAACCATTTCTCAGAATCGTTACACAAATTATCAGTAGGCAAACAGATGCAACTCTTAAGGACTTCATCTCTTCCTCGGATTTGCTAAAGCAGCTCTGGTAATAATGCTTTTCCTTGGTAAACATGCTTAGCAGTTTCAGTTTCAGAAACAGATGAAAATGACAACTGCATTTCTTTCAGCCTTAGAATTAAGATACTGTTTACCCATTCAGACTGTACTTTCCCTTGACTGATTCAAGCTAAGAAATTTTACTGCACTTTTCCTTCAATATTAATATTTTGCCAGTAATTCCTGAAGAGCTATTCGCATATTAATCATTCTAGGCAAATCTGACCCTCTTTCCAACAAACTGCCACAGGATTTCCGCAACCTGTTCCCAACCAACTACTTGCCAGTACTACAAACATCCAATTAGTGAGCAACTACTTTTCCTCTTTGCTGTTATATATAGCTGCATTTAAGGAGCAGAAGATAGAAAACTAAAAGATAGACTATAAAAATAATTCAGGTGATAAGGGGTTACAAGACTATTGATTCATTTTTTAATTTTATTCATTTTTTGAGACAGAGTCTCTCTCTGTCAGCCAGGCTGGAGTGCTGTGGTGCCATCTCAGCTCACCACAACCTCCACCTCTCGGGTTCAAGTGATTCTCCTGTCTTAACCTCCTGAGTAGCTGGGATTACAGGCGTGCACCAACATGTCCGGCTAATTTTTGTATTTTTAGTAGAGACGGGTTTCACCATGTTGACTAGGCTGATCTTGAACTTCTAACCTCAAGTGATCTGCCCGCCTCGGCCTCCCAAAGTGCTGGGATTACAGGTGTGGGCCACCGCATCCGGCCATTGATTCATTTTTAAACTTACCAAAATCATTTAGTTTCTTCTTTCTATTTAAAAGACAAACTAAAAGTGGTTTGAGCATATTCTACATTTCCAAGGACAGGAAAAGGAAGAAAATAATGAATATGTTATAGATACAGTGTGGCAAGCAAAACAAGTTTTTAACAGTCAATTATTATCACACCTTTAGTCTTACATATGATATATAGTTCAGTTTCCCTAACACTAATTTTTTTATGGTTATTTTATCCTGTTTATCACTTCTTTTCCTCTTTACTTATATAGGACAGATTTCCATCTGGAGATTTAGGCAGATTATGAAGACCTTCAGAACAGAGTCTTTTTTTTTTCTTTTGGGTAGAAGGGGCTGAATTTTCACTTAACCATGATTAGAATTGGCGGCTAAGTCAATTCCAACAACATAATCTAGATTTCTATTTACTTTGTAAGGGAACATTCAGGAAGTTTTGTCTTTTCCTCAGCAGGGAAGCCAATATACTGTATTTGGAGGCTGTGGGGAAAACAGGTCTATTAAGACTGTGGAAGAGGTGATATCTAAGGAAAGCCTTAGGGTCTTAGACTGAAATTAGGGCTTGGATGTTCCAGGACAAGTGAAGGCAGTGAGCAAAGATATGTTATAAAAGAAAAAAGAATGGGTTGGGCATTTACATACACACACACACACACCCACACATACACACACACACCCACCCACACACACACACACAAGCAGTTCCTTCTACCTTGGAAAAATGCCAAAATTTAATCCTATCTATAGTTACCTTAAAAACTACATATTTAATACTTTAAGAAGCAGAGAGTTTCTAGTTGAAAAATGTCTCTAGATAAATCTCTCAAACACATTACAGACTGTTAACATGTTTAGAAAGAGTAACTACTATTAAATTCTGAAATCAGATATAAGTAGTCACCCTCATTTCCCAAAGGCTCAAAGCAGAATGAGGAGGATGACATGAGAAACTTAGTTGGGACCTGCAGTACTGAACGACTAGCAATGGATATCTTATCCCAATACTGCCCATGGATATGAAATGGAGTTAGATTTGAAGATGTTTCATTCTTTACAGTAACAGTTTTAAAATTTCTGGCACTATAAGTACAGTGGGTTGAAGTGTGTGTCCCACAAAAAGATATGTCCAAGTCCCAACCTCTGGTCCTTGTAAATATGACCTTACTTGGAAATAGGGCCTTTGCAAATGTAATTAAGGATCTCAAGAAGAGATTATCCTGGATTTAGGGTGGGTCCTAAATCCAATGACTGGTGTCCTTATATGACATGAAAGGTAGACCTGACACACACAAGGAAGAACCCCGTGAAGATGGAGGAAGAGACCGAAGATACCCTGCCCTAAGCCAAGGAATGTCAGGAGCCAATCAGAAGCCAGAAGAGGAAGGAGTCTCCCCTAGAGCCTATGGAGAGTGTGTGGTGCTGCCAATACCTTGATTTCAAAGTTCAGGATTCCAGAACTGTGACAGAATAAACTTCTGTTGTTTTAGGCCACCAAGTTTGCAGTACTTTGTTACAGCATCCCTAGGAATTTAATATAGTAAGTTTGGCAATTATTTATTATTGCTCTGCAATGGTCTAATGCCATTAAAAATATTTTTAATTATTAGGGATACATCATATTTATTCATGTTGTACATGTGATACTTTGATACAAGCATACAATGTGTAATGATCAAATCGGCAATCAGGATACCCTTCGCCTCAAGTGTTTATCATTTATTTGTGTTAGAAACATTCCAATTCCACTCTTAGTTATTTTGAAAGTCTAATGCCATTTAAAAATATTATAGCCTAATGCTGGGAAAATGCAGCTCCCATTTTCATGGCCAATTCAGGCTATTTCTGCACAGACTTCTTGAAATATACATGCAATCTAGTGAAAAAACCCAGAATATAACTGGACTACGTAAATTTGCACTTTATTATTATATAATACACGTATCCATGACACATTAGGTCTGTTCAGACCACAGTAAAGATGTGCAATATGCCATCAATATTTTTTTCTCCAAAGACAGAAGTGAGCAAGTGGATCTCTGTGAGAGGACGCATACTCCCAAGCACCACAAAGTCATTTAGAACAGATCCAGTACAGCTGTTTTAGTAGTATGTCCTGTTATCACTCTTCACCTCTATTACACAAATGTAGGCCTTCTTTATGACCATTTCCAAAAAATAAAATCAATAAACATTAAAAAAATTCTACTAGTATCATCCCTACATATATTTAAGTGGCGTTTCTTTAATATACTACCTTTGGTGGTCACAGCAATTTTTTTAAAATGCATTCACAATGCACGCAAACATTATTGATTATGACAAACAACAAAATGGTAACAACAAAAACCCATATTAATTTCAAGCTCCATTAGAAGCAGAAGGAAATATAATCAATGTTTACCAAATAGAAAAAGACAATGCATAAGTGGCAAAATGCCTTTAAGCTTATAAGTAATGCAAACGATGGATAGTACAAAGTCCTGGACGGTACTTGTCAAAGAATGCATCAGCATTTCCTTTTTATAACAGTACTTTAAGTGGCTTATAAACTGACATAATAATTTCCCTCTGACTGATAGCACATGGAATTAGGGTGCATTCTCACCTCAAAAAAAAAATGCATTGATTGAAAAACAAAAGTTCAATTACAAAAGTCCACCACATTTATGGTATGTGAATTATATCTCATTTAAGCAATTAAAATAAATGAAAAAAAAAGTCCATCGAATAGTATATCTGGCTTTTCTAAAGACAAATCACTGAAAATGTCCAAGTTTACTCTTCTTGGATAACCAACACATTATGAGAAGAATTAAGAGGAGGATCACTCCATGCCAGGAATGCAAGCTGGCTTGGCTCTTATGCTTGGTTACTAAACAAGAAGTCAGGGAAGGATACGTGTATAGGAAGTTTATTAAGCACAGGTCAACTGAGCCACACAATACAACTTAAAACCTCCAATCCCTATTGATAAAACGGAGTTCCCCCAGATCAGGCCAAAGCTAAATTTTCTCCTTTAAGCCTTTGCTGGCAAGAAGATGAAGTGAACAGAGAACTTATTTCAAAACTAGTAAGCCTTAAACTTTTACTTCAGGTCTAGATGATCAATTCCTAATTAATCAAAAGTTATCTTGGACTGACCATTTTGCATTTTTTGAAGCTATTCTGGAACAGCACAACGAAGAGGTGAGTTGTTTCTGGGTTTTTTTTTGGTTTTTTTTGAGACAGGGTCTTGCTCTGTCACCCAGACTTGAGTACAGTGGTGCACACAGGAGGGACTCACTGCAGCCTCAACCTCAACCTCCTGGACTCAAGTGATGTTCCTGCCTCAGCCTCCCCCTGTAGCTGGGACTACAGGAGTGCGCCACCATGCCCCGATCATTTTTTATCTTTGTAGAGACAGAGTAACGTAGTTTGAATACATGTCTCTGCCAAATCTCATGTTGAACTGTAATCCCCAGTGTTGGGGGTGGGGCCTGGTGGGAGGTGACTGGATCATGAGAGCAGATTTCTCATGAATGGTTTAATACCATCCTCTTGGTGCTGTCCTCATGACAGTGAGTTCTTATGAGATCTGGTGTTTGAAAGTGGCACCCGCCCCTGCCCCCAACTCTTTCTAGCTCCTGCTTTCACCATGTGACGTGCAAGCTCCCACTTTGCCTTTTGCCATGAGTAAAAGCTCCCTGAGGCCTCCCCAGAAGCAGATGCTGGTTTTATGCTTCTTGTACAGCCTGCAGAACCGTGAGCCAATTGAACCTCTTTCTTTATATATTACCCAGTCTCAGGTATGTCTTTATAGCAATGCAAGGATGGCCAAATACAGGGGGTATCACTATGTCGTCCAGGCTGGTCTTGAACTCCTAGGCTCAAGCAATCCTCCCACGTCAGCCTCCTACCATGCTGGGATTAGAGGCATGAGCGACTGTGCCTGGCCAAGAGGTGAACTTTTGAAATGAAGCATCCTTAACCTCAAAGTTCAGAGACTTCCCAGTGGTACAGGACCAAAGCTCTGATGCGCTCATTCCAAATTAAGAAATTCTCTTTGATGTAACTAAGCATATATTGTTAGAAAACCATCTAATGGCAGTGTTGAAGGAGAGTATTCTTCCATTAAGTAGAAGGTTAGATGAAATGATCATTATGACTCAATACATTTACAAACCTGTCAATACCTTAAGGTAAAAAAATGGAGTTTCACATCACTCGAAATGCATGAAGTGCATCACAAAATGCTGTTGAGTATTCCAAATACCTACTCCAAGAATATCAAAGAAAATGTAAAAAACACTTTGTTTTTCAAACAAACAATTTCTCTGGTATTTTCAACATTAAAAACGAACAAAAACCCTTTCAGCAGGTGCCATTTCTTTCCACATTATTAGGGATGCTCCCAAAATACATGGTGATTATTCATCCCTGTTACATGTATTTGTTAACAGAGAGCCTCAAGCAGTTGTACGGGGGAGGGGGGCTAAAACTTAAAAAAAAAAGTTTAAAAAGTATACATGCCATTTCAAGATTACATGGAAATGAGAAGGCAACTATAAGTTGACATGCAAAAATGATTTAGCATATAAAACTGGAAAAACTGGATTCTCATACTTTGGGAACATAGCAGCAATAGGAAAAATATCTATAGTTCTTCAACTCTCAACTCAAAGTAGTTTTAGGTTTCTGAATTCAAATAAATGCAGGAGAAATGTGGCCATTAGATGGACTAAAATGGTTCTTAGGAAGGTTACTAGGATAGAGAGTATTAATTCAAATTGAGCCCAAATAATATTGCCCATTTCTACTAGAATTTGCCTCTGCAGAAGGCATCCTCTCATTTTCAGGTAAATCAATGATAAAAAAATAAAATGGTGCCCCACTGTCCCTTCACTCTAATGCAAATGCAGTGTTCCAATTCCTCAAAAACTAAACAGACCGTGAGTTTTTTCCTTAACAATTTTACGTCAGTTTCTGATTAGATTAAAACAGCTATCAATTGCTTGTGGCATGTTTGGTTAAATGAGACTGGAGTGCTCTATTAGACTATTTCCTGGTGCCACTAATGCAGCCAAACACTTCTTGGAAATCATTGAGTAGGTTTCAGTAAATAGTACTCTAAGTTTTCCCCAGCTCTTTGCCAACCAATACAAGCAAGATGTAAAAAAGAAATGTGGAAGACGAATAGTAAAATTATTTGAGATCTAGCAAAGAAAGCGAAAGAAACTTGCAACTAATGTCTCTGAGCCTTGGATTAAGCCCAAGGAAGGAAGAGAAATCTGTTCTCCTAATTATAATAATCTAAAAAGTGCAGGTTGGAATTGCTTTCTTAAATTCAGCCACACAGAGAGCTCTGAAAATAACCCAATGTTTTCCACTATACCTCCAAAGCTGAATCTACTGTTCTCTTAATATCTGAGGAAGAAGAAAGTTAACAAAGAAAACTGAAATTCCTCAATCTGCTAGTTAATAAAGGGCCAGGGTCTTCAGCCTGGGTTATATGCTCTGGGTTCCACCTGCACTTGGCAGCCCTTACCTGAATGTCAGTGTCCTTCACAGGCTCAAGAGGCTCAAAGGTGGTGGCTGCACTCAGACTCTCCAATCGCTGGGAGATGTGGGATATGTCAAGTCCCCGAGACCCGAGGAGAACTGACCTATGTGAGGATATAGAATAGGGAGATATAAGTAAGGGGAAAATTAGGATTAGGATTAGGACATCTAATATGCTTCATCAAATACTAGAGAGCATTTTTAATTCAAAACTTCCTATATACTGTCCAGACACTTTTACATAGTTGTTTTATATCTTTCCATAGACATCACCTGGAATAAGAGCCATAACACTGTACTTTGTAGTAACAGATTCAAGTTCTAATCATGCCTGAATTTGAGAGCCTTGTCTAGAATAAAACGATACTACTACCATAGACTAGACTGCTCCAAACATGTCATAGTAAAGAAACCCATGAGGTGCATGCTATCATTCATCCCCATTTTATGGATGAGAGAACTAAGGTACAAAGAGGTTAGCCAGCTTGCCCAAAGTCACAGAGTCAGGAAGTGGCAGAGGCAGGACATCTAGTTCTGTGGCACAAGCTCCCCCCAACTTTTTTTTTTTTCTGAGACAGAGTGTCACTCTGTCGTCCAGACTGGATTGCAGTGGCATGATCTCGGCTCACTGTAACCTCCACCTCCCAGGTTCATGTGATTCTCCTGCCTCAGCCTCCCGGGTTGTACAGCACAACTCTTAACCACCATCCTACACTTACAGCCTCCGTAGATGAATACAGTGAACTACAATATTGTAGAAGTTTCAGGAGTAACCTAGTATAAACGTCATTCATGAGCTAAGGAAACTAAAGGTTCAAGGTGATCAATGATTTGCCCAGGGGCAATCAAACCAGAATTCAAGGCCAGTTCTCCATGGCTTCCCTTCAAAAGCCAAACGCCATGTTCAGCACATCTGCAGGTTCCCTCTCTGCTGCCCAGTCTAATAATATAGGAGGCTGTTATCTGATCAGTAAATGCTTTTGAAGAGAAATGGGAATAATATAGCCATCTTTATTTCTACTCACCTGGGGCAATGTAACAATGCAAGGGTAGTTTTTTAAAGAAAAGGTTGCACTAATATCTAGAACACTCTCTGTAAAAAAGAAACTTAGGGGAACTCGTAGTGTAGTGGTGGGGTGGGGTCGGGTCAGGTCGGGTCGGGTCTAGTCTGGTCTAGTCTATTTTATTTTATTTTCAGACAGGGTCTTGCTCTGTTGCCCAGGCTGGTCTCAAACTCCTGGCCAAGCGATCCTCCTGCCTCAGCTTCCAAAAGTGCCGGGATTACAGGCGTGAACCACCACATCCAGCCCATTAATTTGTAGACTGTTCTTGGATTATAAATTAGTACCAAAAACTCTCACTGATAACATTTGTGTTCACTTTGAGTAACTTAGTAGTCAGAGAATTTGGCAGCACATGTAACCCTAACACCTACAGGTATAACACCTAAAAGTTTCAATCCTGAACTAACAGACTTACTGGAGAAGAGAAAGGATTTCGCATATGTAGTTCTAATCCAATAAATACTACAGCAACAGATTACATTTACCCAGAGGTTCCTTCCTATAGATTTTTGTCTCTTCCACGTCAACTATGATGCCATCCCCGGGACTTTCCCTCCAGGTTGCCGTATCTTGCCTCTCTCCTCTAATAATCCTAAAAAGTTAACTCTCTAAAAGAGTGGGTCTCCCTTCTCAAAAGAAGACATTTATGCAGCCAACAAACATATGAAAAAAAGCTCAATATCACTGATTATTAGAGAAATGCAAATCAAAACCACAATGAGATACCATCTCATGCCAATCAGAATGGCGATTATTAAAAAGTCAGGAAATAATAGATGTTGGCAAGGCTGTGAAGAAACAGGAATGCTTTTACACTGTTGGTGGGAGTGTAAATTAATTCAACCACTGTGGAAGACAGTGTAGCAATTCCTCAGGGATCTAGAAACAGAAATACCATTGACCCAGCAATCCCATTACTGAGTATATAACCAAAGGATTATAAATCATTCTACTATAAAGACACATGCACATGTATGTTTACTGCAGCACTATTTACAATAGCAAAGACTTGGAACCAACCCAAATGCCCATCAATGATAGACTGGTTAAAGAAAATGTAGCACATATACACCATGGAATACCACGCAGCCATCAAAAAGAATGAGTTCATGTCCTTTGCAGGGAGCTGGATGAAGCTGGAAGCTATCATTCTCAGCAAACTAACACAGGAACACAAAACCAAACACTGCATGTTCTCACTCATAAGTGCGAGTTGAACAGAGAACACATGGACACGGGGAGGGGAACAACACACATAGGAGCCTGTCGGGGGGGGGGGGGGCAAGGAGAGAGAGAGCATTAGGACAAATACCTAACGCATGCAGGCCTTAAAACCTAGATGACAGGTTGATAAGTGTGGCAAACCACCATGGCACATGTATATCTATGTAACAAACCCGGACATTCTGCACATGTATCCCGGAACTTAAAGTAAAATATTTTAAAATTAAAAAAAAAAGAAGAGTGGGTCTCAACCCTGGCTGCACATTAGAATCACGTAGCTTCAGGAGTAACCTAGTCCAAACTTTCCTCCCAACGACTGTGATTAGTTGTGATTAATATTGGACTCAAACTCCTGGGCTCTAGAGATCCTCCTGTCTCAGCCTCCCAAGTAGCAGGAACTAAGGATGCTTGCCACTGCACCCAGCTTTACAATTTATCATTTAAAGTATACAATTTGTTTATTTATTTACTTATTTATTTTGAGACAGTCTTGCTCTGTTGCCCAGGAAGGAGTACAGTGGTGCAATCTCAGCTCTCTGCAACCTCCAGCTCCCAGGTTCAAGCAATTCTTGTGCCTCAGCCTCTCTAGTAGCTGGGACTACAGATGCACACCAGCACACTCAGCTAATTTTTGTATTTTCACTAGAGACAGGGTTTCTCCATGTTGGCCAAGCTGGGGTTGAACTCCAGGCTCAAATGATCCACCCACCTTAGCCTCCCAAAGTGCTGGGATTACAGGCGTGAGCGACCATGCCTGGCCTACAATTCAGTGATTTTTATGTATTCATAAAATTGTACAATCATCACTACAATCAATTTTAGAATATTTTCATCACCCCAAAAAGCAACCCCTGACCAATAGGTGGTGATTCCCCATTTCCCCCCAAACCTCCCCCATCCCCTGGCAACTACTAATCTACTTTCTGTCTCTATAAATTTGCCTATTCTGGACATTGCTCATAAATGCAATCACACAATATACAGTCTTTCTAACTGCCTTCTTTCATTTAACATAATGCTTTCAAGGTTCATTCATGTTGAAACATGTATTAGTACTTCACTCCTTTTTATTGCCAAACAGTATTCCACTGCATGGACATACCACATTTTATGTATCCATTCATCAGTGGATGGGCATTTGGATTATTTCCACTTTTGGCTATTATTTTTCCTTCACAAGTTTTTGTGTGAGTATACATTTCCATTTCTCTTAGGTATATACCTATGAGTGGAATTGCTGGGTCATATAACCCTATGCTTAATCTTTTGAGGAAATGCCAGACTGTTTTCCAAAGCAACTATACCATTTTACATTCCCACCAGCAAGGTATAAAGATTCCAATTTTTCCCACATCCTCGCCAACACTTGTTACTATCTTTTTGATTACAGCCATTGTAGTGGCCCACTTGTTTAAAGCTATTATAGAAAAAGATTAAAAACACAAAATTTTGGGAGCCTCCGAACAGCTACCAGAGAATGTAGAGAAATGTCTGGATATCCAGGCAGAAGTCGGCTACAGGGGCAGAGCCCTCATGGAGAATCTACTAAGCAGTGTGGAGGGGAAATGTGGGGTTGCAGACCCCACAAAGAGTCCCCACTGGGGCACTGCCTAGTGGAGTTGTGAGAAAAAAGCCACCATCCTCCAGAACTCAGAATGGTAGACCCACTGATGGTTTGCACCATGTGCCTAGAAAAGCCACAGGCACTCAACACTAGCCCATGAAAGCAGCCAAGAGGGCTGTACCCTGCAGAGCCAAAGCATGGGGTCTGTAGCCCCTTTGTTTTGGCCAATTTCTCCCTTTTGGAATGGGAACATTTGCCCAATGCCTGTACCCCCATTGTATCTTGGAGGTAACTAACTTGTTTTTGGTCTTACAGGCTCATAGGCAAAGAGACGTGCCTTGTCCCAGATAAGACTTTGGACTTGGACTTTTGAGTTAATGCTAGAATGAGTTAAGACATTGGGGGTCTGTTTGGAAGCCATGACTGTGCTTTGAAATGTGACAAGGACATGAGATTTGGGAGGGGCTAGGTGTGGAATGATATGGTTTGGCTCTGTGTCCCCACCCAAATCTCATGTCGAACTGTAATCCTCAACATTGGAGGGGGCACCCAGTGGGAGATGACTGGACCATAGGGGCAAGACTTCCCCTTTGCTGTTCTCATGACCGTGAGTTCCCATAAGATTTGGTTGTTTAAGAGTACGTAGCACTTCCCCCTTCACCCTCTATCCTGCTCCATCATGTGAAGATGTGCCTGTCTTCCCTTCACCTTCTGCCATGATTGTAAGTTTCCTAAGACCTCCCCATCCACGCTTCCTGTACGCCCTGTGAAAATGTGAATCAATTAAACCTCTTTTCTTCATTAAAAAAAAAAAAATTAAAATAGTAAACCTCCTCATACCCATCACCCAGCCCCAACAATTTGCATGTCGTAGCCAACCCTGTTTCATCTACATCCCTACCTATTTTTCTCTATCAACAAATATGCTTGTTATAGCCAAGATATTGCCTAATTTTTTCACAACTTTTAAAGTTGTGTTTGTTTAAATGAAATCCAAATAAAGTCTCTACTTGTGGATGATTAATATGCCTCCTAAATCTCTTTTCATCAACAGGTTGTCCCTCTCATTTTTTTCTTATAATCTTTGTTGAAGATTCTGGATTATTTATCTTGTAAAGCAGTGTTACTCAAGCTTTAAATGCACATGTGATGACAAAAGTACAGAGCAGAAAAAAAAGTGCATATGAATCACCTGGAAAGCTTGTTAAAAATGTAGATTCTGATTTAATAGGTTTGGGATGGAGCCTGAGAGTCTCCATTACTAAAAAGCTCATGGTTGATGCTGATGCTGTTGATCCATTGACTACACTCAAAGTAGCAAGGCTATAGTTCCCCACAGAAAATGTTTTACTGACAGAATCCCCATGATATCATTTAACATGCTCCTTTATCCTCTGTATTTCCTGCAAATTCAAAGTTCCAAGGGTTTGATTAGATTGAGGTGCCACTATTTTTATGGCTAGATTACTATATACTTTTCATCAAGAGGTATTTAATATCTGGTTATCTCTATCTGAAATATTTGCAGTCTTGATGATGATTGCTTAGACCCATTTACTCCTCAGTAGTTGCAAAATGGTGGTATCCTAATTCCATCTTCATTAGCTGGAATACTTCCATTCCAAGAAACTCTAAAATCAACTATGTAATTACCCTGAATAATGAGTTGGTTCTCTAGTATTCTCCAAAGGCGATCAATGAGTTTTGTTTTAGTACATAAACTCATAAATTTTAAACATATTTGATATGTTTCAATCCAATGCAGTTATTATCCTAATTGATGATCAAATAATCTCATCTTTGGCCAGTAGAAGCCTCTTCAACTTGGTTTCTGGGTCCTTCTGACATGTGACTGTCCTAGCATCATTTGTTGAAAAGACTGTTCTTTTCACAATGAATGGTCTAGGTACCCTTGTTGAAAATCAGCTGATCACAGACACATGGGTTTATTTATCTGGATTAATAATTCCATTCCATCAATCTACATGTCTATCCTTATGCCAGTACCATAGTCTTAATTACTGTGACTCTGTAGTAATTTCTGAAATTGCAAGTGTGATTCTTCCAACTTTCTTCTGCTTTTTAAAGATTGTTTTGGCTATTCTAAGTCTCTTGTATCTCTATATGGATTTTAGAATCAGCTTGTCACTTTCGGCAAAAAATCCCAGCTGGGATTTTGATAGAGACTGTGTTGAATCTGCAGACCAATTTAGGGAGTATTAGTATCTTACTATTAAGTCTTCTGATCCATGAACATGGAATGTCTTTCACCTGCTTTCTTATACAAATGATAGAGTACTAAATACTTTTCTCTACCCTGCATTTTTTACCTAATAATATGTCCTGGAATCACTCCATGTTACTGTATATTCTCATTCCTTTGTACTACTGAAGAGTACTCTACTACATAGACATACTACATTATTCCACTAGTCACCTACTGATGGACATTTGTTTGTTTTCAATTTTTGCTATTACAAATAATGCTGTAATGAATATCCCTGTGCACAGGGTTTTCTTGTGTGTGTTTTTTACCAGTATATCCTTGGGACAAAACCCTAGAAGTGGAATTGCTGGGTCAATTTTGCTAGCTATGTCTAAATTTTGTCCCATGGTGCTGTACTCTACCAGAGACACATAAGAATGTATCCAGTGCCAAAATAATTTTAATATATACCAGGATTTTGAGAACCTCAGAATTTAAAAATTATCTACTAGAATTGTCAGAAAAGAAAGGTCATTTAAGTAGTTGACACCTGTAGAAACTGTTCAGTGTGTGGCTTATGCAGTGTACGGCTTATGCAATGCATATGCAGGGAGAGAAAGGACTGACGAAGGAGACAGGGAATCTAGGGTAGGGACGGCTTTATAAATAAAGCTTGTACTAGAAACTTCAGTCTGTAAGGGTGCAAAAATCCTTGGAAGGTTCCCTGCCTTCTACCTGCTTCAATTCCCAAAAGCCAGGCAGTCCCACATGAGCAGAAAGTCATGGAAGCTGGAGTCTCCTTCCAGTTCCAGGAGAGTAGAAGGACAAGGACTGTTCCCAGCATACATGGGAAGCATATAAAATGTCAGGAGGCCTGGGTTCAAGTCTCACCTGTCACTCACTGAAAATATTGGATACATAATCTTTCTAAGCCTCAGTTTCTTCCTCTGTTGAATGTGGGGGAAAATGCCTATCCTACCTCTCAGGCACTGCAGACCAGTCAGGAAAGTGCCTGTGACAATCCTTCAGAAACTGAAAAGTACCATACAAATATGAGGAATTCCTACTAAGTTGGATTTGAAATTCTGGCTTGGCCACTCACTATTTGACTTTCCTCAAGTTTAAAACACAGATAACACTTTCACAGGGTTATTTTAAAAAGAAATTATATAATGCGTGTAAAGTGTGTGGCACAGCGCCTAACAAACAGTAAGAGCTTAAACAACAGCTTATAGTATTATCACAAGGAGAGTTATAATCTGCTGTAAAACTTTGGGGTAATAAATGTTTACATATGCTTTGCATGAACATGGAGAAGTATGTGAAAAAATAAGCAAATTAATAACATTGGTTACGTTGGATGACAAAGTTAGGGAGAAAGAGTGACTACTGGCTTTTTCTTTATACACATCTAGCTTGCCTGATTTCAGTTTGAATGGAAAAATCTAGTGTGGTGTCTTTGGTGAGAAAAGAGGGATATGCAATTGATGATGGGCACCCTCCAACCTCCTGGGCTCAAGCAATCCTCCTACCTCAGCCTCCCGAGTAGCTGGGACTACAGGTGCGTGTCACCATGCCCAGCTAATTTTTTGTAGATGGGTTTTGCCATGTTGTCCAGGCTGGTCTTGAACTCCTGAGTTCAAGCGATTCATCTGCCTCAGCCTCCCAAAGTGCTGGGGTCACAGGCATGAGCCACGGCACCCAGCTCAATATTCTGTTTCAGTTGATAAAATGTGCACATGGGTATTCATTCATTTTATTATTTATACCAGGAGTCAGCAACCTTTTTCTGTAAACAGCAGATAGTAAACATTTCAGGCTTTGCAGGGCACATGATCTCTGTCAAAACTACTCAACTCTCATACTGTAGCACAAAAGCAGCACAGACAATACAAATAAGCCTGGCTGTGTTCCAATAAAACTTTAAGGCTGTATGTGGCTCATGGGCTGTAAAACCCGATTTACATTTTTATATATGTTAAGCATACTCTTCTTCATGTGTGAAAAAATTTAACAATTGTAAAAGATCAAACCACACACGTAAAAAAAGCTATCAAAGCTATTCTCTAAAACAAAATATTCAACACAGTGTATTTGGACAAATAAATAAATTTGGCACATAACATTTCAATCTTAAATCTTACAATCTAAAATCTTAAAGACAGAATTTTCTTTCAAAACTTATTTCATGTAAGAAAATTTTTCCTACTCAGTTCTCTCTTCTGCCCTCATCTTGTATGTACTAAAATATTCACACCACACTTTATGTCTCTGCCTATCAAGAAGATGGAAAAACACAGTCATCAGCCCTTTGGTTTCTTTTTAAGCACCTGCCCCACCCTATGCCCATTCTTTCAACATTCCAACTTCCTCCTCCCTAAAATAATGAATTTAAGGTAGAAAGAAATGAAAAAGAATGGAAATTTACAAGAGAGCATGACCGATAATTGTTACCAAGAAAACATTTTCCCTTTTTGCTCTTAATAGGCTGTAAAGCTGATGCAATTAAATTATAACTATAGCAACTAAGATGGCATCATGGGCCTTTCGCTCCAGCAGTATCTTTGCATACAGCACAGAGCCTGCATGCTCAAGACTGGGGGTAACTGCAGGCAGCCAGGAGTAGCAGGTAAGGAGCCTGCAGGGAAGGCAAGTTAGCAGAAGTGTCTAAAGGCTGGTTGGGCTGTGAGAAAGCAGTGTAGGGAAGCAGTTGGCTGCATTTAGCTGCAAGGCTGCAGGGTAAAAAATCCCTGCCAGGGTTCCTCTGATTTGCCTTTACCAATGCCAACAGAACCAAAACCAACTAGTTATTTTAGAAAATAACATTTTGGGGAGGTCTACAGAAGAATTTCCACAACATCCTTACTGACTCGACAGAGCAGCCAAAACATTCAGCTCTCAAGAACAAGAATGTAGCCCACTCCTACATAATACTCCTGTGACATCTGTTAAATGCTTAGAGCAGACGATGTCCCACATTAACACCAGCACTTAGTTCTTTCTCAAGTTCAAGGGATGAAGACTGAGGAGATGACCGACAATTTTCCATATTTCCTGCACAGAATCTCAGTGTCTTTCCGGACCCATCAAAGGCACAAGTAGCAGCACCCTCTCCATCCTCCCATGCCCTTCCATCACAATCAGAGGAGTATGCACTCTGGAGTCAACCTCACTAGGTTTGAATCCTGACTTTACCACTCGCCAGCTGTGTGATCTGGAAGAGTTACTTGACTTCTCTGAGCCTTTGTTGCTCAACTCTAATGTGGAGATTGTAGCCTAATGATGGTTGTGAAAATTAAGCAAAATCTCACGTCTAGCCAAGCTTGTAACACACAGTAAATAACCAGTAAATCACATTTCTTAAGGAAAGCAGCATAGTTTTTTTCTGCCCCACTCCCCACATTATAAGCTCCTTGAGAGCAAGAACCATGTCTAATTCATGGCTGTCACCCCAGAGATGGTCCAGACCTGGCACAGCGTGGACCTTAAACACGTTTGTGGAATCAACAGCCCAACTGATGCTGTGTGGCAGCAGTGGCTGCCAGCTCAGTCAGTCAGCACTTTTCCCCAGCTGCACTCTCTTAGGGCTCACCCACTCTCCTGTTCTACAATCAGCTGGGGGCACTGTATTTCCAAGGCCTTTCAGAAGCAGCCTCCCGGGTCACTGACAACAAGCAGACAGAATCACTCCTCACTTGGATGGTTTCTCATCACTAACTGCTCATCAATTTCTTCCAAATGCTCTTAAAAACTGTCCTCATCACTGAGTGCTCTCTAGCTTTGAAGGTAAAACTTATCTGTGGGGTCCATACGTATTAACATAACGGGAGCCATTTATGACCCAATGATCATTGAACCCAAGCAGGAACTTCTGTGACCAGATTCAGCATGACAGGGCTCTTTCACCCCCTCCCACCTTGTGATCATCTCTCCCTGTGATATCAGCTCATAACTTGGTGAGGCAGACAGGCTAGAAAACCTGAGAGGCAGGGAAACAAACCAAGGCTGCTGTCCTGTTTACAACACTTTCTGAGTTCCCAAGAATCTGGCTAGTGGCTGTCATTCACAGATTGGATCTGAATTCAAGGCAGGAAAGAAGAAACAGATCCTGCCCGCAAGCCACCCAGTACTAATGCTGTCTCCCTACCAGTACTCACGCCTTGACATCTGCCGTCTCCTGGGACGTGCGTGTTAGGGTACGGGAACGCAGGCGCTCTCCCGCCTGCTGGATCTCCTGTAAGTTCCGTTCCACATGGGGAAGCTCTGAGATGCCCTCAGTCTCAGCAGCAAGCTGTTCAGCTTGCTGAAGGAGCTCACCAAACCCCTCAGTATCCATTGGAGATGCAGATCCTAGATGGGAGAAAAAATGAAAAGATCTAAATCAAGGGAAAGACAGGTTTCAAACACTGCCTGAATCTGTTACAAGCTTAACAAAACAGCAGAACTTTTTGTAAACAGACGAGGACACAGCTCATCAACAAGCAGGATTTGTTCCTGAACATAGCCCAAGAACAGGCCTGACAGAGAAAATGAGTCAGGCTGTGAAAAAACAGATCATTTCTGTGCATATTGACAGCCCCAAGATTGATTTCTGCCATCAGAACAAATGCACAGATATCAAGTCACAGACCAGAATTCCTGTCTCCTTCCACAGACTCAAAGCAGGTAAGGAAATGGAAACCACTGTGGCACTCTAGGAGGCTTAAAGAACAGTCAACCTGCACCTCTTATTCTCCACCCATCTTAGAAAAACACTACCACCCTAAAAGCACCAGGCAATTTATAAGACCTTATGTCAAATGACCCTCATAACCACTCTGTGAGGAACAAAGAAAGAAGAACAAATTCCAATCCACAGAGGCTGAGTTACATGCCAAGAATACTCTCTACTGTGATTTGGCTGAACCAAGACCAGGAAAACAAAGGCATTCTTCGGACTAACCACCACTAACTCTCCCTCTCTCCCCTACTGTTATTCTAACACACCTGCTCCTTCACTAACATAGAAGAAATTCTTCTTTTTTTTTTTTTAATACTCATGTCCAGGTCTCCATTCACACATTCTTTATCTTACAAGGTTAATGAGAGCACAGATCTGTGCCTGCTTGTTATATATGACATTCGGGACATTAGATTTGTTACTGTACCTGCTACTTTTAGAAATGCCAGTAGTACAGAATATATACTGCACTATTCTTATATAAGGTTCTTGACCAAGAGAATGTTTTTAACTCCTACCACTAATTAAATCAACAGAAAATAAAAAGTAGCACCATGGTAAGAAAATTGGGCACAATGGCTCACGCCTGTAATCCCAGCACTCTGGGAGGCCGAGGCGGGCAGATCGCCTGAGGTCAGGAGTTCAAGACCAGCCTGGCCAACGTGGTGAAACCTCCATCTCTACTACAAATACAAAAATTAGCTGGGCATGGTGGCACACACCTATAATCCCAGCTACTCGGGAAGCTGAGGCAGGAGAATCACTTGAACCTGGGGGGCGGAAGAGTGCAGTGAGCCAAGATCACACCACTGCATTCCAGCCTGGGCAATAGAGTGAGACTCTGTCTTGGAAAAAAAAAAAAAAAATTACATTGCTAAAAGGTTAAGAAGAAAATCTTTCATTAAAAAAATTACTTGTACAATAGCTCTTGTTATACTTTTTTTCCTTCTTTTGGGAGACAGAGTCTCGCTCTGTCAGCCAGGCTGTTGTGCAGTGGTGTGATCTTGACTCAACGGCAACTTCCGCCTCAGATTCAAGCAATTCTCATGCCTCAGTCTCCCAAGTAGCTGGGATTACAGGCATGCACCACCACACCCAGCCGGGGTGACACTACCAGCTTTTTTGTATTTTTAGTAGAGATGGGTTTTGCCATGTTGGCAAATAATTATATGTCAGCTATGAAGCACAGGTTAATTGTCAAAAGGACACTGTTACTGCCATAAATCCATTAAGAACTTTTAAAAATGAGCATTAAAGGACATTAACTTTAAAGGCAAAGGCAAAAGGTTAAAAATAGCTCAGCTGGAGTAAACATAAAGACACTTTGGTATTCTTTATGAAGTTCCAAGCTGACTTTAATCTTCAACAAAAATTCACGTACACAATAACTCTTAACCTCAAGTTTCTAAACAAATATTGTAATTTTTTTGACCCATATAATCAGGCTGTAATTCGCAATCTTTATTGTGAGAAAATGGAGATGAGAGAATTAGGAAGGTATCCTCAGGGAGAGAGAAGGAAACACAAGAATTTTGAGAAGAGGGGCATTTTTAAACAACTACTCCGGCCTGATAGAGAAATGTGTTTTCTCAGGAATGTTCAAGGCCAATGACATTCTACTAATTACACGAAACCATGGTCATTCACCAGAAAGGGAAAAGAAAAACAAAGCATTCCCTTCTCCAGAACCCCACCCCACCCCTCCGCCCATTATTTTTACTCTAAGATAAAAATAATTTTTCTAACAGAGTCAAGGAAAAGAAAATACTTTTTTCTTTCATGAGGAAAACTTTGGAAATCCCTAAATAAAGAACTGAATGAAGCAAAACTTTTCTATGATTAAAAAAGAAGACAAAAAAAGATAAAGGAAGAAAGAAATACAACTAATATTTCATTCCTACGTCAGACAAAGGAAATGCTCACCTTCTCAAATGACCAGCCCACCCCCAAGATTTTGAGCAATGAATTTAAGTAATTAATACAGAATCAGTCATTTACTTTAACATGGTCTAATAAAGATTTTTTTAAGTTAATTATATAGAATTGTTTTTGACAATGGTAAAATAAAGGTTGAATCTCTGAACAACATCCTAAACGTAATATCCCAAAACTGGGCTCTAACTTTTCATCCACAAAACCTGCCCCTTGGCCTTCTCACTGTGTGAAGACTTCATTATTCAGTTGCTTGGACCAAAACCCATGATGGCCCCATAACTCACATCCTACATCCAATCAACCAACAAAGCCTTTCAAATCTACCTTCAAAATATATCCAGAATCTGCCTGTCCTTGCCATCTCTACCTAGACACCTCCCCACATCCAAGCTGCCTCCCTAGACTCTCTCAGCAGTCTCCCTCCCTAACCTCCCAGCTTCAGCCCTTGCCTCCCACAGTCTATTCAGTCTATAGCAACCCAGCAACCAGTGATCCTTTTACAGTCAGTCAGATCACATCCCTCCTGCTTAAATCTCTTGTACAGAATGAAACCGTACAAAAGGGGCCCCACCCCCCCTCATCACTCAGACTCATCTCCAGCCCTATCTCCACTCCTTTCATGGGTGCCAGCCACTCTGGGGCCTCTTTGCTGGTCCCCAACAGATCAGGCACATTCCTGCCTTACAGCCTTTGCACTCCGTGTTTCCTCTACTGGAATGCTCCTCCCCCAGAAACACTCAAGGCTGACTCCCTATCTGTTTCGGCTCACCTGTCACTCTGCCTTTGAGGCCAACCTAGAAAGCTATTTAAAAATACAAGCCACCCCCAGCAATCCCCCATCTCCTTTACTGTCTGTCACCTCTGCGAGAATATAAGCTGCACAAGCACAGTGTTTTGTTCACTGACGTACCCAAGCTTCTACAACAGTGCCTGGCACATAGCAGGTACTCATTTTTTGAATGAATAGGAGGTGTTTTTTCTTCCGTTGGTGAGAGTCTGTCCTTCTCAAAGGCTTCCTGCACTCCTTTGCCAAATGGGCACCCACTAGCAAGCAGAGATCTGAACAGAAACATTCCCTTCCAGTTGGTATCAGACTACCAACTGATACTTAACATTTCTGAGGCAGCACAGCATAAGGCAGTGACAGTCTAAATGGCATGAATTCATATCACACTTGGTCCAGACTAGTGCTTTCCCTCTAAATACCAAGACCAAAAACCAGGTGAACGGAATTACAAACCAAAAGAAACAGATATATATAGAAAGAATTTTGCTACATAACTTCAGGGTAGAAGTAAAAAGAAAATAAGCTTGTTCCACATCTGCACAGAAGAAGAGAGATATGTATGAAATACTATATTTGGGAAAAACTGGATCTGTCCTGCATTATTACTCAATCAGTAGAAATTAATTATACAAAAAAGTTTTATTAAAGTTTCCAAATTTATACATTTTTTGTTACCATCATTGTGCAATTAAATCTATACTTTGATATATTAATCATCCCACTGCGCTAAAATGCTTCAATTTATGGCTAATTTCATAAATTTAGGACAATTTTTATCCTCACCACAAAATATCAATTTAGCCACAAAATAGAGAGATTAAACCACTAAATCAACTTTGACCCAAGAGACTAAAAACTAATCATGAAAATAACCTCGGTAAGCTTTGTCCAGCAGAAACAATTAAAATGATCTATGGGGGAAAAAAATTGAAGTCCAAGCCATGTGTTGGGAAAATCTGGCCATGTAGCCTGGACACCAGCTGCATCCTTGGGGAACTATGGAGGAGAGGCACAGGAAGAAGCAACACTAAGAAACCACGGAAGCAGGACCCGGAGCAGTCAATGCAGCACAATTGGGGCTGGACAGGAAAAGGCCAGCAGGGACAGCAGAACAGCACTAGGGCTCCTCTATGACAGCAGTGACTAAGCCCTTGAGCGTGATTGGGAATCTTTTGGCAAGGCAACACTGGCAGGCACTTCAGAGAGCATCGCAAAGTATCAGGGCCTTGGGCAACAAATTACTCTCCCTATAAGTAGGACTTGGCAGAAGTGCTACTGAGCCTCCACAGAAACTCCTCAACAACCTGGGCAACTGAGAACCTTAAAATGAATGGCAAACTTATCACTGCTGTTAGAAGGCAGGATTGGTTACACTTGTGGGAGGAAGGACAGAAGTGGAAGGATGAGGAAGGCTTCAAGGGGGCTGGCAATTTTCAGTTTTTTGATCTAACCGTTGGTTGATAGTATGCTCACTTTTCAGAAAATTAGTCAATCTAGACCCATGATTTGTGCATCATACTTCAATAAAAAGCTCCCCGCCCCACTGCTGCTGCCAATCAAACAAAGGACAATGACCCACCTTTTTTCAGAAGCTGCAGTAGGATACCCCACTATGCTAAAAATAAGGAATGTTCTCAGTGGGAAGCTCCCATAATGCAGATCTCTTCACCACACCTAGAGGATGCTGAGCAAATTAACTAAATGAAAAAAGTAAAACCCACAGTTTGAAAGAGAGGGCTCCTACCTAGAGCTAAACCAAGGGCTGGCCAAACTTCTACTTCCTCATGCTGGTCTGCGTTCACCTGTCATTTAGTGTCTAAAACACATGTCCCTTTAGGGCATATCAACATTCATAAATGAGGTGGAAAGAAAATTCCCAAACTGCATATAAGGTGAAATGAACTAAATATAAAGGCAGAGCAAAAATGCACAAAATAATTTCAGTTCATTTACTATTAACATGTGAGTCTTATGAAAAATAAAATCATTTCCACATTCTGAATATAATAACTATGTTAAATATTTAATCGAGCTAGAAAGAGTAGATACCTAAATATTCAAACAGCCAAGCACTTCTAAACCATTGTAAATCAGTATTCTCAAAGAGTGGCCCCCTTCAGGATTTTGTAGATGGTCTGAATCTTAATCTGTTATAGTATTCATGCTTATTATATTAAAATCCCACATATCTGTTTTCTGATATTATTAGTTCATTGGTTTCTTTTATTTTTAAAGCATCAGCCATGAGTAGAATACCTCTCTTCCTTTACTCAGGGCTTATGGACTCTCAAGCTGGGGAATCACTGAGTCATCCCAGAAATAGCTGTTACTCACTAGTTCTCTAGACTTAAGCCTATGTTACTCCCAGGATATACTCCAGAAAATTAAAGCACCAAAGCTACAAAGGGAAAAGGAAAATGAAACAAAGGAAGCTACAAAAGAGCCTCAGAGCCATCCATCCTAGACATATCTGCCAAACACTTGCCCAGTTTCTAGTATCCTAGGGCAAGAGTGAGCAAACTTCTTCTGTAAAAGGACAGGTAGTGAATAGTTCGGGCTTTGTAGGCCAGGCTCTGTAGCAACTACTCAACTGTGCTGTTGTAGCTTGAAAGCAGGCATAGATAATATGTAAACCAACAGGCGTGGCTGTACTTTAATAAAACATTAATCATGAACACTAAAATTTGAGTTTCATATAATTTTCACATGGTTATAAAATATTTTTCTCTGGATTATTTTTCCCCCAAGGATCCAAAGACGTAAAAACCCTTCTTAGTTTATTTGGCACATAGGCCATAGTTTGCCAACTCTTGGGCCTAAGGTATTTAAGCTAGACTTGATAAGTAAGCTACCCTAACTAGGCCCCCGTGTGAAAACACTGTTAAAAAGATAAAATGAGTGACACAATAGGTGTGTTGCCATCTCGTTTCCTCTTTAAACTGTTCATTTGGAGAGCATATTTGGGGAAGAAATCTGTTTTGTAAATGATGATGCCTGTCCCATTGACCTAATGCACAGGATGCTAAAGGGAATCCACTGCTCTTTGTAAGTATAATGCAACATATTAAACCCATGTGAATTTTCCCTTTTCCTTATCACCCACAATCCAAACAGCCCAGTTATGCAAGAAATACAAAGGGCTGAGAAAAAGATGAAAGAATAAAGACAAAGCCATCTGTCTTTTCTTCCATGTTAAAGAAATCTCTCTCCATTCACTGACTTGCATGGGGAGATGACACCAGCTATTTTCCTGCAGAATTTCAATATAATCAAACAATACTGACTGAGGAATTCTAATTTAGTAAAATGTATGTAGTAACATACCCAAATATTGTCTCTTTCAACTTCAAAGATCATGCAACCTAAAAAAGACAGTTGTTAGCACTGCTATTTTTTTTGATGTTGTCAAAGGGGGAGATTTTATATACATCAGAGAAAGTAACAGATGTTGCTATTTATATCCTTTCTTCCAAATGTACAACTGACAATGATCTTCCTTTTTTGATTATTTTAAATAATTATTTTTGATTATTTTCGATATTTTAAATAATAACAGTAAAATAACAGTAAACAGTACTGTTTTTAAT
The DNA here is from genome assembly GCF_000001405.40 of Homo sapiens. Taxonomy (NCBI): domain Eukaryota; kingdom Metazoa; phylum Chordata; class Mammalia; order Primates; family Hominidae; genus Homo; species Homo sapiens. The sequence goes on along the minus strand of NC_000016.10, from coordinate 56,741,554 downwards.
AACAGTAAAAGAAATGGAAAATAAAAACATATTTTAGACGGAATGGGTGAGAAGATTACACTGTGAACCCAAACACCTGGTTCCAATCCAGACTGTTCATTTACTAGCAGATAAACTGATTTACCTCTGAGATAAAACCCCAATTTCTCTGTCTCAATTTCCTCATCAATCAAAAATGGTAATTCCTACCTACTTCAAGGAGTTGTTGATACATAAAATTATCTTATAAACTCTGCTGATTTATATCATTGTAAAATGCTATTTTAGCTTTTTTCCCAAGTTGCCAATTTGGCAACATTTTATCATTTAATTATAAACATCTCTGCTTCAAAAAATCTTTTAGTAAATATTTAATCCCAAATTATAACTTATTTAATCACAACTTTATATCATTAAGTAAGAACTTCTGGAAGACAATTAAAATGTTTAAATGTATGTTGTATTGCCCACTACCAAATATGCTTTTTATTATAAATCCAGATTTCCATAATGAAGGTGTGATTCAAAAGAAATTTAGCGCTCTCCCTCTCCCTCTCCCTCTCCCTCTCCCCACGGTCTCCCTCTCATGCGGAGCCGAAGCTGGACTGTACTGCTGCCATCTCGGCTCACTGCAACCTCCCTGCCTGATTCTCCTGCCTCAGCCTGCCCAGTGCCTGCGATTGCAGGCTCGCGCCGCCACGCCTGACTGGTTTTGGTGGAGACGGGGTTTCGCTGTGTTGGCCGGGCCGGTCTCCAGCCCCTAACCGCGAGTGATCCGCCAACCTCGGCCTCCCGAGGTGCCGGGACTGCAGACGGAGTCTCGTTCACTCAGTGCTCAATGGTGCCCAGGCTGGAGTGCAGTGGCGTGATCTCGGCTCACTACAACCTACACCTCCCAGCCGCCTGCCTTGGCCTCCCAAAGTGCCAAGATTGCAGCCTCTGCCCGGCTGCCACCCCGTCTGGGAAGTGAGGAGTGTCTCTGCCTGGCCGCCCATCGTCTGGGATGTGAGGAGCCCCTCTGCCTGGCTGCCCAGTCTGGAAAGTGAGGAGCGTCTCCGCCCGGCCGCCATCCCATCTAGGAAGTGAGGAGCGCCTCTTCCCAGCCGCCATCACATCTAGGAAGTGAGGAGCGTCTCTGCCTGGCCGCCCATCCTCTGAGATGTGGGGAGCGCCTCTGCCCCGCCGCCCCATCTGGGATGTGAGGAGCGCCTCTGCCCGGCCGAGACCCCGTCTGGGAGGTGAGGAGCGTCTCTGCCCGGCCGCCCCGTCTGAGAAGTGAGGAGACCCTCTGCCCGGCAACCACCCCGTCTGAGAAGTGAGGAGCCCCTCCGCCCGGCAGCTGCCCCGTCTGAGAAGTGAGGAGCCTCTCCGCCCGGCAGCCACCCCATCTGGGAAGTGAGGAGCGTCTCCGCCCGGCAGCCACCCCGTCCGGGAGGGAGGTGGGGGGGTCAGCCCCCCGCCTGGCCAGCCGCCCCGTCCGGGAGGGAGGTGGGGGGGTGAGCCCTCCGCCCGGCCAGCCGCCCCGTCTGGGAGGTGAGGGGCGCCTCTGCCCCGCCGCCCCTACTGGGAAGTGAGGAGCCCCTCTGCCCGGCCAGCCGCCCCGTCCGGGAGGGAGGTGGGGGGGGTCGGCCCCCCGCCCGGCCAGCCGCCCCGTCCGGGAGGGAGGTGGGGGGGTCAGCCCCCCGCCTGGCCAGCCGCCCCGTCCGGGAGGGAGGTCGGGGGGTGAGCCCTCCGCCCGGCCAGCCGCCCCGTCTGGGAGGTGAGGGGCGCCTCTGCCCGGCCGCCCCTACTGGGAAGTGAGGAGCCCCTCTGCCCGGCCAGCCGCCCCGTCCGGGAGGGAGGTGGGGGGGTCGGCCCCCCGCCCGGCCAGCCGCCCCGTCCGGGAGGGAGGTGGGGGGGTCAGCCCTCCGCCCGGCCAGCCGCCCCGTCCGGGAGGGAGGTGGGGATGTCGGCCCCCCGCCCGGCCAGCCGCCCCATCCGGGAGGGAGGTGGGGGGGTCAGCCCCCCGCCCGGCCAGCCGCCCCGTCCGGGAGGGAGGTGGGGGGGGGTCAGCCCCCCCGCCCGGCCAGCCGCCCCGTCCGGGAGGTGAGGGGTGCCTCTGCCCGGCCGCCCCTACTGGGAAGTGAGGAGCCCCTCTGCCCGGCCAGCCGCCCCGTCCGGGAGGGAGGTTGGGGGGTCAGCCCCCCGCCCGGCCAGCCGCCCCGTCCGGGAGGGAGGTGGGGGGGGTCAGCCCCCCTGCCCGGCCAGCCGCCCCGTCCGGGAGGTGAGGGGCGCCTCTGCCCGGCCGCCCCTACTGGGAAGTGAGGAGCCCCTCTGCCCGGCCACCACCCCGTCTGGGAGGTGTGCCCAACAGCTCATTGAGAACGGGCCAGGATGACAATGGCGGCTTTGTGGAATAGAAAGGCGGGAAAGGTGGGGAAAAGATTGAGAAATCGGATGGTTGCCGTGTCTGTGTAGAAAGAAGTAGACATGGGAGACTTTTCATTTTGTTCTGCACTAAGAAAAATTCCTCTGCCTTGGGATCCTGTTGATCTGTGACCTTACCCCCAACCCTGTGCTCTCTGAAACATGTGCTGTGTTGTCCACTCAGGATTAAATGGATTAAGGGCGGTGCAAAAAAAAAAAAAAAAGAAATTTAGCATTTAATTTTAAGCAGAAACTCTGCCCTCAAACCTTATTAATCAGACTATGACAGGAGTAAAACACAAGAATGGTGTTCAACATTCTTGTGAATGATTCTTTCTTTTCTCATCCAAGATTGATGAGAAAAACCTCCACCCAAGGTATCAAAAGTTTAATACTGATTCTGTTCTCCTCTCTTTTGAATACATAAACTAGCTAGATGACAATATCATTCCACTTTTTACTATTATCTGTCAGCTGTCAATTACAACAACAACCCCAAAAAAATTAAATCTTGACAGACATCATTGTTTCAGATGCCTCTGGAAGAGAGAGGAGAGGGAAAAAAAAATTGTTGGAAAGTTCTTTACAGCCCTGTGAGACTAAGTAAAAGAGACCTTATCATTATTCAAAAGGTAGAGTTCTGGAGAAAACAAAGACCTAAAATAAATTAACCTAGACAGAAGAAAAAGACTTGGGTGATTTAGTAGCAGTACTGCCCTCAGTGACTCAATGTTTGCAATAAGGAATGGGTAGTATCAGCTTTCCTGATACATAAAATATCACTTGTATTATTTCCTCTTCAATGAGCAAAGAGAAGTAATAACCTGGCATCACAAAGAAAAATAAATTATCCACATAGTAACTTTCTGATAAACTCTTGGCTGTCCAGCAGAAGGCCCAGCTGGGAAGAAAGTGCTGTGGACTACAGCTTGGCTCCATCCCACGCCAGCCCTCTGACCCTGGGGCTGGATCGTCTCTGGATGAGGGGGTTGCTCAGGTGATCTCTAAGGGCCTGCTCACCTTAAAGAATTTACAAATGTGAGATGTTTTAATTCGGTCTTTAAACTTACTTGATGCTTCCTGGGAAACAGCCCCATTTTAGTGGTGATGGAAATTATCTCTACAGAGAACCTTAGGAATGATACTAGTTCTGTCTTACAACTAGCATAAACAGGGGCAGATCACCAAGTCGGCCCCAAAGGGCCTGTGGCTTTGGCTCTGGCTCTGGCTCTTCTCTCTAAACCAATGCTACTCAACTTTGCCCCACAGGGGACATTCAGCAATAGCTAGAGACATTTTTGGTTGTCACAACTTGGGAGGCAGAAGGTGTGCGGATTCTAACAAAAGTCTGGGTCCCTACCATTATAATTTTAAAACCATTGCATTTACAGAATTATCCCACTTGGGCTTTTTATGGCAGTATATTCATACCTTGGTATACCACACACAGCAATGGAAAAGAAACTACAGACTACACAGAACATGGATGAATTTCACAGACATCACAATGAGCTGAAGAAGCCAGATACAAAAAGAAAAAAAAAAAAGCACCGTATGACTCCATTTATATGGATCTTAAAAACAGAAAAAATGAATCTATGGGACTAAAGATCAGAATACTGGTTATCCTTGGGAGTGTAGGGGGAGTGCTGATTGGGAGAAAGCACAGCAGAGCTTTTCGGGTACTAAGGACTGAACTGTATTCTCTCAGAATTCCTGTGTTGAAGCCCTACCCCACAATGTGATGCTATTTGGAGATGGGGTCTTTGGGAAGTAATTAGACTCAGATGAGGTGACGTGGGTGGGGTCTTCAGGATGGGATAAGTGCCCTTAGACACACCAGAAAGCTTGCTTTCCTCCACCTACCTCTCCCCACACATACACATCAAAGAAAGGTCTTGACTACACACTGAGCAGCGAGGAAGAGGGCCCTCACCAGAACCCAACTATGCTGGCATCCTGATCTCGGACTTCCAGCCTCCAAAACTGTGAGGAAATAAATTTCTGTTTAAGCCAGAACAACAGATATTTTGATATTTTATTATGGTGATCTGAGCTGACCAAAGTACCAGAAATGCTTTATATTTCAATATGGACAGTGGTCACATAAGTGAATAAATGTGTAAAAATTCCCTAAGCTGTATACTTAAGGTTGACTCACAGTTTTTTAGAAGGAATAGCAAGAAACAAAGCACTGACTTAGCAAGAAACAACCTAGCATTACCAAGGTGAGAGTTGGGAGACTTTTCTACTTTTCATTTGATTCCCTTGTCAGGGCAAATTCTTTTCCATGAGTATATGTGATCTTACATAATTTTTAATAACTTGTTAATTTTAATATTGCTCTAAATTCCCTACTTCACAGTGTGTGTCTCACCACTGCCCTTGAAGACTCAATGGCAATGACTGTCAAATCCACACCTGCCCCCGTGCACTCAAACTCCAACCGTGAGTTTCCAGGCACCACTGGTGCATCTCCTCTCAAGCACATAACTGTCACACCCACCATGTCTCCAAATGCAGTTATCCACCCCCAACTCCTCCTCCGCCTCTGCCCCTGGCTTCTGTCTCCCAGGTTCTAACTCACCCTGTTCCTTTGCATCTCTGTGTTACCTCAGATTGTTTACTTACAGGTGTCCCTCCACTCTCAGACTCAGAAACCAAACACATGTAGATACATTTTTCCATAGCAAGCAGGCAGGTATTCCTCATTATCCAAACTATTGCTACTCTCTAACTAAAACTCAGGAAACGAAATACTACAGACTCAGATAACATGATATTCCTCACTCTCCAAACTCTCATTACCGAAACAGATTATTTATTTATTTATTTTTGAGATGGAATCTCGCTTTGTTGCCCAGGCTGGAGTGCAATAGCGTGATCTCAGCTCACTGCAACCTCCACCTCCCGGTTTCAAGCAATTCTCCTGCTGACTCAGTCTCCTGGGTAGCTGGGATTACAGGCACGTGCCATCACGCCAGGGTAATTTTTGTATTTTTAGTAGAGATGGTGTTTCACCATGTTGGCTAGGCTGGTCTTGAACTCCTGACCTCAGGTGATCTGCCTGCCTCAGCCTCCCAAAGTGCTGGCCTTACAGGCGTGAGCCACTGCACCCAGCTCCTAAACAGATTTAAATAGCATGGGGTATTTATATTTTTGCAACATCCTCTAACTATTGCTTTCATCCCCATCACTACCACCTAAGGCCAGACCTTCATTCCTTTAAGTCTAAGTCCTTCTTACATGCTAGAACATGGGCTTCCTCCTCCTAGCCCTGCCCCCAACTCTATGCACCCTACTCTCTGTGGCCACCTCTAGCTTCCTTTTTTTTTTTTTTTGAGACGGAGTTTCACTTTTGTCCCCCAGGCTGGAGTGCAATGATGAGATCTCAGCTCACTGCAACTTCCACCTCCCAGGTTCAAGCGATTCTCCTGCCTCAGCCTCCCGAGTAACTGGGATAACAGGCACGCACCACCATGCCCAGCTAATTTTTGGGGTTTCACCATGTTTGCCACGCTGGTCTCGAACTCCTGACCTCAAGTGATCCGCTCGCCTTGGCCTCCCAAAGTGCTAGGAATACAGGCGAGGGCCACTGCGCCCGACCCCATCTCTCTTTCTGACACGGCTGTTGCCCCTGCTCAAAAAACCTCACTGGCTCCCATTCACAGGGATCCATCCAGGTGAGTCACTGCTTTTAACTTTCTACCTCCCAGAATAAACCTTGTGTACCAGTCACTTGATTTACTTGGTCCCTGACTATCCTTGCACATGTCCTGCTCTGTGCCATTTTTCCCAAAAAGAAACACCTACCCAACCTTCCACTGCAGCCCTGAGCTCCAGCCAGCTCCTTCACTCTTTAGCTCGATGACTTTGGGCAAATTAATTACTCTCTCTGGGCCTCATCTGTGAAATGGAAAAATAACTGCATCTCCCTCACCTGTCACAAAGTAACCACTCAATAAACATTAGCTATCATTATTACCACCAACTCAAGTCCTACCTACCAAATGGTCTTCCTCAATACACATTACCTACAGAAAGTTTCCCTCATCTAAATTCCTTTTACTCCATTCATTTATTTGCCCGACATCATCTCCTGAGCTCTGTCTGTGTATGAGTCCCCACTATGGGCTTTATTTGTATAATCTAATGTCATCCTCACAGCAGACCTCTGGTGTCCAAAGGGACCAACTGGTACACAGGTTTTTCAGCAGGGCAACAGCCGTGTCAGAAAGATAGAGATGGGCACAGACAGTAGGGTGCATGGAGTGGGAGGGGTTAGGGGGAGGAAGGCCGTATTCTAGCATCTAACAAAGACTTGGACCTTCCCCATCTTCCTCATTTCAGTAAATAGTATCTTCATGCTAGAAGTTGCTCAGGTCTAAAACCGTGGCATTGTCCTTGACTTCTTTTCTCCTCTTATACCCTACATTAGCAATTCATTTCTACACTACATTTATTCATATATACATGAGTCAGACCCACTTTTTGTCTCTTCTACCACTATCATCCTGGTGCAAGCCACTCTCATGTGTCACATCTGGGTGATATAGTAGCTTCCTGTCTCCCTGTTCTTACTTTGTCCCCTCCCACTTCCCAGTCTGTTCTCCACACCACACTGGGAAGGATCCTCTAAAGGGGCTCAAACCTTCAATAGCCCCCGTCACTCACAGGCTGAGATCCAAAGTCCTTACCCTGTGCTGTGAGGCCTACATGACTGTCCCCGACCCAACTCCTTCTGTTACCACTCTTCCCCAGGATTATGTACTTTGGTCCTATGGCCTTCCACTCTTCTTCAAATATGCTAAATACACTGCTGACTTGGGCTTTCAGTCACTGTTTCCTCTGCATCTGCAGGAATATTCTCCTCCAAAATACCTACCTAGCTAACCCCCTTAATTCCTTCAAATCTCTGCTCAAAGGTTTCCTTTTTAAAGAAGCTTCTCAGCACACCCCAGCTAAAGCAGCCCCACCGTCCACTCTACCACATTTCTGTTTTACCTCGTTGGTAGTATGTTATCAATTTCTGGCATCACATGCCTACCTGTTTGTTCATTTATTGTCTGTCTCCTAACAGGCTCCTTGAGTCTGGGAACCTTGTCTGGTCTGTCCACAGCCCCATTCCCAGTACACTGAACAACAGCACCTAATGCTCAATAAATATGTGTTAAATGAATGAAGGAAGGAAGAGAAGACTATAACTTTGGTGTACCTAACAGATCAATGTAGGAATTTTTGGCAAGGTTTGAGAAAGTTTCTTCTGGCTTTTAGCAACTGTGTATGGGGGATCTAGCTGTTTGAGGACACAGTTGAAGCTATAAAAAAGTATAAAGCTATAAAATATTTCAAACGTTATGTTATTCAGGGGAGAAGAGATGGAGGTATTAACAGACATTAATACAAGGCAAATAAGTGAGCTAGGAGGACTCTAATCTATCAAAACAAAGGGGATTCTCATATCTCTATGTCCAGCCCAACTCTTTTCCCAAGCCAGTATTTCCAACTGTCCACCTAATACCTACACCTGGATGACTCATGGGTGCCTCAAACTACACATGTCCCAAATCAGACTCATCACTTCTCTCTCCTTAGCCACTGCCACCACCAATGCTTCCTTCTCGTGGGTTCCCAGTCTCTTTTCGTAAAACAATTAGCACACAGTCAGGTAAGCCAGGAACCACCTTCAAGTCACCCCAGCGCCCCTTTCACCTCCTCAACACTCAGCCAATCTCAAGCTCTACTTCTCAAACCTTTTGCAAAGTCATACCCTCATCTCTCGCCCCTTCTCTGACTTGCACGCCGACTAAGCCTTCTTGTTCCTCCAATCAACCTCCCCATGGTCAGGGAGGTCTTTCTGAAATGCTTTCCTGCCTTAAGTCCATCAGGGACACCTTCCATCCCCTACAGAATAAGATGCTCATGTTTTGACAGAGCTATAAAGGGTGCTCTCCATAGAACAGACACTGCCACCCTTACTATCCTCATCCCTCGCTGCCTTCCCCCAATTATATACCCTAGCAATTCTCTATTCTTTGGGGTGCCTGTTTCCTCCCTTCATACTCCTGTACATGCTAAGTACACACTCTCTATAACACATCCCCAACCCTATCTTGTCACATGGGGAACTCCTATGTATGCTGCAGCCAGCTGGGAAAGTCCCACCTATGCCAACCCCTCCCACACTACTCTGAATCTTCTATACTGTTCTTCCCTAGTGCAGCAGTTGTGATTATTTCATCACACATATGTCTCCCTCTCTAGTGGCAAATTTCCTATAGGGTAAGGTCCACAGATGCTCAACTCTGAGTCCTCAGCATTAAGTCTGGCACATAACAGGATCAGATACATATTTGTTGAATTAAAGTGACCTGTTCCCTGAACACACCAGTGAAAGATCTTCCCTCTAACTCCATATTCTTTAAATAAACTTTTTCATGAGGAGTGGGCCCTCTCACCTTCGGATCTTTGCTCCAACCTGTCCCCCTCCTTGGCACATCCATCTTTCTGTCAACCTTATTTTCTACATCAGTCTATGAAGAGGCTGGTTCAGACCCTCAGGCTCACCACATCTCCAGCTGTTCACACTGCACGGTCTTTGCACCTGCTCTACCCACTACCAGCAATGCTCTCAGATAGTCCCATGACCTGCTCATTCATTTCAAGCAGGTCTCTATTCAAATATCCCTGTCCTCCTTTAAGAAACAGCCCTGACATCACACTTCCTATCTGTGCTTTTATTGCTAGTGGTACCCTCCACAGGCTTATCAGTTCAATGAGGGCAGGCCTGTCTCATTCACCACTGCATCCCCATGCCTGCAAGAGTGCCAGTAACATTCATCTAGTTCATATTTTTTGAGCACCTACTGTGTGCCAGACCTAGGTGCTAGGAACACATCAGTGAACAAAACAGATAAAAATCCCCTCACTCACATTCTACAGGGGGAAGACAACAATACACAAGAAAAATACGTGAAATATAAGTGCTAAGAACAACTAAAGCAATGAAGGGAGGCGGGAAATGGGGAAAGCCTCACTAGGTGCCTCCCTAGTGAAGACCTGGAAGAAGTGAGTGCAAACTACATGGATATTAACTTGCAAGCACAAATGCCCTGAGGCTAAAGCATGTCTGACGTTTGGAAAGGGAGGGAGCAGAAAATGAGACTGGGAAAGTAACAGTGGGTCAGATTATGTAAAGCCTTATAGCTCACTGTAAAGGGGTTTGTCTATCATTATTAATGAGATGGGGACCCATTGGAGGGTTTTTTTTTTCTTTTAAGTAAAGGAATGATACGATCTGACAGCCTGTGTTTTAAAAAGATCCCTCTAGCTGCTGTGCAAAAAACAGGGGCCAGGACAGAAGCAGGAAGACCAAATGGGAAACTATTTCAATAATCCAAACCAGAGGTGGTGACCTGGCCCAGGGTGGCAAGTATTATTTGTGGCGTGAAAAACAGAAGACTGGGTGTGGTGGCCCACACCTGTAATTCCAACACTTTTGTGGGAGGCCGAAATGGGCGGATCACTTGAGGCCAGGAGTTCAAGACCAGCCTGGCCAACATGGTGAAATCCCGTCTCTACTAAAAATACAAAAATTAGCCAGGTGAGGTGGTACACGCCTGTAATCCCAGCTACTTGGGAGGCCGAAGTAGGAGAATCACTTGAGCCTGGGAGGCAGAGGTTGCAGTCACACGATGACACGAGATCGCACCACTGCACTCCAGACTGAGCGACCGAGGGAGACTGTCTCAAAAGAAAAAAAAAAAAAGGAAAGAAAAGAAAAAGAAAGACAGCAGTCAACGATGGCTCAAAAGTTATTAGCCAAGGTCTTTCCTATTATTGAGATGAGAAAAAAGAGGCAACAGGAGCAGTTTGGGGAGAGTAATGAAGGGGAGCTTGCTAGCCCTCTCTTGGCATGTTTAATTTGAGTTGCCTATAACCCATCTCAGTGGAGATATTAAGTGGGTGGCTGGATAAAAGTCAGGGGTGAGACCTGCGATGGAGATATAAATACGGAATCTGTTAGCCTCTGATATGTATGTATTTAATGCTATGAAATCACCATCAATGAAAATAAAAATATTGCAAACACAAATGCACAAAGGAGAATTTAAAGAAAAAAAAATAAAGAAGAAAAGCTAGGATGACCGAGGATACCCTCCCACATACCCTGGAAAGAATACAAAAAGGTGACCCTCGCTTTTGCTGAAAGACAACTCGGTCAAAATAAAAATTAAATAAATAAAACCTCCTTCCCACGTCTGGCAGAAGGGCAAATCCAGACCAGAGGCTCTGTCAACGTGTCTTTCATACTTTCACCAAGGACCCATGGGGTCGGCCCCATAATTTTTTCAAAAGAAACCCAGTGAACTTGGGCATCGCCTCTGCAGGGAACGGGATGGAGTAAGCACAGAGAAGGGTGGGCCACCCCTGGGTTCCAATCACCAGCATCCTCCTGGATGTACAAAAGGTAAGCCAAGGGTTGGGATAAGTTCCCCTCGCCCCAAAGACCCCTTCCCTCGCAGAGCAACGCCTCCCTACAGGGTGTGTCCACGAGGGGTAGGCAAGCAGGCAGGGCACGGTCAGGAAGGTAAGCAGGCGGGGCGTTGTGGCGCAGGCTTAGGCAGGGTGGGCTCGCGGGGCACGAGGTGGAGGTGAGGGCAGGGGCGTGGCGCGAGGGCACCACAGTGGGGAAGGGGGAGTCGGGAGGCCTAGGTTCTGCATTCAGAAAGTGGACGAATGAAAGGCACCCCCAGGGATGCAGCCCGACTCCAAGCCTCGGGGGCGGCTCGACAAGGCGTTGTGTCGCCGGCGTCAGGCGTGCCCGGCTGCCATGAGGAGAACGGGAAGTATGAGCGGCGGGGTTCCGAGCGTGGGGACGGCGCTCCACCCAGTCACGGGGTCCTGGGTTCAAGGACAAGCCCAGGGTCGCAAGGACGCGACCAGACACACCCTTACCTTGTGCTACAGCCGTCTCCGCCGCTCAGGTGCCGGCTTGAGGACGCGGCCGCCGCTTCTCGCGCCGCTCTCCCCCGCTTCCTGATTGGCCAAGGCTGGCCGCTCCCAGAAGCCCTCGCGCGGTGCGACGCCAAATGAACTTTATGGAGACCCGTGGGGGAGGACAAGAACAGGGGCGGGGCCGGGGGCGGGGCGGAGGTGGGGCCTTGGGCCAAACCGTCACCCCTGGGCCACAGGCAGCCACGGACCTCGCCTTTCCCACTTGGTTAGAGTCGGCTCTGCCGGGAGAAAGCGATTCCAGAATTCCCTAAGTTAAAGGAATTTCTTACTCCTTCTTGAGCGCCATCCAAGGGCCAGGCCTTAGTCTAGGAACTGGCAACACCGTGGCGACCACGTCAGACAAGATCGCTGCCCTCATTGAGTTCCCAGGTTGGCAGGGGAAACAAAAATGTAATAAATAACTGCACTTTGCAAGAAGAGCTATGAAGAAAAAACAGGGTGATGGGAGAGAGAATGCTTGGATGTTGAAGGGAGGCCTTTCTGAGATGGCGACATCTTGAGCTGAATAAAGAAGGATGAGAAAGGATGGGGCTTGCAAAGTTCTGGCTTCAAAGAATTCCAGGCAGAGGGAACAAGAGTGAAGTCTCCAGGGGAAGCCAGCTTAGTGTTTGGAGACTAGAAAGAAGGGGTGTGCGGCTGGAAGATGGTGAGTAGGGACAAGTGGGGTCAGACTCATCCATAGACTGGATGGCTTATACACAACAGAAATTTTTTTCTCACAGTTCTAGAGGCTGGGAAGCCTTAGATTAAAGCACCCGCAGATTCAGTGTCTGCTGAGGGCCTGCCTCCTAATTCATAGATAGCACTTGATATGGTTTGGCTCTGTGTCCCCACCCAAATCTCACCTTGAATTATAATCCCCATAATCTCCACATATCAAGGGTGAGACCAGGTGGAGGTAACCAGATCATGGGGGGCAGTTTCTGGCATGCTGTTCTCACGATAGTAAGTCTCATGAGATCTGGTGGTTTTATAAGCGTCTGGCATTTCCCCTGCTTGCACTCATTCCCTGTCCTGCTGCCCTGTGAACATGTGCCTTCCACCATAATTATAAGTTTCCTGAGGCCTCCCCAGCCATGCGGAACTGTGAGTCAATTAAACCTCGTTTCTTTATAAATGACCTGGTTTCAGGTATTTCTTCACAGCAGCATGAGAACGGACTAATATAGCACTCTTCTCCCTGTAACCACACACAGAAGGGTGAGGGGAGCTCTCCAATATTTCTTTTATTAGGGCTCTAATCCCATTCATGAGGGCTTCACTCTCATGACCCAATCACCTACCAAAGTCCTCCCCTCTTAATACCATCCCAATGGAGAGCAGAGTTTCAACATATAAATTTGAAGGGGGAGGACACAAACATTAAGAAGTCTATAGCAACTAGTGTCCAGCTTTGTTTATTTTTAATACCTCACACCAGCATATTGTGAGTTCTCTATAAATAATTGGTGCTGATTAACAATATGTATGAATGTGGCCTTTGCCCTGAAGCTATTATATATGTAACCAGACCCCGCTATGGTCAGAGAATATCCACAAAGATAATAGTATCTTGCATCTGAATAATGTTTTATACTTTTACTTTGCTTTTTCTTTATGTAAAAAAAAAAAAAAAAAGCACTTTTAATGACATAGACAAATGCTTGTGCAATATTGCCAAATGAAAATTCCGGACACTTGCCTTTTAAAGCTGAATATTTCTACATTGTAAAACCCAGTAATTCAACTCCTAGATATATGCCCTAGAGAAACTCTTACACATATGCACCAGGAGTTATAAGTAAGAATCTTCATAGCAGCACAGTTCATATTAGCAAAAAACTTGAAACAAGCCAAATATCTGTTAACCAAAAAAAAAAAAAAAGGATAAATAAATTGTGGGATATTATGCAATGGAGCATTACACAGCAGTGAAAAATGAGTGTGCTTCAGCCACAGATACACCATGGATGAATCTTGGAAACATAATGTTAAATGGAAAAAGTGGCCAGGCACAGTGGTTCACGCCTGTAATCTCAGCACTTTGGGAGGCTGAGGCAAGAGGGTAGCTTGAGCCTCAGAGTTCAAGACCAGCCTGGGCAAATGGTGAAACCCTGTCTCTACAAAAAATACAAAAAAATTGGCTGGGCATGGTAGTGTGCAGCTGTAGTCCCAGCTACTGGGGAGGCTGAGGTGGGAGGATCACCTGAGCCCAGGTGGTCAAGGCTGCAGTGAGCCCTGGTCGTGCCACTGCTCTCCAGCCTGTGCAACAGAGTGACACCTCATCTTAAAAAACCTTGCAGTTTTCCAGATGGTCTTCCCATATACCTTCCTATCCCCAGAGATAACCACAATCTGACATTTCATATTTATCATTCCAATGTTTTATAGTTTTATCACAAATGTATCTGTGCATAAACAATATATTATTTGGTTTTTTTGGTTTGTTTTTTGTTTTCTTGTTTTTAAGAGAACTGGGTGCATTGGCTCATGCCTTGCCAGAAGAGCTTCCTTAAACATCACTTTATCTGAGCTCAGAATCTTTCAAGAGCCTTTGCCTTGAGAATTGTTCTGAGATGTGCCCCAGAGCCCCCGCAAGGCCCCTTTCTCAGAGGTGGGGATTTTCAAGCTCTTTCCTACTTAAAAGGGAGCTGGGTGGTGGTGGAGAGTCCTTACCTTCCCTCATTTAGTCCTACTGGGTCCCAAACATTATTTAACAGAATCCTGTTTTTCAAAGGAAGTATTTGATGGAACCCTGTATTGTAACACAGATTTTGCATGTCTTCTATACATACCAAGTGTATAACTCTACCTTTTTTGGCTGCATGATGATATCAAACAAACACAGGCCTTTGTACTCTCGTCTGGTTGAATTGTGCTTTTGAATATTCTTAGTCTTCAGATGAACTCATTGAGTATATGGGATGTGTATTCAACGCACTATACCGTATTACCAGACATTTGCTCTCTAATGGGACGTCTTTTAACACTTGGACTCCCCTGTGGAGCGTTCCTGCCCCAAATCTCAGTCCCTGTGTTTTGATTGGTGGCATGTGACTCAGGCCTCGCCAATCAGAGCAGAGTAGTGCAGTACCCTGGCCACAGGGACTGGTTCAGGAACTGGTTTAGAACCCAATAGGATCAAGAAAATGCACTCTTAAGATGTTCTGCTCAGACACTTATCTTTATGACTGGAATAAATTAGAACTGTGAAGATGTTTTTGTAGGCATTATCATTCCTTTCAAATTTTTGTTTGTTTGTTTGTTTGTTTGTTTATTTTGAGACAGAGTTACACTCTGTTGCCCAGGCTGGAGTGCAGTGGCACAATCTTGGCTTATTGTAACCCCTGCCTCTCAGGTTCAAGTGATTCTTGTGCCTCAGGCTCCCTAGTTGCTTGGATTACAGGTGTATGCCACCACACCCAGCTAATTTTTGTATTTTTAGTAGAGACGGGGTTTCACCATATTGGCCAGGCTGGTCTGGAACTCCTGACTTCAAGTGATCTGCCCTCCTTGGCCTCTCAAAGTGCTGGGATTACAGGCATGAGCCACCATGCCCGGCCTGTTTGTTTATTGTCCACAAGGGAAGAATTTGTCTGGGGAGGAAGACAATACAGAAGAGAGCCATGTAGTGATGGAGAGAGAGCCTGTACTCAAGTGACATTGTGACACAGCTTCTGGATCAAGCTGTGCCTAAAGCTAACCCTAACCCTGGAATGTTTTGTTGCATGACCCAGAAAATTTTATTTTTTGCTCAATTTCACTGAGGTTTTACATCACTTGCAATCAAAATAATCCTGAAGGATGCAGGTATTACTTGAGCCCTTATAACGTCTCATCTAACATGCTTATTATAAGGTCAATAGGCCAGAATTCAGTAAGCTTAATTCAGTAAACTTTTCCCAGTCGAATTGCTTTTCCATCACATGCAATATAGGGAGGTATTTTCCACAATGTCAAGAAGAATGTTTTCACCATCAGATTACATTTTATTCTACCCATTAACAAAATAATATTAAACAGTTCCATTTACAAAGAAGCTGAGAAAGTCTTATTTTCATGTTCATTGCATTTTGTTCCACAATGACATTGTAACTTGGCAAGGAATACAGAATTATATTGCATGGTTTTGTTTCTGTGTAAGTTCAGTGAAGACAATGGTCAACTTTAATTATTAAAAAGATGAGGCTTTTAGATACACGGCATTACAAATTTGCTTGAACCCACAGAATGTACAACACCAAGAGTAAACCCTAATGTAAACTACAGACTGGGTGATCATGATGCATCAAATGGGCTCATCAGTTGTAAGAAATGTACCACTCTGGTGGGGGATGTTGGTAATCGGAGAGGCTAGGCGTGTGTACAGGCAGGGGGTATGTGAAAAATCGCTGTACCTTTGGCTCAATTTTGCTGTGCTCCTAAAACTGCTCTAAAAAAATGTCTATTAAAACATTTTTTAAAGTAAGGTTCAGCTGGGCACGGTGGCTCATGCCTGTAATCCCAGCACTTTGGGAGGCTGAGGCAGGCGGATCACTTGAGGTCAGGAGTTCGAGACCAGCCTGGCCAATATGGTGAAATCCTGTCTCTACTAAAAATACAAAAATTTGGCTGGGCACGGTGGCTCACGCCTGTAATCCCAGCACTTTGGGAGGCTCAGATGGGCGTATCATGTGGCCAAGAGATTGAGACTATCCTGGCCAACATGCTGAAACCCCATCTCTACTAAAAATACAAAAATTAGCTGGATTGTGGTGGCATGTGCGTCTAGTCCCAGCCACTCAGGAGGCTGAGGCAGGAGAAGCGCTTGAACCCGGGAGGCAGAGGTTGCACTGAGCCAAGATCATGCCACTGCACTCCAGCCTGGTGAAAAAAATAAAAATAAATAAATAAATAAAAATACAAAAATTAGTTGGGGTGGTGAGCACCTGTAATCCCAGCTACTCAGGAGGCTGAGGCAGGAGAATTGCTTGGACCTAGGAGGCAGAGGTTGCAGTGAGCCAAGATTGCGCCCCTGTACTCCAGCCTGGGCAACAGAGCAAGACTCCATCTCAAATAAAAAATAAAAATAAAAAATAAAAGTGATTCATTGTGCTTCTTGTGACTTTGTGGGGAAAGGGCCTCCATTTGACTTCCTTTCATTTAGTCTCTTGAAAAATATTTGTTGAGTGCTGCTGTGTGCTGAGTGCTGGGGATTCAGAATGAATGAAATTGATGAGATCCCTGGCCCCATGGAGCTCACATTCTAACAGGGCAAACACACAATAAACAAATGAACAGATTTTGGGGAAGGTTAATTTCAGGGAGTGATAAGCCTGTATATAAAAAAATAGAAAGGGCCAGGGGCAGTGGCTCATGCCTGTAATCCCAGCATTTTGGGAGGCTAAGGTTGGGGATCACTTGAGCTCAGGAGTTCAAGACCAGCCTGGGCAATATGGCGAATCCTTATCTATACAAAACATACAAAAATTTGCCGGGTGTGGTGGCACGTGTCTGTAGTCCCAGCTACTTGGGGGGCTGAGGTGGGAGCATCACTTGAGACAAGGAGGTCGAGGCTACAGTGAGCTATGATTGAGCCACTGCACTCCAGCCTGGGCGACAGAGTGAGACCTTGTCTCAAGAAGAAAAAAAAAAAATAGAAAGTGCAGCTGAGGGGAGTGAGTGCTGCTTCAGCTGGGGAAGTAATGGAAGACCTCTCTGAGGAGATGGCATCTGAGCAGAGACCTGGATTCCCAAAGGAGCAGCCATGTGGAG
Source organism: Homo sapiens (assembly GCF_000001405.40). Lineage (NCBI taxonomy): Eukaryota > Metazoa > Chordata > Mammalia > Primates > Hominidae > Homo > Homo sapiens. The sequence goes on along the minus strand of NC_000016.10, from coordinate 56,724,418 downwards.
CTATGCGGGGTCAGCAAGTGTCAAGGCCTCTGGGACAGACAGGATTTCAAAACACACCTTCTACTTACCACCAAATCAAACAAACACACCAAAACCAGAAAACTCCAGGCCCAGGTGTCTTCACTGGTGAATTCTTTCAAATATTTAAGGAAGAAATAATACGAATCTTACATGAACTCTTCCAGAGAACAGAAAAAATAAGAACACTTGTCAACTAGTTCAATGAGGCTGGCATAACCTTGATTCCAAAACCTGGCAGGACCCTACAAGAAAAGAAATAGAAGAACAGCCCTACTAAACGTAAAGGCAAAAATCTGAAATAAAATATTGAGAAACCCAATCTAGCAATATAGCAAAAGGATAATACATCAGGATCATAGGAAGAATTATTTTTTACCAAGAATGTAACATTAGAAAATGTATGTAATTCTCCACACTAACAACATAAATGAGAAATATAAATGTTTATCTTAATAGATGCCAATAAAAAGCATTTCATACAATTCAACATGTATTTATGATAAAAACTTTTAGCAAAGTAGGGATAGAGGGGAACTTAATCTGATGCAGGGTATCTATAAAAAACTTACAGCAAATATCACTTAATGGAAAAATATAAATATTTCTCCTAAAGTCGTATAAACATAACAAAGATGTCAGCTGTTACCATTTATATTCAACATTGTATTAGAGGTCTAAGCCAGTGCAGTAGGCAAGAAGGAGAAATAGTAGGCATAAAGATTGGCAAGAAAAAAATAAAATCACCATCATGGACAGATGACATGAATACATAAGAAGAAAACCCAAAATAATCTACAGACAAAATATTAAAATTAATTAATGAAGTTAGCAAGCCTGTAAAAAAAGGTCAGTATACAAAAATTAATTATATTTCTATATATTTGTGAAAAATAACTGGAAAATGAACATTTTAAATGATATCATTTGCATTAGCATAAAAATCATATAAATAGGATTAAACCTCACAAAAAGATGTACAAGATTTTGATGCTAAAAACTACAAGGCATTAATGAGAGCAACTCAAGAAGACCTAAATAAATGTTGAGATAAGCCATGTTTTTGGATCAAAGACTCAAGATGCCAGTTCTCCCCAAAGTGATTTATGGATTCAATGCAATCCCAACCATAATCCTAGCACATTTTTAATGGAAATTGACAAGCTGATTCTAAAATTTATCTGAAAATGCAAAAGGCCAAAAACATTCTTTTCAGACATTCTTAAAGAAGAAAATGTGGGAGAGGGACTTATGCCTCAAGATTTCAAGACTTATTTAAAAGCTGTCATAATTTAAAAAGGATGATCTTGGCAAAAAAATGAATAGACAAATGAAACAGAATAGAGAGCCCAGAGACAGACCCACACTTATATAGTTATCTGATTTTAAAAACAGTAACTCAGGGGGAGAAAGGATTCTATTTTCAATAAATGGTATTGAATCTATTGGCTCTATAAAAAATTTAAAAAGAACAGCAGCATTCATCTCATCCTTACCTCACACCATAAACCAACAATGAATTCCAGATGGCTTATAGACCTGAATGTGAAAAAAAAAGTACAATAAACTTTCTTAAAGACAAGATAATAGGCTTCATGACCTAGAGGTTCTGGGGGTTGGCAAACATTTCTTAAACAAGACACGATAAACATTAACCATAAGGAAAAGACTGATAAATTAGATGAAACTGAGAGAGTGAAAGGCAAACCACTGGAAGAAGTTTGCAATACACTAATCTAAGACTCATATCTAGACTATATAGAGAACTCTTATAAATCAAGAAGAAAAAGACAGATCCTGTTAGAAGTGGGCAAAAACCTAAACAGGTATTTCACAAAAGAGGATATGTGATGGTTAAATTGTATGTGTCAACTTGACTGGGCTATGGGATGCCCAGACATTTCATCAAATGTTATTTTGAGTGTGTCTGTGGGGGTGTTTCTGGATGAGATTAACATGTGCATGGGTAGACTGAGTAAACGAGATTGCCCTCCTTAATGCCGGTGGGCTACATCCAATCAGTTGAAGGCCTGAGAAAAATGCAAAGGCTGAGTAACGGAGAATTCCTTCTACCTATCTTTAAGCTGGGACATGGGCTTTTTTTTCTGTCTTTCGACTCAAGCTGAAACATTAGCTCTTCTTGGGTCTTGAGACTGTCAGACTGGGACTGGAACTACACCAACCACTCTTCTAGGTCCTGGGTCTCCAGCTTGATGACTGCAGATCTTGAGACTTGTCAACTTTCATAATCATATTATATCTATCTATCTATCTATCTATCTATCTATCTATCTATGCACACACATCTGATTTGTTGTGTTTCTCTGTAGAACCCTGACTAATACAATATCTGACTTGCCAATAATATATGCAAGGTGCTTAACACAATTGGTCATCAGGATAATGCAAATTAAATCCATAATGAAAAACCACTACATATCTGTCAGACTAGAATAACTAGATATTTTATGGAGGATACTTCCATACAATAAAATGCACTTGTTTTAAGAGTACACTTAGATATGTTTAGTACATGTATATATCTGTATGACCATCACCACAATCAAGACGTAGAACATTTCCATCCTGATGTTTCCCTCATGTCCCTTTGCAGTCAATGCCTGTTGGCTAAATTTCATGTAAATGTAATCACCCTTTATCTTTCGTGTCTGGCTTCTTTAGCTCAGCATCTTTTTTTTTATGTTTGTCCATGTCTGTATCAATAGTTCATTCCTTTTTATTGATGAGTAGAATTCATTATATGGATATATCACATTTTATTTATCCATTCATCTTTGTTTTGTTTTGTTTTTTTGAAACAGAATCTTGCTCTGTGGCCCAGGCTGGAGTGCAGTGGTGTGATCTTGGCTCACTGCAACTTCTGCCTCCCGGGTTCAAGCGATTCTCCTGCCTCAGCTTCCCAAGTAGCTGGGATTACAGGCATGCGCCACCACACTCCACTAATTTTTGTATTTTTAGTAGAGATGAGGTTTCGCCATGTTGGCCAGGCAGGTCTTGAACTCCTGACCCAAGTGATCCACCCACCTCGGCTCCTAAAGTGCTGGGATTACAGGCGTGAGCCACTGCACCTGGCTTATCCATTCATTTTGGTGGATGTTTGGGGTTATTTCCAGTTTTTGGCTATGAGGAATAAAGCTGCTGTGAAAATTCTTGTATAAGTTTTTGTGCAAACATATGTTTTCGTTTCCCTTGAATAAATACCTAGCAATGGAAATTCTGGGTCATATGATGCATATATATATATATAACTTTATAAGAAAATGCCAAATTATTTTCTCAATGGTTGTATCATTCCCACCAGGAGCAATGTATGAGTTCCTGTTGCTCCAATCTTTGTTCACACGTAATATTGTCAGGTTTTTTCTTTATTTGAGGCATTCTAATAGACATACAGAGTATCTCATTGTGGTTTTAGTCTTCATTTTCCTGACAACTAATGATGTTGAGAAAATGGCTACACTTTAAAACTGACAATACTAACTGTCCAAGAGGTTGTGGAGCAACTGGGACCATCATATGCAGCCGAGGGTTTATAAACAGGGACAACCACTTGGGAAAACTGGCAAAATATATTAAAGCTAAATATACACATACTCTATGACCTAGTACATCTATCTATCTATCTATCTATTTACCTATCTACCTATCTTCAGCATAAATGTGTACATATTTTCATTAAAAGCCATGTATACCAATGTTCATAGCACCATTATTTGTACTAGCCCAACAGGGGAAACAACCCAGAAGTCCATTAACAGAAGAAGGGAAAAATAAATTATGTTGTGGTCATATAATAAAATAATTCAGGAATAAAAAAGAATGAACTCCATCCTCAAGCAACAACATGAATGAATCTTGCAGACATAATGTCATACAAAAAAAGCTAGACACAAAAGTATAATTTCATTTATATAGAGTTCAAGTAAGGAAAAACTAATCTATGGTGACAGATGTCAGGACAGTGATTATCATGAAACAGGGAGAGGTTGTTGCCTGGGAAGAGGAATGAAGGAAACTTCTGAGATCTCTTAATGTTCTATTTCTTCATCTGGATGCTGAGTGCATGGATGTATTCACTTTTTAAAAATTCATTGAGCTGCACATTTAAGATTTGTGCACTTTACCATACATATGTTATTCATTATGCTACAATAAAAAGTAAAAATAAAATAGAATATTCCCTTCACCATGGAATATTAAATATTTTTGCAATCTGAAATTCATGTCACTTTCCCTGATAGTTTGCAGTCTGGAACCTTGCTTTCCTTCTTTGGTATTCCCCACAATACCTAGCATGTGGTTCATGGAAGGAAAGCAAGAAATATTTCTTAAATAACAGAATCCAGCTCCACTAATTGTTACCCCCTATCTTGAGCTGCTGCTTCCAGAGACGATTTCTTAGTGGGAAGTCGCAAATTACATAAAGCTTGGTGAGCTGTGGATGAGTGATTAGCAATATTCTTCAAAAGTCATTAAAAGCTTTGGCTAGGCAAAGTGGCTCACACCTGTAATCCCAGCACTTTGGGAGGCTGAGGCAGGGAGATCACTTGAGGTCAGGAGTTTGAGACCAGCCTGGCCAAAGTGGTAAAACCCCGTCTCTACTAAAAATACAAAAATTAGCTGGCATGGTGGCATGCACCTGTAGTCCCAGCTCTCAGGAGGCTGAGGCAGGAGAATCACTTGAACCCAGGAGGTGAAGGTTGCAGTGAGGCAAGATTGTGCCACTGCACTCCGGCCTGGGTGACAGAGTGAGACTCTGTCTTAATTTTTTAAAAAAAAAAAGCCATTAAAAGCTTAAAAGGGAAGCTTCTTACTTTGCCTTTCAGATGGGTTTCATGTCAGCGGCACAGAAGGTGACTTGACATTATCCAGGATAGCAAACAGGCTTTCTCTAGAACACCAACCCCTGGCAATTGGTTGAGTTTGTGGGAAGCCAAGGGTTAAGGATAGTGAGAGCAAATCGCAAATCCAGGCCTGGCTAGTTTTTATATTTTTAGTAGCGACAGGGTTTCACCATGTTGGTCATGCTGGTCTCAAACTCCTGCCTCAAGTGACCTGCCCGCCTGGGCCTCCCAAAGTGCTGGGATTGCAGGCATGAGCCACTGCGCCCGGCTTAGGACTGGACTATTTTGACTAATCAGAACTGAACCAGTTTGAATCCTTCATTTGTATAAGCAGACCTAATTGAGAATTTTCCCTACTGAGGCCAGACTCTACCTTTATTCTTCCCAGGGTAAGCTTTCACTTATGCTGAAGACTGTGCCTCCCCATTCTGCAGATTGTTTTCCATATATGTAGAGAGAGAAAATAAAGCTCTCCCTCTTCCTCTGCAGATCTCATGGTCTTTTGTTAATGGCAGCTTTATTCATAATAATCCCAAACTGGAAACAATTCAGATGTCTACCCACAGGAGAAAAATGGATAAACAAACTGGAATAGCCACCCAGTGGAACACTACTCAGCAATGGAAAGGAACATACCACTGACTGCTGCACCAATAGAAATGAATCCCCAAAACCTATGTCAATTGAAAGCCAGACATAAAAGAATACATACTATGAGATTCGACTTATCTCAATTTCAAGAACAAGCAAGCTTATCTCTAGTGATAGAGGTGAGAATAATTGTTCCTTGAAACTATGGGCCAGGAAAGAGCACAGGGAACTTTTTGAGGTGTCAGAAATATTCTATATCTTGAGCTGAGTGGCAACATAGGAGTATACATACGCAAAAATTTACTTATTTATCTATTTGTGTATTTATTTATTTATTTATTTATTTTTTGAGATGGAATCTCGCTCTGTCACCCAGGCTGGAGTGCAGTGGCGCAATCTTGGCTCACTGCAAGCTCTGCCTCCCAGGTTCAAGTGACTCTCTGGCCTCAGCCTCCCGAGTAGCTGGGACTACAGGCACCCGCCACTGCGCTGGGCTAATTTTTTGGTTTTTTAGTAGAGACGGGGTTTCACCATGTTAGCCAGGATGGTCTCGATCTCCTGACCTCGTGATCCACCCACCTCTGCCTCCCAAAGTGCTGGGATTACAGGCGTGAGCCACCGCGCCCGGACCTATTTGTGTATTTATTTAATGTATTTTTTTTGAAGTAGGGTCTCACTCTCACCCAGGCTTGAGTGCAATGGTACGATCTTAGCTCACTGCAACCTCTGCCTCCCCGGCTCAAGCTAACCTCCCAACTCAGCCTCCCAAGTAGCTGGGACTACAGGTGCAGGCCACCACGCCCAGCTAATTTTTGTATTTTTTGTAGAGACGAGGTTTCACCATGTCACCCAGGCTGGTCTCCAACTCCTAGACTCAAGCAATCTGCCCACCTCAGCCTCCCAATGTGCTGGGATTACAGGTGTGAGCCAGTGGCCATGGCCATAAAAATTTATTAAGCTGTACACTTAAGATTTGTGCATTTTACTGGATGTAATTATTTCTCAAAAATTTTAAATTAAGGAAAAAGTGATTGACAGCAATTATTCCACTTGAGCCTTGCAACAACTTAGGAGTAGACAGGGCAGAGTTTATCATCATTATGTATCCTATGGGGAACCTAAGCTCCAAGGGGATTGAATGACTTACCCAAGTCATATAAGGAAAGAGTGGCAGACCAGGACTTGCACTCAAGTCTTCTGAAATCAAGGCCAATCTGGGCACAGTGACTCATGTCTGTAATCCCAGCACTCTGGGAGGTCAAGGCAGGTGGATCACTTGAGGTCAGGAGTTCGAGACCAACCTGGCCAACATGGTGAAACCCCATCTTTACTAAAAATATAAAAATCAGCCAGGTGTGGTGGTGCATGACTGTAGTCCCAGCTACTCGGGAGGCTGAGGCATGAGAATTACTTGAACCCAGGAGGAAGGGGTTGCAGTGAGCTGAGATTGCATCACTGCACTCCAGTGTGGGCAACAGAGTGAGACTCTGCCTCAAAATAAAAATAAAAAAATAAAATAATAAAAATCAAGGCCAGTGCTTTTTATCTCAAGAAAGCCTCCAAGGTGAATTTAGAGCCCTTCGTTAACTCTATTAAGGAATTATCCAGAGAAGTCCTTACATGGACATTTCTGCCAGCTTTCTGAATTGAGATTGGAATATATCCCACACTCATTAATCAGCAGCAGCTGACTATCAGATGACATTGTCAAGGTGGTAGGTTTTTTTTTCAACATCTGGTTGTTTTATTTGTTATTAAACATACTGACTGTTGAATGAGAAAAATCCCCATCCTACACATCTCTCCATTGCTGCTGTTTAAAAACAGCTTTGCCGACATCTATCAACTTTGTTTATGTCAAATTGCACAATTTGTCACTGATGCTGAATTTGCCAAAAGAAAAGTGAATTTGATTGACAAGGCCCAAGGGCTTCTCTCTCTTCCTTTTCAACATTCCAGATGTTTAAAAAAGTTGGATCCACTCCCAGGAAGGCTCATCTGTGGGTGAAAAATGTACCAAAGGAGCTTGGGGGATATGGTTTCGGTTTTTGTAGAAACTTTGCCTCCAAGAGACCCCATCTTCTTGATTGGTTCAAATTACCCTCCAATTTTAATTGCCGCCTTTCAATGGAGCCATCTGTTTCAAGGCCCATCTGTCAAGGGCTCTCTTGTGGTTGATTATTAAATGTATTTGCAGCTGGAGTTTCAAGAAAAAAAACTTAAATGATAAAAGAAAAGTGTCCCCAAGAGTGAAAGTAGAAAACAGAAACAGACTTGTAGCTATTGCCACTCTTAGAAATCAGAGGACTTAGGCCAGGCACGGTGGCTCACACCTGTAATCCCAACACTTTGGGAGGCTGAGGAGGGTGAATCACTTGAGGTCAGGAGTTTGAGACCAGCCTGGCCAACATGGTGAAACCCCATCTCTATTAAAAATACAAAAATTAGCTGGGCATGGTGGTAGGCACCTGTAATCCCAGCTACTTGGGAGGCTATGGCACAAGAATCGCTTGAACCTGGGAGGCAGAGGTTGCAGTGAGCTGAGATCACACCACAGCACTCCAGCCTGGGTGACAGAGAGCAGAGAGAGACTCTGTCTCAAAAAGAAAGAGACAGAGAGAGAGAGAAAGAGAGAAAGAAAAAAAGAAAGAGAAAGAGAGAAAGAAAGAAATCAGAAAACTTAGTCCTTCTCTGCAAACCCAGAAGAAAATTAATATCAGCAAACCAGTGTGGAGAACAGTAGTGAACACGGCTGGCTTTGGGGCCTTCCAACACCCTTCTTTGGTAACTATACCAAGAACCTCTCCCCATTTACTTTCCAGGGATTTACTTCTTTCACATTGTGGGTATTCTTATGGAGATGATGGTAACCCACCGTGAAGGGTTGTTACAAGGACTGAGCTACTTAATACATGTTAGAGACTTAGAACAGAGTTTTGCATATGGTGGGTGCTCAGTAAGTGTTAACCATTTTATTTTTGGCAAGGCCAGTGGCCCCGGTATTCTAGAATTGAGTAGAGGTGTCCTTGCCCCACCAGTGCAAAGCTGTCAAGTACCCTACACACATCATAAAAAGTTGCAATTTTTTATTTTTATTTTTTAGAGACATGGTCTTGCTGTGTTACCCAGGCTGGAGTGCAGTGGTGCAATCATAGCTCACTGTAACCTCGCACTCCTGGGCTCAAACAATCCTCCTGCCTCACCTCTGGAGTAGTTAGGACTATGGGCACATACCACCATGCCCAGTTATTTTTAAAAAATTTTTGTTGAGATGGGGTCTTACTATGTTGCCCAGGCTGGTCTCAAACTCCCTCAAGTGATTCTTCTGCCTCCACTTCCCTGGGATTACAGGCGCAATTTTTGTTTTGTGCATAAATTTCACTAGAATGGAAGCCCTTGAAGGCTTTGTGTCCATTAGTGGGTGTTCGGTGAATGTTAGTTTAAAAAGGTCCTGAATGAGCTGCCAGGAGACTCTCAGAATGGAGGCTCCAATCACGCAAGTTATCCAATTGCTTGAAGGCAGAGTCTTAACTCAAATTTGACTCAAACTGGGGCTAACACTGGCATGTGTGGCATAGCAGGGAAGACCAGCTCCTATACGTGACCTCTCTTGGGGGTCAGCCAGTTCAGCTGTTCTGTAATGTAACTGTCTAGATCTTATCAGCCTTGAGGGATGAGACTGTGCCCAATGCTGGCCACTGGGCAGAACTCAGACTTCAGTAAACCAACACCACAGTTCTGAAAACCGTGGGACACACAAGCTGGAGGCTGTAGCCCCCTGGTTGATGGCTGTCTTAGAGGTCTCATTCTTTTTTAGAATAAGTAATAATTTTTAAAAATCGTGAAAAAGTCAAGCAAAGAGTCAGGAAAGAGAGGATGCGCAGGCAAAAACAAAACTTTCTTTATCCATCTGGCTGACAATGTTGTAATTGCTTTTCATGGAAAAGTATGTTTACGTGCTTTTTTAATCCCTAAGTGTCTTCACAGCATTTACTTTTTGTAATGTATTTGATTTTGTATTATGAGAAGTCTGATTTTTAGTTTCATGGTTCAGTTAAAATTGGGAAGTATGTGGCCAGGTGCGGTGGCTCATGCCTGTAATCTTGGCACTTTGGGAGGCCAAGGCAGGAGGATTGCTTAAGGCCAGGAGTTCAAGACGAGCTTGGGCAACATAGTGAGACTTGTCTCTACAAAAAATGTTTTAAAATTAGCTGGGCTTGGTGGCATCTGCCTGTAGTCCCAGCTACACGGGAGGCTCAAGCGGGAGGATTCCTTGGCCTGAGGAAGTTGGGGCTGCAGTGAGCTGAGATCGTGCCACTGGACTCCAGCCTGGGCAACAGAGGGAGACACTGTCTCAAAAAAAAGATAAAAATTCAGAGGTGTGAAGGGTGAAGGAAGAGTTTTTATTCCAATATGTTCTTAATTTTTTTTTTTTTTTTTTTTTTTTGAGACAGAGTCTTGCACTGTTGCCCGGGCTGGAGTGCAGTGGCGCGATCTCGGCTCACTGCGACCTCTGCCTCCCGGGTTCGAGAGAGTCTCCTGAGTAGCTGGGATTACAGGCAGGCACCACCATGTCCAGCTAATTTTTTGTATTTTTAATAGAGACGGGGTTTCACCATGTTGGCCAGGCTAGTCTCAAACTCTTGACCTCATGATTTGCCTGCTTCAGCCTCCCAAAATGCTGGGATTACAGGCCTGAGCCACCGCACCCGGTCATGGTCTTCATTTTTTAAATAACCAAATTCTCTGCTGTTTTTTGAAAATCTATGCTGGCAAAAATCAACTTTTCTATTTTGTTTTTCCTGAAATTAATCACCACAAATAAAATGAAAATATGTTCACTTCAAGCAAAGCCCTGTGTAGAATAAGCCATTACTATACGTGTGCAATGAATAAAAAAAATACAACAACCTGATCAGAACAGGAATAATTTCTGTGCTGTGGGTTTGGCTGGGCATGGCTTAGCCCATTGTTTCATTACACCTGTTGACAACAATGACATTTATAGAGGCTGCAGGGAACTAGTTAGGCCTTTTTGGCTTGTTTTTGTCTTGTCCTTCTGCCTTCTGCCATGTGAGGAGACAGTGTCCAAGGTGCCATCTTGGAACAGAAACCAGACCTTCACCAAACACTGAACCTGTTAGCACGTTAACCTTTGTCTGCCCAGCAGCTCCAGAACTGTAAGAAATAAAGTTCTATTATTTATAAATTACACCGTTTGTGGTATGCAGTCATAGCAGCACAAACAGGCTAAGCATCCATTAACAAAAACCAAGAAGTTGATTTTCCCTATCCCCTCACAGGAACAGAAATTAGACTTCAAGCCAGGTATAGAAATTAGACTTCAATTCAGCTACGTAAAGAAACAAAAGCAATGGTGACAATAATGCCAACACTTAGGGGCTTGAACAAGATAAGACATTATTTCTGTCACATGAGAGAAGTCTGAAGAGAAGCCATCTAGGCTAGGTGGTGGCTTCAGTCATCAAGGACCTGGCCACCTACATTGCTGCTCCCCCATCCTTAGCATCCTGCCTCAGTCTCCAAGATGGTTGCTGGAGCTCCAGCCATTATGCTCTTGTTCCAGCCATTAGGAAAGAGGACAGGGACCAGAGCGGCACCTCGTCCCTTTCAAGGATACATTCCTAAAGTTTTACGTCCACTTCCACTTACAAATCATCGGACAAAACGGTCATGTGGCCACTCTTGGCTGCCAGATAGTCTGGGAAATGTGGTTTTGGCTGTATGTCTATGTCCCAGACACTTGTGAGGTTCCTATTACTAAGAGGAAGAGGGGATAGATAGTGGGGCAAACCCATTGTCTCTAACCCACAATTTCTTGGGTTCTTAAATTCTGGGTTTCTTGTTCTATGTGGCAGGTGTGTGTGTGTGTGTGTTTGTGTGTGTGTGCATGTGTGTGTGCGTGCACACTCAAAGGCATGTATGTTAGGGGAAATGTTGTCAACCAGGGCCAAAAAAAAAAAAAAAAAAAAACCAATAGTGCTTCATTATCTGAGACCAGTGGACCTCAAATTTTAGTGCATAACAGAATTACTTGAGAAGTTCGTTAAAAATATAAATTGTCAGTAGGCAAATATTCTTAGAAAACTAGCACTAAACAAAAGAGACAAAACGATAAACTGGTCCTCAGGAAAAATGAAAACTTCTGATAATCAAAAGATACCATTAAGAAAATGAAAACTGTGGCCGGGTGTGGTGGCTCACGCCTGTAATCCCAGCACTTTGGGAGGCCGAGGCAGGCAGGTCACTTGAGGTCAGGAGTTCATGACCAGCCTCGCCGAGTTGGTGAAACCCCATCTCTACTAAAAATACAGAAATTAGCCAGACGTGGTGGCACATGCCTGTAATCCCAGCTACTCAGGAGGCTGAGGCAGAAGAATGGCTTGAAACTGGGAGGTGGAGTTTGCAGTGAGCCGAGATTGTGCCACTGCACTCCAGCCTGGGCAACAGAGTGAGACTCCCTCTCAAAAAAAAAAAAAAAAAGAAAATGAAAAGTGGCAGTTTTCTTGGTGCAGCTGGCAGCATTTTCGTCTCATAAGCTGAAGAAAATGAAAAGGCAAGACATAGACTGAAAGGACATCTTCTCAATACACATATATGACAAAGGACAGGTATCCAAAATATACAAAGAACTTCTGTAAATTAATTATTTTAAAAAACCGATTTTTTTTAACGAGCAAAAGATTTGAATAGGCACTTCATAAAATACAATATAAAAATACCAATGAACACATGAAAAAATAGTCCACATCAGTAGTCATCAAGGAAATCTAAGTTAAAGCCACAATGAATAACACTTCATACCAGTAGAATGGCCACAGTTTAAAAGTCTGACACTAGCAAGTGCTGGTGGGAATGTGAAGCAACTGGACCTCCCATATTCTGCCAGTCGGGGGTGTAAAATACTACAACCATTTTAGAATATGGTTTGGCAGATTCTAATAGGGCCCCAGCAATTCCACTTCTTGGTATCTATCCCAGAGAAATAAAAGAACAAGTCCACAAAATGACTTGCACAAGAATGCTTATAGCAGCTTTATTCATAATATCCCCAAACTGGAAACAACCTAAATGTCCATCAAAGAAGAACGGATAAACAAACTGTGATACATGTATACAATGTAATACTACTTAGAGATATGAAAGAACAAACTCTTGACACATACAGCCATATGGATGGATTTCAAAAACACTGGGTTGACTAAAAGAAACCAGAACAAAAAAGTACACACTCTCTGATTCCATTTATATGAAGTTCAGGAACAAGCAAAACTAATATGGGATAAAATCACAATAGTGTTTTCTGGTCAGGGAGGGGTGAGGTACTGACTGGCAGGGGGATGAGGGAACTTTCTAGGGTGATGACATGTTCTAGATCTTGAATGAGATATGGGTTACATGGTGGGGTACGTTTGTCAAAACTAGTCAAACTGCTGTTAAGATTTGTGCATTTTAGCTGGGTGTGGTGGCTGACACCTGTAATCTCAGCACTTTGGGAGGCTGAGGCAGGTGGATCACCTGAGGTCAGGAGTTCGAGACTAGCCATGGCCAACATCTCTACTAAAAATACAAAAACTAGCCAGGTGTGGTGGCACGCACCTGTAATCCCAGCTACTCAGGAAGCTGAAGAAGAAGAATTGCTTGAACCCAGGAGGGCGAGGTTGTAGTGAGCCAAGATTGTGCCGCTGCACTCCAGCCTGGGTGACAGGGCGAGAGTCCATCTCAAAAAAAATTATATATATATATATATATATATATATATATATATATATATATATATGTATATATATGTATATGTATATATACACACATTTATTAGTGCATTTTATCAAATGTAAATGTAATTTTACCCCCAAAATTCTGTGTATGTGGGCGCAGTGGCTCACGCCTGTAATCCCAGCACTTTGGGAGGCCAAGGGGGCGAATCACTTGAGGACAGGAGTTGGAGACCAGTCTGGCCAACATGACAAAATCCTGTCTCTACTAAAAATACAAAAAACTAGCCAGGTGTGGTGGCGTGCTATTGTAGTCCCAGCTACTTGGGAGGCTGAGGCAAGAGAATTGCTTGAACCCGGGAAGCAGAGTTGCAGTGAGCCAAGATCCCACCACTGCACTTCAGCCTGGGCGACAGAGCGAGACTCCGTCTAAAATAAAGAAAAAGTTATGTGTGTGTGTACGTGTGTGTATATAAATTGCTAGCCCTGAGCTCAGAGATTGTGACTAATGAGATGGGGGAATTGACATTTTGGGGCATTTTTATTACCCCTTCTCCCCTGGGGAATTTTGATGTAAGTAGACAGGATGGACAGGGGTTGCTCACACTGGGGAGGAAGGTGTGGAGGCGTGTGGCTCTGAAGGGAGTGGTTCCCTAAAATCTGGAGGACCACAAGGTCTTGGGTCTGCTGCACACAGTGCCCTGGAGGAGGCTCTCAGATACTGCTGGTACCAGAATGTCTGGGGACACTGGTGCCTAATACTGGGATCTTGGGGGAGTAGACAGGGTCCCATCATGGAGGCTTGTGGTCAGTGGTGAGGGTGGCTGGGAGGGCATCTTTGTGGCCTGCTGAGAGCAGCTGCAGCCAATGGCCAGTGGAAGCACAGCCCCGAAGCAGCCTTGTTTGTGCAGCAGGATGCCTGGTGACAACAGTGTCCGGGCTAGTAATCACAGTCATGGGTAACATTAGCTGAGCACTTCATCAATGCTAAGTTTTACATGTATTTACTCATTTCATTATTCCCATTTTAGGGATGAGAAAACTAAAAATCCAGGGGGATTTTAGCAACTTGCCTACCTCACACAACTAGCAGCAGAGCCAGGATTTTAACCCAGACAGTTCCAGGGCTCAGGTCCTTACCCTCTGGGCTGGCCTTCCCCCTCTACTGCCCCCTGATACCCTCACTTTTCTGAACATTGGACTCATTCCTGTAGCTGGAGGTAGAGGACGGAAACTCAAAAGATGATTGAAGATTAAAAAACAAGATGATTGAGGCTGGACTTCTCAAAACCTTGGTGAGTGGGAAGCCACAACCGCCTGCAGGGCCAACCTGGTCTTGTAAATGATTAAAGCGGCAGGTGTGATGCATTAGGGAATGGTGGGGCCCGTGGCAGGACTGCTTTAAAGGGGGTGGCCATTACTGAAATGTGCCCTTGGGGCCATGCAGAAACAATGGCCCAGGGCTCCAGAAGATCCAGGTTTTTTAAGATTTTGATTTTTATAGCCCATGTTGCAGAAAATAAAACATATCTGTAGGTGTGCTGCAGCCCAGGGTGATGGCAATATCTGCTCTCCTCTCACTCCTGGGTGATCTGCACCAGGATGGGCAGCAGGCCAGTGACCTTCAGAGGCCCAGGCCTTTGAAGGATGAGGGTGCTTAGCCCTGTGTGAACCCACTCTCCCCTGCACCTTGAACCAGGGCTTTCTGAGACTGCTCTCCTGCCTGCATGCCCCCATCTCCTAACAAACAGGAGCTCCATCTCAGACTCAAATGATCCTCTGCCAGGTGTTTCCGTTGCTTTGTCCAAAGGCCTACACATGCGCCAAAGTTCAGGGTTATCTCCCCTCCACCTTTCCCTTTGTCTCCAGCCACCTTTCTGCTGACTGATTTTGTTGTTGTTTCTTTTTATAATTCCATTTGGGCTATCATGCGGCCCGATCTTCCATCTCATTCCACATCCAGCTGCAGCCTGAGCTTGAGCGTTTGTGAGCTTTGCAGCCAGATATGAACAGAAGACAGATTCATTTCCTGCTGCCTGCTTCTCCAACCCCAAATCTCCCAGTTTGATCCGAGAGCCCTGAAGATTTGCCTTCACCCGGCGCCCCCCAGATGCTTCTTTTTAAGCCTTGCTTGTAAATAGGTGTCAGTAAGGGTCTCACCATGCAGGATGTGGGCGTGTGGGTGCTCCAGATCCCCACACCGGCTGTCACCATCCCCCTGCTGTTGCCAGTGCATCCCTTGAGGATGCCTGGCAGGTTACACCCCACCCCGGGGGCAAATGGTGACTGACAACAGAACAAGTGCTCACCTGCTTGCCCCACAGCAGGACAGTTCAGTGGGAGGAATTTGTTCTAGAGCACCCTGGATCAGGCCAAGGCTTTCCCCTTCCATATTCGGCTTCTTTTGCTCCTCTAATAAGTCACGCATGTGGAGCCCTAAGGAGCTAAAAGAAAATTGGAAATGAGCTTAGCTGGCAAGAACAGACACAGGGGTAGAGGGGAGTGAATGTTCTGAGAAATAGGGTCAACAGCAAACAGCTCACTAGCACCCAAACATCCTGTTGCAAGCATTCAGCTCACAGCCCACCTGCACCCAAGCTTCCTGTCTGCAAGCCTTCAGCCCAGACAGCACAACTTTATAAAGTCCCCTGCAGCCCCTGCCTTTTTGCAGACAGCATTCCCTCTGCTATGTTGCTCGTTGCTCCCTTGGAACATATGTCCCGCTTTTCTCTAATAAATCTACCTTTCTTTCCCAACAATTGTCTTGGTAAATTCCTTCACCACCTGTGACACTGACCCCAGGGGGTCAGTTTTTTATTTGTTTGTTTGTTTGTTTTGAGACAGAGTCTCACTCTGTCGCCCAGGCTGGAATTCAGTGGTGCCCTCTCGGCTCACTGCAAGCTCTGCCTCCCAGGTTCAAGTGATTCCTGCCTCAGCCTCCTGAGTAGCTGGTATTACAGGCATCCACCACCACGCCCGGCTAGTTTTTGTATTTTTAGTAGAGATGGGGTTTTACCATGTTGGCCAGGATGGTCTCAAACTCCTGACCTCAAGTGATCTGCCCGCCTCGGCCTCCCAAAGCGCTGGGATTACAGGCGTGAACCACCGAGCCCAGCCAGCCCCCAGGCAGTCGTTGACCATGATAACGTGCACCTGAATCCCTGTCTCCAGCTCTGCATCTGAGAAACTCGGACATAAGACAGCTCCTTACAACACTACAGTGGGAGAGGGGGTGTCTGTGGGCAGAAAAGGGGCAGCGGTGGGCTAAGTGGAGACCAAGGCAAAACACTCCCATGCTTCCATTACCAAAGGCAAGGCATGTAAATCCTACATGTCATAGTGAAAAATTAAACAATCTCAACCCTCCAACAACAAGGAACAGACTCAATATATCATAAAACATGCTTATGATACATATTATGCCATCATTAATGGTGCTGTATGAAGTATTAAAAAAGTTGATATTTATTGAAGCTCAAGAAATGGGTACATGGGGGTTCATTTTACTATTCTCTCTACCTTTGTATATGTTCGAAATTTTCCGTAATAAAATGTATGTTAAAAATGGATGGAGAAATTGCTGTAGTATATTGAGTGGTATTTAGAAAGAACTCACACTGTATAGTTAGGTGAAAAACTGGCTAATATATAACATAGTAAGTCTATATGTATGTGGATTTTTTTAAATATTAAGAAATTGAGAGGCCAGATGTGGTGGCTCACGCCTGTAATCCCAGCACTTTGGGAGGCCAAGGTGGGCGGATCATGAGGTCAGGAGTTCGAGACCAACCTGGCCAACATGGTGAAACCCTGTCTCTACTAAAAATCAAAAAAAAAATTAGCCAGACATGGTAGTAAGGCCTGTAATCCCAGCTACTCAGGAGGCTGAGGCAGGGGAATCGCTTGAACCCAGGAGGTGGAGGTTGCAGTGAGCCGAGATCACGCCACTGCACTCCAGCCTGGGTGACAGAGTGGGACTCCGTCTCAAAAAAAGAAAAAAAAAGGAAGAAAGAATTTGAAAGCTGGGTGCTGTAGCTCACACCTGTAATCCCAGCAACCGGGGAGGCTGAATGGGAGGATGGCTTGAGCCCAGGAGTTCAAGGCTTCAGTGAGCCATGATTACACCACTGTGCCCCAGCCTGGGTAACAGAACAAGACCCCAAAGCTTAAAAAAAAAGAAAAGAAAAGAAATGGAAATGTACTTTCCCATTGACCCAGCAATTCCACTATAGAGAAATCCACACGGGAAAGGACATAGGTACAGCCTAAATGTCCGTTAATAGGAAAATGGCTTTTAAAACTGTACCATATTAAGCTGGGCTCAGTGGTGCATGCCTGTAGTCGCAGCTACTTAAGAGGCTGGCTCATGCCTGTAATCCCAGCACTTTGGGAGGCCAAGATGGGAGGATCACTTGAGGCCAGGAGTTTGAGACCAGCCTGGGCAACACAGTGAGAACCCTGTCCCTACAAAAAATAAAATAAAAAAAAATAGCCAGATGTGGTGGCCATTGCCTGTAGTCCCAGCTGCTTGGGTAGCTGAGGTGGGAGGATCACTTGAGGCCAGGAGTTGCAGGCTGCAGCGAGCTATGATAGTGCCATTGCACTCCAGCCTGGGGGACACAGCAAGACCTTGTCTATAAAAAAGAAAGAAAGAAAGAAAGAAAATAAAGAAAAACAAGGGCCGGGTGTGGTGGCTCACACCTGTAATCCCAGCACTTTGGGAGGCTGAGGCAGGTGGACTGCTTGAGGTCAGGAGTTCGAGACCAGCCTGGCCAACATGGTGAAACCCCGTCTCTATTAAAAATACAAAAATTAGCCGAGTGTGGTGGTGTGTGCCTATAGTCCCAGCTACTCAGGAGGCTGAGGCAGAAGAATCACAGGAGAATCGCCTGAATCTGGGAGGTGGAGGTTGCAGTGAGCCGAGATTGTGCCACTGTACTCCAGCCTGGGTGACAGAGCGAGACTCTGTCGCAAAAAAAAAAAAAAAAAAGAAAAGAAAAGAAAAGAAAAAAGAAAGAAAAGAAAAGTGTCTATATTTCTATGTATGTAAAGAATAGTCCAGAGTGCTATTTATTACCCTGATGAAGTGGCCATCTGATCTGAGAGGTGACAAGGGTTGAAGGGAAAGGACCAGGAGTGGGGCTGGCTGACTACTGAGACTTAAGACTTATCTGTTATATTTTAATTTTTTACAAGAAGAATATATTTGTCTATCATGCATAATTAAAAATTAATAATGCCCAAGACTACATGTATATACACTAAAGTGTTCACAAGGATCCTCTCTGGGTGATGAGAGTTTCTTAGTTCTTTTCTATAATTTATGAATTTTCTACTGCAAGCATATATGACTTCAGCAATCAAGGTTGGGGGAGGGAGGAAGGGAGAAGAAAGAAAAAAGAAACTAAAGTATCATTATTGTGCCAAGATACGCCCCCACTTTCACCTCCGGGGTGCATCCAGTTCATTCTGCCTACTCAAGGCCTCCCCATGCAAGGTTTCCTGATCCCCAGCCCCTCCCTCCAAAAAGAGGCTGCTCTTTCCTCAGTGCTCTCTGAGCCTTGGATAAGACCCCCCATAGCAGACACAAACCCCACAGGCCCACACTGGATGGATGTGTAGGTTTCCATACCCAGGGCAGGCCCTCCCTGCTGGCCTCTGACCTCCTGGCAGCATCCCCTGACCCCACTCTCCACCCTGAGCCTGGCCCCTGGGCATCAATTATAGTTGGTGAAATTTACATTATTCAGAGACCTTCAACAGAGAAGAGGAGTCCTTCACATGTGCCTTTCCCTCCCCACTTGGGGCTCCTTGTGCATCCCAGGGGTCTTCTTACCATTTCTCCCACCCCAGTACTCCCAAGGGTACATTGCCACCCCAGCTTCTTGCTCACCTGTTCTTTCTCACTAAGCACCTATTGTGTGCCAGATATTGTTCTGGGCACTGAGATACAGCAAATAAGTGAGCGGCCCACAGTGACATGCTCAGTAAATGGCAGAGACAGGACTTGACCCTAGGCCTTCAGATGCCATGTCCGACACTGAATCCAGAACCTCATACCCCAGAACCATTGAGAGTGAAATTCTTGTTTTTATTAGAGCCACAGCAGCAATCACAATTCATTTCTTGGCACTCATCTGCCAGTGTGGTTATTCTGAAGTTCAGGGCGATTACTTCACAATTGCCTTTGCTGTTCTTATTCCTTCCTTGACTGAATAAATCTTTAAGGTAATAAGAAGGGAAAATACAGTCAGATCTCCTCTGGGCCTATAAAACCAAGATGTGAGATCATTATATTGCTTCATGTGCTAAGTCAAAAAGATAGAATATTTTAATGCATCATTATAAAGCATCTTTTCCTATAACGACATAATATATGTCAACTTATAATTGCTTTCCTTCAAATACTGCTCCTATTTCCAAAGAGGGAGATCTTTAATTTGCAAGTTTGCCTTGTCTGACTTTTTTGTTTTGTTTTTGTTTTTTGTTTTTTGGAGAAAGGGTCTTGCCCTGTTGCTCAGGCTGGAGTACAGTGGCATAATCACGGTTCAATGCAGCCTCGACCTCCTAGGCTTAAGCAATCCTCCTGCCTTGGTCTCCTTAGTAGGTGAGACCACAAGCACATGCCACCACGCCTGGCTAATTTTTTATATTTTTATTTTGTAGAGACGAGGTCTTGCTACATCCCCCAGGCTGGTTTCAAACTCCTGGGCTCAAGCAATCTTCCCATCTCAGCTTCCCAAAGTGCTGGGATTACGGGTGTGAGCCACCGTGTCCAGAGTGTGACTTATTTCTTAAGTATACACCCTGCCACTTAGGTATTTATTTATTTATATATTTTTATATATTTATTTATTTATTTTGAGATAGAGTCTCGCTCTGTTGCCTAGGCTGGAGTGCAGTGGTGCCATCTTGGCTCACTGCACCCTCTGCCTCCCAGGCTCAAGCAATTCTCCTGCCTCAGCCTCCCAAGTAGCTGGGACTGCAGGCCTGCACCGCCAGGCCTGATTAATTTTTGTATTTTTAGTACAGATGGGGTTTCACCATGTTGGCCAGCTAGTCTCAAACTCCTGGCCTCAGATTATCCACCTGCCTGGGCTCCCAAAGTGCTGGGATTACGGGTGTGAGCCACTGCGCCCGACCACACCTTGCCATTTAATGTCTGCATTAAGAAAGAATTTTTCCATTTACAATATCCCTCCCCTTATGGAGTGCGGAGTCTGTCAGGGGAGACAGACAACACATCAAATAAAAATATGGGAGGTTAGATAATGACAGAGGCTCAGGGAAAAAAGTAAAGCTGGAAGAGGAGTGGGATGGGTTTCTGAGGGGGAGGGAGCTGAGTGAAGACTTGAGAGAAGTGAGGGAGGGAGGGAGCCAGCTGGCAGAGCATCCCAGGCCACCAGGCAGCAGGTGCAAAGGCCTTGAGGCAGGAATTCTTGGTGATCTTGGGGAAAAGGAAGAGGCAAATGTGGGTGGTGGGAGAGAGTCATGAAGGGCCTTTTGGGCCAACATAAGGACTTCAGCTTCTACTCCAAGAGAAATGGTGAGCCATGGAAGGGTTTGGAACAGAGGAGTGACCTGTTCTGCCAGGATGAATCCCGTGGCTGTGCTGAAAATACATGACGGTTCTGGCTGCAATCGCCTGAAGTATCTCCCAGCCTCTTGAAACTTCATTGTTATTGCTATTAAACACCCAATTAATGATGGTTTCCCTTAGGATTTCTTGACTTTACAATGGTGCAAACACATTCAGTAGAAACTGTACTTCGAACACCCATACAGCCATTCACCTTTTCACTTTCGGTGCAGTATTCAATAAACCACATGAGATGTGCGACACCTTCTTATAAAATATGCTTTGTGTTAAATGATTTTGCCCAATTGTAGGGTAACGGAAGTGCTCTGAATGTGTTTAAAGTGGGCTAGGCTAAGCTATGATGTTCAGTAGGTTAGGAGTATTAAATGCATTTTCAACTTACAGTATTTTCAACTTATGATGGGCTTATCAGGATGTAGCACCCGCCTGCCCCCTGAAGTCAAGGAGCATCTGTATTGTTTAATCTAAAAACAGCCGAAGAAGTTGACTTCTGCCCAAGTCTAAACCTCACATAACCATTTTATCTGGGCTGGATGGACAGGGAGGTGGCCCAAGCCTGGAAACTGAGAGTCAGGAAGACTCCTCACCCTCAAGGTCACCCAGCTCACTGAGTCGCTATAGCAACAGCTCTGACACCCCACGACACAGGATTCCCAGATGGCCTTGCTCCTAACAATGTGCTGGAAGGTTCCGCACATTAATTTGTCTATTTCTAATGATCAGACAAATTTGGAAAACACTGCTTTGATGCATAAGATGTTCCTGTCTTATGGCACCCTGAGTGTGTCTAATTATCTCCAAGTATACAAAATTCTCAAAAATATACTCACAGAAAGAGTTCAGATGCACTGGATCATAAGTTATACATGCATTTCAAGTAGAACCTTTAGCAGCAGGAAGGGTAGGGGCAGAGTGGGTGTCCTAAACATTCAAACTACGGTAGGCCCGAGGAAAATGGGCAGGTCACTGCTTATTCCAGCTCTTGCTAACTCCAGACTATTTTCTCAAGGGCCTGTGTGTGCACCTCTCACGTGATCTGAGCTGTGAGCCCCAGGGCTTCTTTCTAGAATCTAAGGAAAGCAAGTCTGACTGTCTTAACCTTTTTTTTTTTTTTTGACAGGGTCTCACATTGTCACCCAGGCTGGAATGCAGTGGCACAATCTCGGCTCACTGCAGCCTCGACCTCTCAGGTTCAAGCGATTCTCGTGCCTCGGCCTCCCAAGTAGCTGAAATTACAGGCATATGCCACCAGGCCCAGCTAATTTTTGTATTTTTAGTAGAGACAGGGTTTCATCATCGTCTTAACCTTTGCATGTGCTGGTTGGGGTGACTACGGACACTGAATTGGGAGCTCCATCAGCTTGCAATAAAGAGAAATGACCACCAGGGGACAGCAAACGTCCAGTAAGCAAAGTCAGTGCCTTTTGAAAAAGTACTCAGGCTTTGCGGAAGTGAACAGAAGGGCGGGGAATCTGTGACAGTGGGCGGGGGAGCACTTAAATTCTTGGTAACCATAGCTGAATTGTGTTACTGATTTTTTTTTTAACATACCCAGCTTTCAACCTGCCTAGAATCCTCCTACCTTTATCTAGGATCTTAATTTTAAGAAGGTACTTACTTGATAAACTAATCAATGCATTAAACTAGTTCTCAACTGGCACTGGTATTATTTTGCTTCCCAGGAGCATTTGGCATAATTTAGGAAAATTTTAGTTGTCACAATTAGGGGTATATAATACTACTGGCATCTAGTAGGTTGAGGCCAAGGATAATGCTAGACATCCTACAATGCACAGGACGGCCTACAGCAAAGGATGATCTGAACCTATATGTCGATGGTGACAACGCTGAGACAACTTGGGTTAAACCAACAAAGTCCTACCTCTCATGATGTGAAACTTGAGCTCCCGTGTCTCTTCTCTCTGTAGCCCAGCACTGATCTAGGATGTAGCAGGGGGAATCACCCGTAATGTCTGGGAAAATAAGATATTATCGCTGTCCTCAACGAATGACAGTCTGCAGGAATTGAAATTTCAGATGCCTACAGGGCCAGGGAGGTAATATAAAGAGATGAAGCAGGCAGGTAGGAGATGGGATGGGGAGTGGTGAGGAATGGGGCAAGTTGGAGAACGCGGCTCTAAAAGAACAACCACCACTTAGCTCAGCTTGTTGCCATGTATAAAAGTGGGCCCACAGGCCAGGCGCAGTAGCTCACACCTGTAATCCTAGCACTTTGGGAGGCCCAGGTAAGTGGATCACCTGAGGTCAGGAGTTTGAGACCGGCCTGGCCAACGTGATGAAACCTTGTCTCTACTAAAAATACAAAAATGAGCTGAGTGTGGTGGTGGGCTCCTGTAATCCCAGCTACTCAGGAGACTGAGGCAGGATAATCACTTGAACCCAGGTGGCGGAGGCTGCAGTGAGCCAAGATCGTGCCACTGCACTCCAGCCTGGGTGACAGAGTGAGACTCTATCTCAAAAAAGAAAAAAAAAAGTGGGCCCACTATTGCCAGACCTCCAGCAGTGGGGAATAAAAAGCGGTGACATTTGGGCCAGTTCTTGAAGGATCAGCAGAATTTTGTTGGGTGGAAAGGAAATAGGTGAGAATTAGTATTTCAGACAGGGATGTTCCAACCAGAAGCTGCAAATTGACCAGACCTGGCCCTCTGACTTTTCTTTGGTCCACACAACCTTTTTCTTTCTTCTCCTTTCTTTTCTTTTTCTTTTATTTTACTTTATTTTATTTACTTACTTACTGAGACAGGGTCTCACTCTTTAGCCCAGGCTGGAGTGCAATGGCACAATCACAGGCCCCTACAGCCTTGACCTCGCAGACTCAAGCAGTCCTGAGCCTTGGCCTCCAAGTAGCTGGGACTCCAGGTGCAGGAACAATGCCCAGCTAATTTTTTTTTTTTTTTTTTTTTTTTTTAGTAGAGATGGGGTCTCTGTTGCACAGGCTGGTCTCCAACTCCTGAGCTCAAGCAATCCTCCCACCTTGGCCTCCCAAAGTGTTGAGTTTGAGGTGTGCCTCTTTTATCTTATCTTCTTTTTTTTTTTTTTTTAGTTTAAGCTCTTAGAACTGACACTTTTCTTTTAATGCAACTTTTTATTGCAGTAAAATATGCATAGCATAGAATTTACCATTGTAACCATTTTTAGATATATAACTCAGTGGCATTAAGTACATTTACAATGTTGCGTAACCATCACCACCATCCATTTCCAGAACATTTGCATCATCTCAAGCAGAAACTCTGTACCATTAAACAATAACTCCCCATTCCCTTTCCCACTAGCCCCTTGTAACCTCTATTCTGTTTTCTATCTCCATGAATTTGCCTCTTCTAGGCACCTCATGTAAGTGGAATCATAAAATATTGGTCCTTTTATGTCTGGCTAATTTTAGTTGGCATAATATTTTCAGGGTTCCACACAATCTTTTTAAAACTTGGATATTTTACATAAAAATCTGGATTTCTGGCTTGTCCTAAAAAATTGCAAGATTTGAGTGACCTAAGAATGGTTTCACATTTTCAAAGGTTTTTTTTTTTAAGAGAAGGAGGAGGAGGAGGAGGAGGGGGAGGAAGAGAAAGAGGAGGTAAAGAAGAAAGAGAATATGCAACACAGATTGTATGTGGCCCACAAGGCCTAAAATAATTACCCTCTGGCCCTTTACAGAAATGTTATGCAGACTTCTGGCCTGCATAATAATAAAATACAGTATAGCAATTAAGAACTGATGAGTTTTGAATATTTATTCCCTTTATTTTATTTTCTTTATTTTGATTTTTTCTAAGATGGAATCTTTCTCTGTCGCCCAGGCTGGAGTGCAGTGGCATGATCTTGGCTCAATGCAACCACCACATTCCAGGGTTCAAACAATTCTCCTGCCTCAGCCTCCCGAGTAGCTGGGATTACAGGCAAGCACCACCACACCTGGCTAATTTTTTTGTATTTTTAGTAGAGACGGGGGTGTCTCACCATGTTGGCCAGGCTGGTCTTGAATTCCTGACCTCATGATCTGCCTGCCTCAGCCTCCCAAAGTGCTGAGATTACAGGTGTGAGCCACCGCACCTGGCCTATTCCCTTTATTTTTAATATAACTTATGTAATTGTAAGTTTATATAATTTTTAGCAAAGGCTGGGTTTGAAAGTGGTTTGCAAACTTTCTGAAAATTTAACAATTGACTCCCATGAGCCAGTACTGGCTGGCTTCAGAACCGCTGTTTATCTTTCCATTTGTTTAGAAAGTCTTAATATCTCTTAATAAAGTTCTATAATTTTCCCTGTAACAATTTTGAACATTATTTGTTAGATTTATTCCTGGGCACTTGGTATTTTCTGATAATGCTGTACATGGGATTTACTCTTTCATTGCACTTCTTAGTGGTTTGCTCCTGGTATATAGAAATACAAACAACTCTTGGAGGTACACAGTCACTTTACTAAACACTCCTATTATTCCTAACAAGTTAAATGTATATTCTTTTGTTTTTCTATGTAAATGAATGCATTACCTGCAAATAATGACATTTTATTCCTCCCTTTCCAATCTTTATGCTTCTAATTCCTTTTTCTTTTTTTATTCCTCTGGCTGGGACCTCCAACAGAATGTGGAGAGGAAGTGACAGTGGGTATCTTTGTCTCATCCCTGACTTTGAAGAGAATCACTCTAGGTTTTCTGGCATATTTGGGTTTTTTTGGGATTTTTTTGTTTTTGTATTTTGTTTTGCTTTGTATTTTGTACTCCCTCTGTCACCAGGCTGGAGTACAGTGGCAATGATCATGGCTCACTGTAGCCTCAGTGGGCTCAAGTGATCCTCCCACCTCAGCCTCTTGAGTAGCTAGGACTCCAGAAGCCTGCCACCATGCCTGGATTTTTTTTTTTTTTTTTTTTTTTTGGTAGGGATGGGGGTCTTGCTGTGTTGCCCAGCCTGGTCTCAAACTCCTGGGCTCAAACAACCTCCCCACTGAGCTTCCCCAATTACAGATGTGTGAGCCACTGCACCCAGCCTGTTTTGTTTTTTAAATGAATATGCCTTACCAGGTAAGCCAGTGACCAGTTCATTGTCTCTTCGCTCCAGATCTACCCTTCTCTTTCTGCTCTGTGACCATGGAGGAGGGCTTCATAAATATTTCTCCTGGGCCATCCGGAGCATGGTGAAGCATGTCAGAAGGCACTGGAGGGACAGTGGAGGAGGAAGGCATTTTCTCCTCCCGGTTGCCGGGTGTCTTTTTTGATGGGTTCCTGTAGGGCACTTTCTCCAGCACAGTCTGTAGAATGCAGTTTCTCCAGCACCCAGCTCCTACGGGGCACGGTTTCTCCAGCACTTGGCTCTCACAGAGAGTGATTTCATAGACTGAATGCTCATGTCCTCACCCCTAAATTCCTATACGGAAGCCCTAAGCCCCAAGGTGATGATATATGGAGATGGGAGCTTAAGAAGGTAATCAGGGTTACATGAGGTCACAAGAGTGGGACCCCCATGATGAGATTAGTGCCCTTATGAGAAGAGCCATCAGAGAGCTCTCTTTCTCTCTGCATGTTAAACTGAGGAAAGGCTATGCGAGGACACAACAAGATGGAAGCTGCCTACAAGCCAGGAGGATGGCCTTCCTCAGAACCCAACCATGCTGGCACCCTGATCTCGGACTTCTGGCCTCCTGAACTGTGAGAAAATAAATTTCTGTTGCTTAAGCCACCTAGTCTATGGTATTTTGTTATGGCAGCTAGAGCTGACTAAGACAGATGTTTCTCTAGCTCCTAGGTTCTATAGCATGGTGTCCAGCAGCAGCCAGTGGCCCAGCAGCTCCCTGGCATCCTCTCAGGTGACTGACTTTGTAGCAAGTTTCAAGGTGCGATGACATTCTGTGGACAACAGCTTTCCCCAGCACCCCAGATGGCAGATTCCCAGCAAGTCCCATCAGCAAGGCACTTTAGTGACGTCTCCACCAAACACTAAGCCAGGGCTGAGCCCTCCCCATCAAGGTCTGCATCCCAGCCCTGGGGTGGCTCTGCTTCCTCCCTGGGTTCTCTAGCATCCGTCTCTAGCACAGGCCCAGGGTAGCAGCTGCTCCCTGTATCTGCCATTCCTGCATTCTTTGGAGTTTTCTTTACTCTTACCATCAATTCTGTTACTCCAATCCCCTGTTAATAAGTCTTTACAGTAAACTTTAACTTTCTCTGTTCAAAATACTGTCTCCTGATTGGACCTTGGCTGATTGAGCAGGTTAAGAAAATTACCTTGTAATTTACAAAGAATCCTTATCATCAATGGTTGTCAAATTTTATCAAATGGCTTTTTTCTCCTGTACCTATTGACACAATCTTATGTTTTTTTTCTCTTTTACTCCCCTGTGGTAACTAATATTTATTTACTTTATCATATTCAACTTTCCTTACATACCAGGACAACTTGGTCATAATGTATTTTGTTATGCATTGTTGAACTAGATTTTTAAAAGATCGTATTAGGCTGGGTGCAGTGGCTCATGCCTGTAATCCCAGCACTTTGGGGGGCCAAGGAGGGCGGATTGCTTGAGCTCAGGAGTTCGGAGTAGCTTGGCCAACGTGGCAAAACCCCGTCCCTACTAAAAATAGAAAAAGTAGCTGGGTGTGGTGGCACACACCTGTAATCCCAGCCACTCGAGAGGCTGAGGTGCAAGAATTGCTTGAAACCAGGAGGCAGAGGTTGCAGTAAGTTGAGATCGCACCACTGTACTCCAGCCTGGGCAACAGAGTGAGACTCTGTCTCAAAAAAACAAAAGATCATATTAAGCATTTTGCAACCATATTTATATATGAAATGGGCCTAACAGGAAGCCTTTAGTTCCTACTCAGGGTAGCACTGCATATTAACTGGATAATTAGAAATTACTTCAACTGCTTTCCAGGCTTCCTTCAGTTCTTCCGCAGGTCTTACCTGATAGTAGCAAGTTAGCTCAGTGGTGGAAAGGAGAACACTCAATAAATGGACCTGACGGCTCACCAGGAAACATGGATTTGGATCCGTCTCAACTCCATATGCAAAAATACATTCCAGATGAGTGAAGGACTTAGATATCAAACACAAAACTTTAGAAAAAATATTTTAGATAGTTTTAGATATTCAAATATCTTTTTGACCCTGAAATAGCAAAACATTCCTTAAACAAGTCAGAAAAGAATTGATTATATAATAAAATGTGATACATTTGACCACTTTAAAAGTAAGACCTTGGCCAGGTGTGGTGGCCTCACACCTCTAAGCCCAGCAACTTGGGATGCTGAAGCAGGAGGATCCCTTGAGCTCAGGATTTCAAGACCAGCCTGGGCAACATAGGGAGACTCTGTCTCTATGAAAATTAAAAAATTAGCCAGGTGTGATGGCACATGCCTGTGGTCTCAGCTATTCAGGAGGCTGAGGTGAGAGGATGGCTTAAGCCCAGGAGGTCAAGGCTGCAGTCATTACAGGATCTTTGGGGTGTCAATTTTCTGGCCGGACACCTCTGTGGCTGGTGGCACCTTTGCAAGAGTTCTTGTCCTGCATCCAGGAAGAATGAGCTATGCAGACAAGCGAAGGGTGAACACGACGAAGAGGAGCTTTATTGAGTGTTAGAACAGCTCAGATGAGACCCACAGTGAGTAGCTCCTCTCTGCAGGCAGGTTGTCCTTACTGTTCAGCTCTCAGCAGGGAGGAGGCCTTGGAGAGGGTAGCTCCTCTCTGCTACTGGTTGTCCTGTTGTCTGCCCAGCTCCTAGGAGAGAGGAGGCCCTGGAGTGGGTTGCTGGTAGTCCTGAGGTCTCTGCAGGTCTCTGAAACTCTCAGCAGAGAGGGTAGCTCCTTTCTGCAGGTGGTTGTCCTGTAGTCTGCTCAGCTCGGTCTGGGGCTTTTATGGGCCTTGAAGGGAGGAAGGGCACACCGATTGGCCCATGGGTAGCCATGGGCGGGCCCAGAAAAGACACTGTAAGTTCCCACTCTGGTCAGTGGGACAGGCAGCTTGGCCCCCAGCCTTCAGGCCCTCCTTGGCTTAAAGGTGGGGTCTCACCAGGACCACCCACTTCCTCCCAGGAATCTGTCTGCCTTCTGCAGTAGTTCATGGCCCCCAGGCTCAGCCCAGACTTTGCTCCCACATCCCAGTGTGCACTGACAGCAGGGAGAAGCCAGGCAGTGGGAGCAGACACTTCTGAGCCTGTGTGGGCATGGGGGGGCCTTCTCGCTCCCCCAGGAGTGAAGGGATGCCTGAGTCTGCAGCCACAACTTGGGTGGTTGCAGCCCCACCCAGGGGGGCAGAACTCCTGCCTGCTTCTGGCCCCCCAAGAACACAAGGTGGCTCAGATCTGCAGCCAGAGTTTGGGTGGCTGCAGCCCCATCTAGGAGGGTGGGGCTCCTGACTGATCTGTGGAGTGTGCAGCCTGCATGATGGCAACGGCAGCCATCTGGAGTGGTGGCAGCTGCCATGACAGTGAGCCCTGATGGCGTCACTGCACTCCAGCCTGGGTGACAGAGTGATAGCTTGTCTCAAAAAATAAAAGTAAAAATAAAAACAAATAAAAGTAAGATGTTTTGCCCATGAAAAGACTCAGTCAGGCAGGAGATGCAATTCAAACATATATAAAGAGCATCTATAATGCAATAAGAGTCATACAAGTAACTCATAGAAAAATGGGTGCAAACAGAAAGTAATGAAGTACTGAAAAAAAAAAGATAGTCCGTAAGGATAGGGATATGTCAAAGGGACACAAGAGCCACCTGAAAGAGCCCCCAGTTGCCAAAGCTGGAACAATTAGAGCAATGCAATAAACTGGTATTGGATTATAACCCAAAGTATAAAATACATATCCATGAATCCATTCTGATATAACTAAATAATTGAATACATAAATAAAGGAGAAGAAAAAATATCTCCTGTATAAAGGAATTCCAAATAATTTACATAGGTCCTTGCCCTCAAGGAGCATAACTTCCCATTCCTTAAGTGTGGGCTGCACATAGTGACTTTTTTTTTTTTTGAGACAGGGTCTCACTCTGTCACCCAGGCTGGAGTGCAGTGGTGTGATCAGGGCTTACTGCATTAATCTCCCAGGCTCAAGCAGTCCTCCCACCTCAGCCTCCTGAGTAGCTGGGACTGTGGGTGTGTGCCATCACAGCTGGCTAATTTTTTAAAATTTTTACTAGAGATGAGGTCTTGCTATGTTGTCCAGGCTGGACTCGAACTCCTGAGCCCAAGCAGTCCTACCTGCCTCAGCCTCCCAAAGTGCTGGGATTACCGACATGAGCTACTGTGCCCAGCCCATAGTGACTTCTTTCCAAAGAATACAGCATGTAAATGGAAAGAGGAGGAAAAGAAAAAGAGTAACTTCACAGTGGAGACACCAGACAACCACTAGCTCAGCCAGGTAATCACGGTCATCATCAATAGTGATAAGTCATATTGATAGTATTATACCATTGATACTGCATGATGAGGAAGACCCTGTTGCTTTCTTCCCAGAAACCCATAATTCCAATTTAAGAATGAGGAAAACATCAGAGAGATTCCAGCAGAGGGATATCCCACAATGCATCCGCTCAGGACTCCTCAAAACTTTCAAGGTTACCAAAGCAAGGAGAATCTGACAAAATGATCACAGCCCAGAAAAGCCTATGAAGATCCGCAAACTACGTGGTATCTTGGATGGGACCCTGGAACAGAAAATAGGCATTAGGCAAGAAATCGAGAAAATCTGAATGGCACTGGACTTTAGTAAATTTTTTTTAAAATTGTTTGTTTGTTTGTTTGTTTTTGAGACAAGGTCTTGCTCTGTCACCTAGGCTGGGGTGCAGTGGCACCCTCACGACTCACTACAGCCTCAAACTCCTGGGCTAAAACAATCCTCCTACCTCAGCCTCCCGAATAGCTGAGACCACATGTGCATGCCACCACGCCTGGCTAATTTGTTGTTGTTGTATTTTTTGTAGAGACAGGGTTTTGCCATGTTGCCCAGGCTGGTCTCAAACTCCTGAGTGCAAGCGATCTGCCCATCTTGGCCTCTGAAAATGCTGGGATTACTAGGGCCGTCACAACCGGCCTAGTAAATTTTTTTGAATGAGGCAAGATATAGACAGGCATTTCTCAGAAAAGGAAATATACAAATGGTAATAAATATATGAAGATCACTAATAGACATCATTAGTGATCAGAAAAATGCAAATTAAAGTCACAATGAGAAACCATTTTGGACCCATTCGATCTGCAGAAATTTAAAATTCCAATGTACCAAGAGAGGATGTGGATCCATAGGTTCTATTTCAGCCCTGAGGGCCATTGTAAGGACTCTGACTTACATGGAGTGAGACAGGGACCAGTGAAGCTCCTATAAGTAAAGGAGAAGAAAAAAATCTCCTGTATAAAGGAATTCCAAATAATTTATGTAGGTCTTTGCCCTCAAGGAGCATAATTTCCCATAGTGGGAGAGGAAGAACCCCTTAGCTTCTGGGCTGAGCGTAGGGTTCAGGTAGTAAGGACAGATTAGGGAGAGCAGGTTGGAACCTGGGGCAGTCATCCAGGAGAAGCAGGTGGTGATTTGGACTCATAGGAGGGGGGATGGTAGGAGTTTATCGGGTGGTGGGAAAGTGACGGGAGCTGGTTTGATGCCACACTGTCTTCTTTCACTCTATGTTGAATATATTTGTGTCCTTGACTCCCCTGTCTTCATGCCATAGACTGAGGACCCCAGGAGGGCAAGGATTATCTTATTCACTATTATTAATAAGTCCTTGTCACAGGCCCAGCACAGTGGAAGTAGCCAGGAATTAATAAATTAATACCTCCAATCACGTTGTTTCCTTGTCCCTTAACCCTTTGTGGCTCCCTATCACCTGGGAGGTGATCAAACAAGACTCTTTCCCATCTCTAGGCCTTTTCTTATCATCCCCTCCTCCATGAGAAGCAACGGTCCATACCGGGGTGGGTGTGCTGGAGGGGAGTCAGGGGTGCCAAGGATCCTGCACACATGCCCTCTTTGGCCTGTTTCCCTCTAGGGGAGCTTGCCTTGGGGATTTTGGCTTGGCTTTTTCTTTTTCTTTCTTTCTTTTTTTTTTTTGAATCAGAGTCTCACTGAATCACCCAGGTCACTGAGACTGGAGTGCAGTGGCATGATCTTGGCTCACTGCAACCTCTGTCTCATGGCTTCAAGCAATTCTCCTGCCTCAGCCTCCCTAGTAGCTGGGATTACAGCCACGTCCCACTATGCCTGGATAATTTTTATATTTTTAGTAGAGACAGGATTTCACCATGTTGGCCAGGCTGGTCTCAAACTCCTGACCTCAAGTGATCTGCCTGCCTCGGCCTTCCAAAGTGCTGGGATTACAGGTGTGAGCCATCATGCCTGGCCTTGCCTTGGCCTTTTCTTCTGTACCAGGGATTCAGCCCATGTGACCCACCAGACTCTGAAGAGCCACTTTGGACTGTTACAAACTTTGAATCCTTGCCAGGAAAGTAAGTTTTCCCAGGCCTGAGAGTGGCAGGCCCCAAGGGCAGGAAACGCCTACCTGCTCACTCAAGGGCGTGTCTCATAGGCCCAGACAAGAAGGAATGTTGCCCCAGGATGAGTCGAGATATCCAGTTCCCCATCCAGTTCCGCCCTCAGAGTCTCAGGCCCTGGAGGTCAGGTGAGGACAGTTTTGCTTGGTCACAGTGGCTGGCCCTGTGATGCCATGGAGAAAGCCCCCTCATGCCACCAACACCTTCCCCACCAAAGGGATGTCTGTCCAGACTCTGGTTGCAAGCAATAAAATTAAGCTGAGGCAGGAGAATCGCTTGAACATGGGAGGCGGTTGTTGCAGTGAGCCAAGATCACATCACTGCACTCCAGCCTGGGCGAGAGAGGGAGACTCCATCTCAAAAAAAAAAAAAAAAAAAAAGAAGAAGAATTAAGCTAAGGGTCATTTGCTAGAAGGGTAAAAGGTGGGGGCTGTGGGGTCATTCTCAGGAATCAACAAATGCTGTGGGGTTGGGGTGTGCGCCTGCGATGGGTGCCCTTTGAGACACATTATACCCCACATCTCAGAGTTCCCAAAGGGAACATCCGATCGACTGAGGCTCCCTGGAGAACACGATTCTGGCCCTGCAGCTTTTATAGCTGAAGCCAGACCCTGGCTCTCCCCTCCCTTCAAGGCTGTGCCCAATGGAGGTGGGGGAATTCTCCTAAAGTAAATTGGGGAGATGGATACCAGACAGTCAAACTTTACCAAAGCCCATGCCAGCCCAAATGCAACCCCAGAGAGTCACTTCTCTGGGTGAAGCATTGCCCTGTCTCTCTGAAGGACCACTGATGCTGGCAAACTCTCCCAGGCTGGGAAACCCAAGATCATTGACCCACTGGTGTAGGTTCCGGGTTAGCGTTACTCAGGTTTGAGGGGGGTACACCCACCCCCAGGATGGAAATGATATTTCGAACGGGCAAAAGTGGCTGGTGATGGGGCACAGGTCTATACCCCGGCTTTGTGAGGCTGCCTCTGGAATCCCCAGGGGACCAGTCCACTGAGCCCTTCATATCACATAGGCCTGGGTGACAACAATAGCTTCCCAGCCTTGTCTCTGCTCCTTCCCATGCGGACTCAAGAATCCCCAAGTCTGTCCAGCAGAGGCAGAGGCTCAGAAGAGGGAGGGGCTCTGACTCCTGGAAAGCAGCCAGCCCTTCCATCCCACCCTAGCCTCCCACTCCCTGCATAGAAGAGTTGTGGGTTTCGGCAGGGAGGGAGAATCTTTCTCTATGGAGGGTGGAGGGGGCCAGAAAGGAACTAAGGATGGCTGATGAGGGTGAGGGGAACTAGGGCCAGCCTTGCTGACTTCACGGCTTTGCCCAGGGCAGGAGGTGGATGTAGTACTTCGGCCATCCAGGGATGGCCCCAGGGATCACCCTGAAAAGGTGGCTCTTGTAGCACTGTTCACAATAGCAAAGACATGCAATCAATCTAAATACCCATCAGTGACAGACTGGATAAAGAAAATGTGGTCCATACACACCATGGAATAGTATGCAGCCATAAAAAAGAACAAGACCATGCCTTTTGCAGGAGCATGAATGGAGCTGGAGGCTATCATCCTTAGCAAACTATAGCAGGGACAGAAAACCAAACACTGCATGTTTTCACTTATAAGTTGGAGCTAAATGATAAGAACTTATGAACACAAAGAAGGAAATAACAGACAATGGGACCTCCTCAGGGGAGGCGGAGGAGGGAGAGAAGCAAAAAATATAACTATTGGAAACAGCTTCATACGTGGGTGATGAAATATTTACAACAAACCCCCATGACATGTGTTTATCTATGTAACAGACCTTCACATGTACCCCTCAAACCTAAAATTAAAAAAAAAGAAAAGAAACCTGGAAGGAAGGAAAAAAAAAAAAGGTGGCTTAGTAGGTATTGTGATGCCACAAATGAAGCCAGGTAAGTGTCCCATGGGGACACACAGGTGTGTGATTCAGGTTCTTCCCCGACCTCCACTCCTCACGGGAGTCTGAGCAGACTTGCTCAGCCACATCTGCAGACAGACATTCTGAGAGCCCTCACATGCCTGCACTACCTCCACCCCACCCTGACTCCTGCTTCCACCATACAAGGCTTCCACCATCACCCCGACCCCCTCCAACCCCGTAAGCTGAATTTGTCTTTAGATTAGTTCCATTCTCCCAGGGTGTAAGGAAGAGACGCACATGGCCTTTAGTGACGGGACACAGCCTATTTGCAGGTGTGCTGGGTATTTTCTAGACCCACTCTCCATCCTCCTCCCGCCACCCAGAGAGAGGGAGGGAGTGGTAGGGCCAGCATCTGTTTGGGTTCAGCCAATGAGCGCATTGGCAGGAGATGGGAGACGAGAAGAGGAGGTCACAGAATGGAGAGGAGGTCACAGAATGGACTCCCTCTTCACCGAGTTGTGTGGCAACCTGAGAGTCACAGCTCCCGTTGGGACACCCTCTCCTGCAGCTACTTTCTCTGGGTTCCAGGGATAGCCATGCCCGGGCCTGGCAATTGCTCCCCAGTGTTGCAGGCCTGGGAGTCTTTGCATCTTTTGTTCATTTCTTTTAATCCTTCCTGCTCCTTTGTAAACACCCCTTTATTAAACTCTCCCCAATGACTCACTGATCTCCTGCCAGGACTCTTCCTGGTATAGGAAGAAACTCCACAGTGAGTCTCAGGGTGTGCAGAGTCCCACGTCCCACTAGGGAACCCGAAGGTGGCCAGATTCTCCTCCCCACTGCCAGCCAGTGGACTTCCTGAGACTTTGAATCCTAAGCTGGAAGCAAAGAATTCAGTGAATAGTTTAGAACTCATTCATAGTACCAGTGGCCAATGGCAGTGGTGGGGGCATTTGGGAACAGCAGAAGCAGTGGTGACAGCTGTGTAAACTGCTGCAGCCCAGCCGGGCTGATCCTGTGACATGACCTGCTACCTGACCACTCACAGCAACCACCCATTTTCTGAGCCTAGTTTTCCATCCTTCTAGTTGACTCCATGGGTCTCCAGTATCTTTCCAATGAATTTGTTTTGCCTAATTTAGCTGGAGTCCATTTCTGTTGCTTGCATCCAAGGAACCCTGACTGATACAGAGTTTGCTTTCAGGATTCAAAGGGAGGTGGGTATCACTGGGATCCCAGTCAGCAGATGTTCAGCCTCTCTGGGTCCCTAGAGGACTGAGATATATAGCAGTTCCCACGGAAAAGCAGGCATGTGGTTTGGTCTAATTGTCCTCATGGCTACTATTTAGGGTGGGTTCTTTACTATTCTCATGATGCAGCTCCAGTTTTATCATGAGCTCTGGCAGCCCTGTTAGCCCCTCAGGTCTCTCAGAAGAGAGGATCTGAGTGGTTCAGTTTGCCTTTGTCATCCACATTGGGCAATGTCAGGGCAGCCCCCTCCAGAAGAGTTAGCTTCCTGCTTTGTCCAGCCTACCCATCAATGCTCTATCTGCTGTGGCCAAGATGTGACCGTGTGAATGAATGAATGAGTGAATGAGTAAATGGGTTTTGTTTTGTTTGTTTGTTTGAGATGGAGTCTTGCTCTTGTCATCCAGGCTGGAGTGCAGTGGCACGATCCTGGCTCACTGCAACCTCTGCCTCCTGGGTTCAAGCGATTCTTCTGTCTCAGCCTCCTGAGTAACTGGGATTACAGACTCGCGTCACCACACCCTGCTAGTTTTTGTATTTTTAGCAGAGACTGGGTTTCGCCTATTGGCCAGGCTGGTCTCAAACTCCTAACCTCAGGTTATCCACCCACCTGGCATCCCAAAGTGCTGGGATTACAGGCTTGAGCCACCGCGCCCGGCCTGTTTTTGTTTTTGTTAAGGCCAGTTGCCGTAACTTTATTTTAATGGGTTTTCAGACCCACTTTCTGTGGGGCTCTTTAGGTGAGGCTGTGTCACTAGTCAACCATCTTCACTGTGGAGTCCTAATCACTATGATTTTGTTTTGTAGGTCATGAGGATTCATTCAAATTGTCTTTGCTTCCATTCCTTCATAGTATGTTACATGGTGCGAAAGTACATCTTTCTTTCTCTAGTACATTGTATTCAAACAGGTTGCTGCTGCTTCTCCATTGTCATTCATCTTTTCATCATCCTCTTATTCCTCTTAGCACAGTTAGCACATGACATATTATCTTCTATGCCTAGGGATGGAAAAACGCAGGCAGGTAACATGAAGAGAGAAATCATCCTCCTGTGAGTGGTAGGCACCCAGGCCTGACCTGCACGAAACTGCAGGTGTACCCAACCCTTTGTGTCTACCGAGATAAGTCTGCCATAGACCATATGACACCCAACACCAGAGGCTTACCTCAAAAAGGCCTCAACAGAAGCAGGAATAGAACATGAATTCACAGCCTTAGGCTGAACAGCTCTCACAGCAATTCTTGCCCATGATGCCAACATGGCTTCCTGAGTTGAAGTTATCACTTCAAATGTATTAGTCTCTTCTGCTTTCTCATTCATCTCATGACTTTTCTGAAGCCTTGCTCTCTTGGTCAATGCCTTGTGTTTCCTCAACCATGGCTGTAATCTGGTCTCCTGTGACATTTCAGGAATATCTTGCTGTTGTTCAGGGTAAGCGTGTCTATGGAGCCTCAGATAAACTTTTTTTTTTTTTTTTTTTTTTTTAGATGGAGTCTTGCTCTGTCACCCAGGCTGGAGTACAGTGGCGTGATCTCAGCTCACTGCAGCCTCCACCTCCCAGGTTCAAGTGATCCTCCTGCCTCAGCCTCCCATGTAGCTGGGACTACAGGTGCGTACCACCATGCCTGGCTAGTTTTTTTTGTTGGTTTGTTTGTTTTTGTATTTTTAGTAGAGACAGGGTTTCACCACATTGGCCAGGCTGGTCTCGAACTCCTGACCTCAGCCTCAGCCTCCCAAAGTGCTGGGATTACAGGCGTTAGCCACCACGCCTGGCCCTCAGATAAACTTCTATTTTCTTGCCATTAGGACTCAAAACTCGTTGTTGACACCAGTTCCACAAAGTCTCCCGACACAACTTATTAATGGGAGGCAAAATGGTCGGCAAGGGAAAGACTGGTATTTTGCATCTAGCTTTTGTGGAGCTGTGAATTGTTTGTTTGAGGTAGATGAACTTTATTGTGTTTCTTAGGCTTCTCCGGTTTGACATCAGAAGTTGAAGAAACGCTTATTCTATATTTGGATCTTCTTTAACTGGCACCAATGTCAAAATCACACTTTCCTCATCATCTATTTCCCCCTCAAAGAAATTATTCTTGCTGCTATCAAAATTTGAGTCTGACATTTTCAGCAATGCCCCTGTCTTGTCCATTCAGTGACAAGTTTTTTAAAAAATTAAGCCAGGCACGGTGACCCACGCCTGTAGTCCCAGCACTTTGGGAAGCCCAAGCAGGTGGATCGCTTGAGTCAAGGAGTTTGAGACCAGCCTGGGAAACATGGTGAGACCCCCGTCTCTACCAAATAATCTGTTTTTGTTTTTTGAGACAGGGTCTTGCTCTGTCACCCAGGATGGAGTGTAGTGGCATGATCACAGCTCCCTTGTACCCTCGACCGTCCAGGCTAAAGTGATCCACCCACCTCAGCCTCCTGAATAGCTGGGGCTACAGGTGCACACCACCGTGCCTGGCTAATTTATTTGTTTTTTTTTATTTTTGTAGAGACATTTCGCCATGTTGCCCAGGCTGGTCTCAAACTCCTGGGCTCAAGCGATCTGCCCTCCTTCACCTCCCAAAATGTTGTAACTACAGGCATGAGCCACTGTGCCTAGGCGAGTGAATGTTTTTCTCCTGCTCCCCTGGCCCAGCTAAATCACATTCTTCTCCCAAAGCGTCCATACCTCTGTCTTAACCTGTCTCACGCCCAGCCTATCCCAGAGTCAGCGTGGAATGGGTGCTTCTCCTGGCGGTAGAAATCTTTAGCCCCCATGTGGCTCTCTGTCCCAGCCCAGCAGCTGCATCTTGCAGTGGTAAATAATTGCTCCCTGAATTCAACAGAGACTTGAATAAGATCTCCAACAAAGGAATTGGCTCTTATTTATATATTATCTTACCTCTCTGTGGGCAGTACAATGGTTTACATACTGAACGGGGTCCCATAAGTGCTCATTGAATTAAGTAGAGAACATTTATGGATCGCCTACTGATTGTCAGACACCACACCTGGCCCATACTTACTGAGGACTTGATATGTTCCAGGGACAGTGCTCGCCACATTCAACCTCACCACAACTCTATGGCGTAGGTCCTATTATTGTCCCCACATTGCAGTTAAGAAATGTGAGGCACAGAGAGACCACATAATTCGACAAACTAATGGAGCTGTGGGTCTAGCCAGGCAGCCTGGCTCCAGAGCTGACGCACTTAACTGCTTTACCAGGCTGTTTCATGATGGTGTGCTTGACACTGAAGCCTCTGGAAATTAAACAAAGCATTCCAATAAGAGCCACATCAAAAAAAAAATTGAATGACTGTACATTAATCTCTCCAACAGACATCCACAATAATCATGTCCCACCCAGCCCCAAAGAAGATGGGGCTCAGGACTGGGGGTGAGGGATGAACAGGATGCCACTTCACACATGACTTGGAAAAGAAGCCGTAAGTTGAATGATCATGTTTGTCAGACCTGGCAAAAACATTTTGTGCCTATCCCTTGAGAGTTTTGGCAGCTGCAGTTTCCCAAAACAGAGTTATGAAACCAGCAATGGCTGGGTGCATTTGTGACTTTGGCACCAGGGCTTCTGGATCAAATCTCAGACAAACAGGGCAGTGCCCACATCACGCTCCTGCCCATGCCTTATGAGGTCTCTGTCAGATTCTCTCCCCAGAGAATGGCACCTCAGACACCAACCCAACTTCAGTGAAGTGGTGTTTCCCTAGCATGAGCCCCCAAGGAAGCTTAAATCTACCCTCTGAGCTTGGTTTGGTCTCCATGAAGACATTTGCCACACTACATGTTGAGGATTGCCAGACTCTCCCTCCACAGCCAGCTGGAAGCTGGGCACCTCCAGGTTCCCTCGGCCACCAGGACAGGCAGCCACATGCTGGAGAGTTGCTCCAAATACCAACTGGGATGGAAAATATCTCCTGGTCCTGAGACCAGAGAGGAACTGGCAGAGGCCATTTTATTTCACCAAATAATTCCGTGTGACTGCTTCAGTGGGTTGCAAACCTAGGTACTTATTAAAAATTAAAAGGTAGGTTCCCTGGGCCCACTTAGCCCTAAACAAATTGGAAAGGGGGCTGCAGGGGTGGGGGAAGTGGAATACAGGCTCGAGCACTTTTCCAGCCTCTCCAAGTGATTCAACTGTGCAGCCAGTGAGGCCATCCTTCAGATGAATGAGGCACGTGGCCTCTGCCCTCCCCTCTCCAAACGGAACATGGGCTTCTCCCCTCACACAATCACACATTGGTCTTCTGTTCCCCCAGTGCCAGACTCTTCCCCACTTCCAGACCTTTGCTGGAGCTGTGCCCTCTGCAGGAATGCAGCTCTCAGATCCCAGTGGAAAGAGTTCTTCATTTGGGCTCACCCCAAGTGCATTCAGTCACAGTACTTTCTCCTTTATAAGATTCCTTATTCTATAATTCTCTCTCCCCCCAGCAGTCCATAAGCTCCCTGTTCCCCTCACCACTGAGGACCCCATGCCTGTGTATGCAGTAGGTGCACCATAGGTGGCTGGTGAGTATAGGCTGTGTCACAGCTACACAAAAAGGGCAGCTACTACCAGTTAACCGTTGCTAGAGGGTGGTAGAATAAACCCCCTAGTTTGCCATAGTTCACAAAGGAGAGCCAAGGCCAGGCAGGATTGCAGGAACCTTGCACCCAGACCCCCACTGCCATGGTCCCCTCTCTGAAATGCCCCACAATCTGGGTTTCCTACAATCCAACTGGAACCAAGTGCCATATACCCAGTGACAAATGAGGTGCCCAGAGCCAGAATAGTCTAGATGAATTTATTGCCATTCACATATTTCATAGAAAAAAAGATGTAGCAAACGGGTCAGGGTTGTACAAAAAAAAAAAAAAAAAAAATCCAGGTTTATATAGGTTGCTCTATTTACATCTGAGAGCACAGCTGTCCTGGCATCAGGCACAGCAGCTGCACTTGTCTGACGTCCCTTTGCAGATGCAGCCCTGGGCACACTTGGCACAGCCCACAGGGCAGCAGGAGCAGCAGCCTGGAGAAGAAGGGGAGAGTGAGAGGTCAGAGCAGACTCAATCAGGCACCTCCCTGCCCCAACAGAGGCCTGGCTCGAGCCCTGCCTCCAGCCCCAGAGGACCATCATTTCAGGATGGCATGGCTTTGTCAGAAGAGAACTGGTAGATCTTTGGGATGAGGGTTTTATATGAAAAAGCTGCCCAGCCCCACCTGAGTCTGGGACAGGACAGAAGACTGGACAGGTAGTGATTGGGGGTACAGGAA